>NC_000015.10:42064752-42367783 GCF_000001405.40 Homo sapiens
AGCAATTTAAACGCTCACCTCCCTTCACAGAAACACCTAGAATACTTTTAAACCAAATCTCTGGGCACTGTAGCGCAGCCAATTTGACACATAAAATGAACCAGTACAGTTACCCTACATCAGGTTATGCAGATGCCCTAATTTATTAAGAGCTGTTCATAACTTCCGAGTTTGTGTTGAATTTTATCAAGCAATTACTTTTATATTGTTGTTCTCATTTGTTTATACATTGTTTTTAAAAATTGTAAATTTTCTAATATAAAAGCATTCTTGCATAGTGGAGATAAATCCAACTTGATGAGGAAAAGGGAGCATCTCTCAGTTCATCTTGCTCGCCTTTCCCCCGGCCACAGCCTGTGGTGAGCAGAGGGCAGAGCGCCAGCCTTGTCCTGGGACTGGTGACAGACAGCCTGCTGTCTTCCTGTCTCTGAGCTGGCCCCAGGAAGGGCCCACAGGCTGCAGGAAGAGCACTGTGTGATTTACATAGATGCCTTTGTGTGGGGGCCTGACAGCTGCTGGAGTCACGGTCCTCACCCGGGTCAGGGTGGGGCTGAGAGGGCCTCCGGGTGTTTGGGTAGTCAGGGGCTGGGGTGACAGCAGCTAGTGGGGGGCGGGTATATGAGACAGATAAACATCCACACTCACATGCCAGGTGTGGCTTTGAGCCTCAGCCCAGCCCACTCTCCTTGGCTGTCTGGCTGGCTTTATTGAAAGTTCGCCAAATGGAAAGGGTCTTTTTTTTTTTCTACCATGCCGGCTCACTCTCCAGAGCATCCGTGCCGGCAGTTGGCCAAACCCTGAGGTTGGGAGCACAGTCCTCCAGACCACCACATCTTCTGGGACGCCTGACCTCTGCAGCAGAGGTCACCAAACTGTCCAGTCCGAGGGAACAGTCCCCACAAGACTGCCCCAACTTCAGCCACCAGCCGCAAGTTCAGAGTCCCCAGGGCCACCTTCACTTCAGACCAGCTGGCTGCAAATTTGGGGGTGCTTACAACCACCCTCAGCTTCAGTAATTTTCTAGGGTGACTCACAGAACTCAGGAAAGCACTAACCTTATGATTACAGTTTTATGATCATGAAAAGATACAAATTAAAACCAGCCAAAGGAAGAGAGGCTTAGGGCAGAATCTGGGAGGGGTCCAGTTGCAAGCTTCCAGGGAGGTGTCCTCTCTCTTTGGGGTTCTGGACAGCATTGCCTCCTCTGGGCCGCAATGTGTGAGGATACGCACAGGGTGTTGTCCACCAGGAAAGTCTACCTGAGACTTTGGTGCCCAGAGACTTTACTGAGGCTTGATCAGATGCTGCCTGTGTGACCGACCTTTAGTCTCCAAAGCCCCCCAGCAAACAAAGACACTCCTGTCAGACAGGACATTCCAGGACCCAGAGGTCACCTCCCACTAGCCACGGGCAGAGACTGGACCTCTCTTTGGTGAGGTTAATTCTAAACTACGAATAGGGCACGTTACAAAGTCAGTGCCCAAAGACACAGAGAGGTGTGGCTGTCAGAAGCTCCAGTCCTGGATTTGCCACCTTTGAGGTTAGCAAGTTACTTAATCCCTGTGGACGCCTACCAGCCAGAGGCCAGCAGGAACAGCCCAGTAGCCAAACAAATTTGAGTTAACTGGTACCCATTGCACTAAGAAGACTGTATACTAGGAGGCAGTGCAGTCTCAGTAAGTGTGTGTGTGTGTGTGTGTGTGTGTGTGTGTGGTGGGGGGGTGCTTATTGAAGGATTTGGGCGTTTGTAGGGTGACATTACGAAATGTTCAAGGAAGCAAAGTGTTGCTGTGGATTGGGTGCTGTCAGGGAGTGGGGCGAGTCTATAATTGAGGATCTTCACAATTTTTATCCAGGAGGTGGAAGAACGGGAGGGACGAAAAGCCTGGTAGAGAAACCGCAGTCTCTCACGTGAAACAGGAGAGGGCACTGTTTGGCCATTTTTATGGTTTCACAGTGCCCTCATTTTTTGTCCATGCTCAGGCATATTTATGGAGTGGCCTTGATTCTGTCCTGCTGCGTCACGGGGGCGCGGTGACCCTGCCTGACACAGGTGCTCTGTGAAGTTTGTGTGCATCAGGCGGACACCAGGGACCTGCAGACGAGTCACAGGATGCTTTGTTCTGTTCCTTTCCCAACCCTGAGTTTCATCACTGATAACAAGGAGACGGTAATTCTACCTAACACATTAGGCAAATGTGAGAATTAAGGGGAATAATGTAAAATGCCCAGCATAAAATAAAACACAACAGCTAGTCAATTCCCATATCACTGTTAAAAAAATAAGAGTCCATGATAAAGGGAAAAAGTGAAGAATCAAAATAAAGCCAAATGCAGAAGAGGCACAGGGAAGGAAGCTGAGAGAGGACATCAGATGAGGGCAGTCCCTGAGCCAAGGTCTGTCCCGAAGCTCTCACTACAACCCCCACCTGGGGCCAGGTGTGTGTGTGTGTGTATGTGTACACGCACCCTTGCATGAGGGAGGTAAGAAATGTGCTAGCAGCTGGCCGTGGTGGCTCACACCAGTAATCCCAGCACTTTGGGAGGCTGAGGCAGGAGGATTGCTTGAGTTCAGGAGTTCAAGACCAGCCTGGGCAACATGGTGAGACCTCATCTCTACAAAAAACCATTTTTTTAATTTAGCCAAGTATGGTGTTACATGCCTGTAGTCCCAGCTACTTGGGAGGCTGAAGTGGAAGGATCACTTGAGCCCAGGAAGTTGAGGATGCAGTGAGCCAGATTGCACCATTGAACTTGGCCTGGGTGACAGAGTGTGATGAGATTCTGTCTCAAAAAAAAAAAAAAAGAAAGAAAAAGAAAAAGAAATGTGCCAGCAATAAACAAAAAGGTTTATATACCATAATCAAATGGAAACTGCCCCAGGAATGCAAAGTTGGTTTAATATCCAAAAACCAATTAATGCAATAGAGTACATTAATAAAATACACGACAAAACCACATGATCATGCCCATAGACACAGAAAAATCACTTGACAAAACCTAACACCGTTTCATCATAAAACACTCAATAAACTAGAAATAAAAGAGAACTTTCTCAACCTGATAAGGATGTCCAAGAAAAACCCACAGCTAAAATCACACTAAATGGTGAGAGACTTATGCTTTCTTGTCAGAGTCAGGAACAAGACAAGATGTCTGCTCTTGAAACGTGTGTTCATCATTGTACTGCTCAGGGCAATTGGGAAAAATAAATAAAAGGCATTCAGATCAGACAGGAAGAAGTAAAACCATCTCTATTTGGAGATGGCATGATCTGTCTACAGAAAATTCTAAGAAATCCGCAAAAGTATTAGAGCCGGTAAACAACTTCAGCAAGATTGCGGAATACAAGATCAACATTTAAAAATCCATTGTATTTCTATAAAATAGCAATGAATAATCTAAATGAAATTAAGAAAGTAACTCCACTTATCAAAAAGAATAAAATATTTAGGAATAAATTTAAACAAGTACAAGACTTGGATACGGAAAGCAGGAGGACAAAGAGGAGAAGGACAAGGAGAGGAGGAGGTGGAGGAGCAGGAAGAAGATGAGGAGGCAATGTGTTCAGGATGTCTTGTGATTCCCGAGGCCTGAAGCCACCTGTCAGGTCAGGCATCCCCTGTCCTTCCTGTCCCTACTCCTGATCTGCTGCCTCCGGCTTGCACTTCAAATCTATCCTGCTCAGGCATGGAAGTAATTGTGGTGTGAAAGTCTGTCTGGTTGGACCAGCTGTTCTACACACTGGCCTGGCGAAGTTATTTTCAACTCATCTCAAGCCAGCCATGAACGTAAGAGAGAAGTCTGTGTGTGCAGTTCCCTCTGGGCAGTGAGACCAGCTACAGAGGCCACCCAGGCCTGGGAGAGCCCAGAACTCCAACCAGGAAGGCCTGTGGCTGAGCCCAGCTACAGATCAGGTTATGCCCGCAGGCCCTGGAGGGTCCTGCAGCCTCTGAGCAACCTCAGGTCTGTGCCCTTGGAGGCCTCGCCTCTAGAGTCCGGTGCTTCAGCGCGGTCCTCAGGGCCTGCAGGATGGCACCCTGGCTGGTCTGCACGTTGTAGTCACTGAGCCGCAGCAGGCGCTCGAAGTCTTCCTCCTTGTAGGTCATGTTGGACAGGGTGTAGGGGCAGGTGGCCCCGGTGAGATCCACTTGGCCACCCTGGAGCTCTGCGGGGCTGCGCTGGACACCTGCCCAGGGGTAGGAGGGGTGTCAGGAGCAGGACGCCGGGGCTTCTACAGCCTGGCAGCGGCGCACAGGGAGGGCTGCCCCCGCTGGAGGGGCCCCTGCTTTCCTCCCAGCTCTCTGTGTCCTTTGCCCAGGAATGTAAATGTGGGTGGCAGGGTGCTCTTTGGATGGGTACTATTTGGTGGTAGAAAATACAATTTCATATTTCATTGCCTTGTGGCGTGACACCCCTTAGGCTATTCAGGCAGCCCCACATGTCTCTACATCGCTTCGAGGCAAGGTGGAAACAGCCAGAAGGGGGAAGTCAACTGGGTTTGCGAATGGATTCTTAGAACTCACGGTGGAAGCAAGGGGGCAGCGAGAACTTGCTGAGAGATGAAGGTTCTTTAGAATTCTCAGATGTGGGCTGAGCATGTTCAGAGGAAAGCTGGGAGATCTAGAATGATGGTAGGAACTGGAAAGCTGGGAATATCGCACAAAGGCAGCAATGAGTTTTTCCCACCAGAAGGAAATAAAATTCTGACCAGTTGGTGAGAAGAGAAGATAGGAAGGAATGTGATGGGGGTTTAAATTTCGGGAGCCCCTGAGGAGAGGCCCAGCTCCCTGAGAAGGGGCCCAGCCTGGGCTGGGGAAGGATGGTGGAGAGGCCAAGTGAGTCCCCCACAGAGCAGGAGAGCAGAGGAGCCCTGGGCAGCTGGGGGTACTAGGGCAAGTGGAAGGCTGCAGGAGCCCGGCATCATGACAAAGGGGACCCCTGCATAGCGACCCTGCAAACAGAGGGCCTGCAGGGATGTGGGCATCAGCAAGGAGGCCAGGGTGGGCTCCAAGGCCTGAGTGGGCCTGGATGGGCCTAGCCTGAAGCCTTCTCCTGGCAGACTCATTTCCCTTCCCTCTGCTGGGCAGCCGGGGGGCCCAGGGCAGGCCTCTGAGGGGCCAGGCAGCCTGGGTGCTTGGGAGGGGCTGCCTCACCGGGGGCTGAGTGGTCCTTGAAGGAGGCATTGACCAGCGGGAAGTGCAGCAGGATCGGGGCCTCGGGGCAGGCGGGGTCTGAGAAGAGGTGGCATTCCCTTGGCTGGTGCTGGTCCTGAGGGCTGGGTTCCACCCGGGGGAAGGGCAGCCCCCGGGCCCGGCAGTACAGCTCCGTCTGCTGCAGTGCCTGGTGGGGAGAAGGTGGCCCGGAGAGAACCAGCCCGGCCCAGGTCAATGCTGGGCCAGTTCCAGCCCACACCAGCTGCTTCAGTGTCAAGACAACAGCCTGGCTCTGTCCTGTTTGTGGTCGGGCCAAGCTGCAGAGTGACTCGGAGGGAGACCCAGGGGGAGTCCAAGGACTCTGGTGGTCTGCAATGTTGTTTGGTTAAAAGCTCTAGGTGGGGTCAGACCCATCCCCCAGCCCCCCAAAACCCCAATTCTGGATTGCTATTGCTGGACTGTTCAAATCCCAGAGCCGAGAGGAGACCCACATTGGCACAGCGTCTCAGGGGAGGTCTGGGGGATGGACATGGAGATGCTAGGGTCTCCTCTCAGCTCCGTCCAGCTGTTCTTTGGAGTAGGTGTGGGGAGGTCCCTCCCTGTTCACCTGTCCTGGGAGCCCAAGGCCCCTGCACCACCCCAGCCTTCCCACCTAAGGACCCTGGCAGGAGCCAGCAGATCAAGGCCTGACACCTCTCCTTCCCTTCGGGACCCCGGCGGTGTGGGGCAGGGGCTCAGTGGCCCTGCTGCTCGCCTCTGGAGCTTGGCCTGGCTGGGCAGAGGGGTTCCCCTGGGGTGACCAGGGTACCTCGAAGGGCGCAGATAGGGAGTAGTCGAAGGAGAGGATGAGGTCCAGCCTGCGGCCTGGCCGGAACATGGAGGGAGAGCTGGTGTTGATGAAGTAGGCGGCGTCCACCAGGCAGAGCCGGGGCTCCTTGGGGGTCAGCTGGCTGGGCATGGAGTCAAGCTGGTAGTCTGGTGGGAATCGCAGGATGGTCAGAGGCCACCACCCTGCCACAGGTCATCCATGTCCCCTTCTCTCCTCTGGGTCACTCCTTAAATGCCACCCAGCCCTTCCCCAGGACCTTCCAAGGGGATCGTCTCCAGGCCACACCCCAGAAGTGGATGCTGACCTCCTAGGCCTCAGCCAGTCCCTGCCACACCACCCAGAGGCCCAACCTTGTGACCTAGGGACCCCTGGCCACGGCCCTGACCTGCCCAGGTGGAGAAGTCTTTGTGGCTACAGTAGTCCTGGTGCAGCTGGAGGCCCTGGAGGAAGTTGGGGCTGCGCTGGTGGAGGGGCCTGCCTGTCAGGAAGCCTTTAAATGCCTGGGCCAGCGCCGTGCCTGGCTGCAGCCACGAGGCCTCCAGCCGCGAGGAGGTCCCCGAGGTGGTCAGGGGCTCCTTCTCTGAAGCCAGAGAAACAGAAATTGGTCCCTTCTTCCCCTTACTTCTTCCCCTCAGACACCGCACACCGCAAGCATTCTAAAGGAACAGCGTCATCCCAGGCCCCTCAGTGCCCCTGCCCTTCCCACCTAAGCTCCTGGTCTTGTCCTTGATGTGCTGTTTCCAGGACTCCCCAGAACTGGTGAGGTCATACCAGGCATCCAGCAGGTTCAGGGAGAAAATGTTGCTCCAGATGGCTGAGGAACACCAAAAGAGATCAGCCTCAGGCCCCAGCCAGCGGCCCCACCCTCAGGTACTGATGGAAAATGGGAGTGGGGCGAGGGCTACCCCTACAATGCATCCCCCCCGCCACCCCTCCCCCTTGTCCTGAGGTTCTGCCCCACCTGAGCTACAGGACCCATGTCCATTCAGACACCTGGCCCAGGGCTGCCCAGGGCCTTCAGAGCCACCACCCTCACCTTCCAGAAAGCAGATCCGGGGCTCCGGGATCCTCCTCATCAGCCGTCCCATGAAGAACTCGGAGCCGAAGAGCTCAGGAGGGACGAAGGCCCCGTACTTCAGGAAACCGACCTCATAGGGGGAGAACTCAACCCACTCTAATGGGGTGGGAAGGAGAGGCAGGAGTGTGAGGGGAGTGGATTGCGGGAGTCCCCAGCTCTGGCGAAAGACACTGCCCCTGCCCCCAGCAGGCCTGAGCCCTGCTGTGCCTGGCACCAATGCAGCAGATGTGAGGAATGGGCAGTCCTGGACTGACCACACCCCTCCCAGCCCTTGGTCCACACCCTCAAGCACTACCCACTCTCAAGCACAGAGAGATGCCCTGAGCCCCTCAGCACCACTGCCCTTCCGGAACATTGGGCAATCTGTGCGGAGCTTCCAGCATGAATTCTCTGGGGGCTGTCGGGGTGCAGAGGGTTTGGGGGGTGGAGTATGTGGGAGGGGAGTAGGTAGAACTGTACCCTTGAAGTCCAGTGTCTCCAGATTGTTCTCTTTGACATTGAGGCTCAAGTAGAGGGGCAGAGGGTTCTGACCCCGTTCCAGGGCGGCTCTCTGTCCTGACAGCTTCTGATCCATCACCTGGGGCCAGAGGGCATCAGGGCCTAAGTGAGGCTGGGAGTACCCTGGAGGCAGTGGCTCCGCCAGGACAGGGGCAGGATGGGGGACCTGGCTGGGGGTGAGGAGGCAGCTCCTCCCGTGGGGTCTGGGGACCATATGTGGGTCAGTTCCCACTCCTGCCCCTGTGTTCTGAACAGCCCTAGATGCAGGGTCGCTGGACAGGGCATGCAGGCTGTGTACTATGAATCTCCAGCGAGGGCCATTCATAGGGACCACAATGCCAGCGGTGCTTCCAGGCCCATCTTCGTGGATTTAAGGGTGAAGTGGGTGTGGATACTGACACACAGACACAAGGACACATGCACACATCCACGTATTGCTTTGTAGAAAGGATGCAGCAATGCCCTTTTAGCATATACTGCAACCTATGCCAGGGGATGGACTGCCCCCTCTTCTAGGTTCACCTTAATGCAGTTCAAGTTTCAGCTCCTCCCGAATGCTTTCCTGACATCCTTGCCTCCCCCTCATCGTCCCTCTTCTTTCTTGCTTTGCATAACATGAGGTTGTACCCCATTGATTATTCTTGCCTTCTGTTCTTAATTTCCTCCTCAATAGAGCTCCAAGCTCTGCCTTTGTTTTATTTTATTTTGAGACAGGGTCTCACTCTGTCACCCAGGCTGGAGTGCAGTGGTGCAATCTTGGATCACTGCAACCTCCACCTCCCAGGCCCAAGTGATCCTCCCACCTCAGCCTCCCGAGTAGAGTAGCTGGGACTACAAGTTACACTTGGCTAATTTTTGCATGTTTTGTAGAGATGGAGTTACATCATGTTGCCCAGGCTGGTCTCAAATTCCTGAGCTCAAGCAATCCACCTGCCTTGGCGTCCCAAAGTGCTGGGATTACAGGCGTGAGGCACCATGCCTGGCCCAAGCTCTTTGATGGCAACGACTATAGCTTGCCTTTTGGGGGAGCCTCCACAGAGCCTCCCTGAATTGTAAGGGAACAGAAAGGCCTCATTCTATGCTGAGCTAGAATTGCAAATAGAGCTCTTCCCAAGCACCAGCAAGGCGAATGGTGGTGCCTGCCTGGAGCACCACCTTGGGAAGGATTCTGCCGCCAGAGCTGAGGTTGATGCTGTCAGCCCTGGGCTGTTTCTACTGGGCAGTATGTGTACCATGAATACGTCATCCTTCCTTTGGGCTCTCCAAGATGGAAGAGTGTCTAGTTCTAGAGGCTCCCAACCTGCCGCAGCAGCCCTTATCATCAGAGTGACTCAGTGAATGTGTACACGTGAGAGCATGTGAAGCATGCGGACTTCTGGGTCTCCCCTGAGAATCAGCCTGTCAGAAGTCACTTTGGAGTTTGCCTTTTAAAAACCCTCAGATGATCCTGATGCCCAGCCAGGTGTGAGGATTCCTACCCAGCCTACCCAAGGAGGGTCCCTCTCCCACATCCATGGCGAAACTCAACACACCCAGTGTGTGTGTCCTCCTTGCTGGCAGCTCTTCTGTCCCTGACGAGAACACTCATGTGTCAACCACAGTCATCCTTCCACCCCATTTTCCAATGGTCCCCAGTATGAATTACAGGGAATTTGCAGGAAATCTCTAAATAGGGCTCGATCCCCTGCCACTGATGGTGGTGGTGTACGTACGAGTCAGTCCTTAGGTACAAATGTGTGTACGTGACCCCTTCTCAAAATCTTTTTATTTAGAAACTCTGTTGCTCTTTTGATACATATGACTAGGGAAAATGTGTCCTTTTACTATAGTTGCACAATTTATGCCCTAGGGAAAGTTCTGGAAAAAGGTCAGCACACCCCTCCATCTACTGAAACCCACCCGGTATATCTAATGGCTCACCAGTAAGCTGCGGCAGGACTCTCAGTCTCTAACCCCCCAGTTTCCAAGCAAGTAACCCCAACCCTGCAGAACACCATTCTGATGATTCGAGGGTCCCATGGGAAACACTGGAGCTTGGTGCAGTACCGGCAATGCAGACTAAAGGGAAGGAAAGTGTGTCAGCTCTTAACTCAGGAAAGGATAAGAGAACCACTCTGAGTTTCTCCTTGAGGAATGATAAGCAGCTTCTAAGCAGTTCAGTACTTGCCAGCAAAAGACTGAAGAAAAAAGTTTCGAAGAGATGAGAGTTTGAGAAGCACTGATTATAGCTAGTGTATTTTACGAGCGGGTTTTTATAAAAACCTAATCAATATTAAAGATGTATGTAGACTAATAAAGTCATTCTGAGCAAAGTTTCAGGGTATGATATTTATTAATATTAATGAAATTGTGATTGGTCATAAATGGAGTTATATATTCTGACATTGTAAGTGATTTTTGGTATTTTAGATTATTACATTATAGAGGTAATAAATACCTGTTTTTATCTAAAGTCTTTAAAAAATTAGAAATTGACACTAAAATTGCCCGAAGAAAACATTATTTTGTAAAGTCTACAATGAATGTTGGCTTTAAGAGGTAAGGTATGATAATCAGAAGAAAAAAATAATAAATTAAAAACCTTTCATATTGGGACAAAATTTTAAAAATAGCATAGGTGCTTTTGTTGAGACAGAGTCTCACTCTAAAGCCCAGGTTGGAATGCAGTGGGGTGATTACAACTCACTGCAGCCTCAACCTCCCATGTTCAAGCTATCCTCCCACATTAGCCTCCTCAGTAGCTGGGACTACAGGTGTGCACCACCATGCCCAGCTAATTTTTTAACTTTTTGTAGAGATGGGGTCTCACTATGTTGTCCAGGTTCATTTTTAAGAATATATAGGTGTCTAATAATACCACAAGCATTTCTATTTTTGTGAACAATTAAAAAATGTCTTCTAAAAAATGTCTATAAAGCTTGCACATAAAACCGTGCATTAAGTCATTACTGGAGTATCCAATGGTAATTAAATAAAAGTCTGCTTTACAGCCTAGGATCAAACTGCGTTTTCTAGCACCTTGTAAAGTGAACTGTTAAAACAGCTTCTCCCATTCTGTAGTAACTAATTGCTGCCACTCAGCAGGAAAGTCAGTTATTAAAACACAACACCATCAAAACTGAATATGAACTTAAACAGTAGATCCAAAGACTACATAGCACATAGTAATAAAATGAAAATATTTCTAGTAATTAAGTTGGCTTCATAAATTCAATGCCATTTCAATAAAAATCCCAACAACATTTATTGCAAAACATGACTAGGTGATTCTATCATATAATTACAACAGCAGGCCAGTCATAGTGGCTCACACCTGTAATCCCAGCACTTTGGGAGGCTGAGGCAGGCAGATCACTCAAGGCCAGGAGTTCAAGGCAAGCCTGGCCAAAGCAGTGAAACACCATCTCTACTAAAAATACAAAAATTCGCCGTGCATGGTGGTGCATGCCTGTAGTCGCAGGTATGCGGCAGGCTGAGGCACAAGAATCACTTGAACCCAGGAGGCAGAGGTTGCAGTGAGCCGATATTGTGCCACTGCACTCCAGCCTGGGTGACAGAGCAAGACTCTGAGGAAAGGAAGGGAGGGAGGGAGGGAGAGGGGAGGGGAGGGGAGGGGAGGGGAGAGGAAGAAGGAAGGAAGGAAGGAAGGAAGGAAACAGCAAAGGGTCAAGTACAGCCAAGAGAATTCTGAAGAACAATTCAAGTGGACTGGTAACTTGGCCTATCAGATACCAAGATTTATCACAAAACTTTAGTCAGTGTGCTGTTGGCATAGGGATAGAGAATCTGTCCTGTTGGAACAGAATAGGGCACTCAGGAAGAGTCACAGGAATATAAATACATGAAAAATATATGAAACCTGATACATGACAGAATTAGCAATGCAGATCAGTGGAGAAAAAATTCAATAGATGAGACTGGGAAAATTTGTTATTAATGTGAGAAAAAACAAAATTGGATCCCTATCCACATGATACCTGGAGATAAATTCTGGGTGGATTAAAGTCCTATTAGTAAGAAATAAATCTTTAAAAATTTTATAAGAATGTATAGGAAGATATTTTATAACTTTGGGGGAGTGAAAAGGAAGACTCCCCAAAACACAAACCATAAAGGAGAATGATAAATTAGATTATATTGAAATTATGCATTAAAACCATTAGAACTGGTAAGGATTCACATCGAGAATACATAAAGAATTCCTACAAAACAATATGAAAAAGACAAATTAAACAGGAAAATGGAAAGGGGTTTGAATAGGTAATTCATGGAAGAGGAAGCCCAAATGATAAATATACTTAAAAACATCAACTGTCTAACTAAAAATCAAAGAAATGCAAAACTATGATAAATGTTCCTTTCACACCCCATAGTTAAACAAAACTTTAAAAGTCTGCCCAAGATATAGAGAAAAAAGCAACTATTATACACTGGTAGTGGGAGTGTGAATTAACACAACTCCTTTGGAGAATGGTTTGGCAATACCTAGGAAAGTTGAAGGTGCACAAACCCAGTGGCCCAACAATTTAACTACTGGGTATGTATCTTGGAGGCTTAGAGAATCTTTAATGCAGGTGTGCAAGGAGACTTGTACAAAATTGTTCATGCAAATAATATCATATTTTTCTTAAGGATATATATGTGAAAATATTGTGAACTGGAAAACCTAGAAGAAACAGATAAATTCCTGGACACATTCAACCTACCAAGATTGAACCATGAAGAAACAGAAAAGCTGAACAGAACAATAACAAGCAATGAGATTGAAGCAGTAATAAAATATCACCCATCAAAGAAAAGTCAAGGACCTGATGGCTTCACTGCTGAATTCCACCAAACATTTAAAGAACTAATACCAATTCTACTCAAACTATTCCAAAAAATTGAAGAGGAGGGAATACTTCCAAAGTCATTATCCAAGGCCAGAACTACATTGATACAAAAGCCAGATAAGGACACAAACAAAAAAAGAAAGCTACAGGCCAAGATCCCTGATGAACATAAATGCAAAAGTTCTCGACAAAATACTATCATACGAAATTCAGCAACACATCAAAAAGATTATTCACCATTGATCAAGTGGAATTCATCCCAGGAACGCAAGGATGGTTCAACATACACAAATCAATAAATGTGATACATCACATCAACAGATATAGTTGGGATCAGTGCCCTGGTTACATAATCAAAAATGCCTTCCCAAGTCTCACCTCATTCTTACCTCTCCTAGGACCTTTGTTAGCTATTTTGTTATTACTAATCTTTGGCCCTTGTTTGATTAACCTCTTAGTAAAGTTTGTGTCTTTTAGATTACAATAGTTCCAGGTAAAGACAATGCTGGCACAAGGCTTCCAATCCATCCTGCCTACTGACCAGGAGAATTAAAATGTTCTGCCTATGGGCCCCTTAGATCAGGTATCCAGAGATTTTTACTCCTCTGTTGCTTGGCCAGGGCCTACGCCCATAACATAAGCAGGAAGCAGTTACAGAAGACAGATTTCTACCCTTCTGCAGCCCTGTTAAGATTAAGGAGGAGTGTCTAATCTCTGAGACAGGAATGAGGTAGGAGGCAGGGCTTGACTCGAACTAGATTGGAGACTGGCTGAAACAGGGAAGGGCTGAAAGCACCTCTCTGTAAGGCATGCTCACCAGTATCATGACAGTTTACTCATTCCCTGGCAACAACCTGGAAGTTACGACCTTTTTCTAGAAATTTCTGAATAATCTACTCCTTAATTTGCATGTAATTAAAAATGGGTATAAATGTGACTGTGGAACTGTCCCTGAGCTGCTGCTCTGGACACACTGCTGATGGGTGGCCCTGCTCTGCAGGAGCAGTCACAGAGCTGTAACACTGTGCCCTTGATAAAGCTATTTTTTCTACCACCAGCTAACACTTGAATTTCTTCCTGGGGGACACCAAGAATCTCCATGGGTGGAACCCCAGTTTTGAGGCTCCCTTGCCCTGCAACATGATGATAAACCTAAATTCAGGATGTTGTTTGCCCCTGGGGCAGGAGTGAAATGAGACTGGGGAGGGTATACAAAGGGCTTTAACTGTATCTGTAACATTTCATTTCATAGGCTGGTTGGTAAGTTCATGCATATTCATTATGTCATTATGCTTTATTCAATGTCTTAGGTGTGAAGATTTTCATAATAAATAATAAAGATTGAGATTTGCATAATGAATATGTATAGCTAATAACAAATAAGGATGGTAGTTTCTAAGCAGTGTTGTACTTAACCGGTAAGAATAATATTTAAAGAAAAAAGTTGAAGGCAAATTCATTTTTGGTTAGTTTACACGATAATCATTCTTTTCAAATTCCTTCTATATAAATTTATTTTTATACCCATTAACGAATTTTTCTTCCTCCCCTCCCATGATAATCATACTTGATTAAACCCCTGACCCAAAGATAAAGATGAGTCCTTCTGCTACTAATATATTCCATACTTTGTCTTTTCATTGTTTCAAACGCTTTTGAAGCTTTGTTCAGATAGTTATGTGTGGTAAAACAACAGCGTGAAAAAATAGCTGATTTTAATAATTGTATCTGTGTAAAGTTCAGCAGTTAACTTACTAAGCTTTCTCTCAAGCAGCATTGTAATTTTTTTAAAAAATGTATGTTTAGTTTTGTCTTGATGCTGTTAGAATACTAAAGAAATATAATAGCTGACATTTAATGCTTATTCTATGGTGAGGTATCACTGAGTATTCAGAACAGCTCTATGACTTAAGAACTATTCTTATCCCCATTGTACAGATCAGAAAATGGAGACACAGAGAGGTTAAGTAACTTGCCTAAGGACACACAGCTAGTAAGAGGTACTGGTGTTAGAACCCAGGCAATCTGGTTACAGAGTTTGTGCTTTTAACAGCACCCTGAAGATGAAGAAGAACAGTAAATTTCATATTGCAGGATAAATAAAAACGGTTCTAGCAATCTTACCCATTCAAAACAAAAGCTTTGTTTGCTTAACTGACTTTGACATCGACTCATTCCCAGCTTTTGGGAGATCCAGAAATTTCTGTTTTACAGCAATTAATTAAAGAATCTGCTAACTCAGAAAGGCAGCATTCCAAAGTGAGGCAGACACTAAAACACTGGCTCTTCCACGCTGCAAGAAATACGCACGCGCATGTCAGCCGCTTGGGAGCCCTGCCTTCGCCCCCGCGGTGCACACACGCGTCTCCCCCACGTGCGCAGGCGCCCTACCTGGCCGTGCAGCATGGACTCCAGCACTAGCGCCCACAGGTCCACAAAGGTCGTGGGGTGGCCCTGCTCAGCCCGCAGCTCCAGCTCCCGGCGGTAGCTCGCCAGGCGCTCTGGGGAAAAGACCTCCAGCTTGCTCTTGGCCAGGTGCTCCCGGGCGTATCTGATAGGTCCCTCCAGGTCCCTCTGCGACCACTCAGGGTCCCCGTACAGGTGGGCCATTGTCCTGGAAGAACGAGGGGACAGAACAGTAGGAGCCCGAGGCCCAGCATGGGGCGCTGCAACTCCTGCTTCCCACTCGGCAGCTTCTCCTGACACGTGGCTCCTGCCACCAAGGCTCTGCCGATCTGGTAAATGGGTCTCAGGGCTTTCTCTCCTTCTAGATCAGCGCTGTCCAATATTAATACGATGTGAGCCACACACGGAATTTTAAATTTCCTAGTAACCACATTAAAAAGATATACAAGCCTGTAAAAATTAATTTTAATATTTTATTTAATTCGCTATATTCAAAAATATCATTTCAACAAGTAGTAAATACAGTTATTGATGTAATTTCTATTTTTTTCAAACTAAGTCTTCCAAATTCACTGTGTATTTATAACACATCTCAATGTGGACTGGCTGCATTTCAAATGGTCAATAAACAATGTGGCTAGTGGCTACCATAGTGGCTTACTGTACTGGACAGCCCAGTTCTGGACCCCACTCCCATCTTCACGGTCCTGTCCTGAAGCCTTTTCACACTCTGCTTGTCAACAGCTGTCACCTAAACTCCTCTGAGGCGTTTCCTCTTCTTTTACTCCTCAAAGTCGCATTTCAATAAGACTCAAAGGAATGAATCTCTAACAGCGGGATGCTGCACCTCGTCATGCTGCGGGGTGAGGGCGTAGGGAGGTAATGCTAGCTTTAGGTAGAAATAGTATCTCGACCTCAATGTCTACACAGTCTTAAATGGACAATAAGGGAATCTACCTCGAGTGTGGTGAAGATTAAATGCAATAATAACAATGAAAGATAAAAAGAGCTACCAATTAGGAATTCCTGGCTGTGCTGGGCATTAAGTTAAGTGCTTTACTTGGGTGATCCCCACACCCCAGTCCCACGCGGTGTGTGCTAGGATTGTCCGTTTGGAGCTGCATCAACTGAGAATCAGAGGAGATAAGTTGCTCAGTGTCAGCCAGCCAGTAAGTGGTGCTGCCAGGACTCAAATCCAGCTGCATCTGAGTCAGCTACCTCACAGCCTTTCAGTAACATCTGGAATGCACCTCCTGCGCCGCCTCGCTCACGGCAGGGCTTCTGTAAACGTCTGTTTCCTTCCTTGTGGGAAAGCTGCTTGGCGCCCATCAGATCACAATGATCACACCTACTTGGCCTCCCCACACAAAGTGTCCCTCTGGTGCCCACTCTGCCCCGCTATGGCCCCTGATTGTCTCTGCCACCCAGTCCCCCAGGATCCTCACCACGTAGAGCCAGAGATGCCACTGAAGTAGGTCACACAGTCTAGGAGGCCCAGCTTCTGCAAGGCCAATAGGTGGCCGTAGAGTGAGGTCATGGCCCGGGCACCTCCTCCTGTGGCCATGATGCCCACAACGGGTACCTGGACCACACACAGACAGGCTGGATTAACAAGGAAAGGGGCCAGCTGCCTCCTGTCTCACCCAGGGCCCTGCCCCGCTCCTTGTCTCCAGGGAAGGGACCGCATAGTTGGGTCCTGATAGAGTCAGGGTTAGAGCTGGGTCCAGCCCTCCTCTGGAAGCAATGGCTCTCAGCTCAGGATGGAGCTCCCAAGGGAGTTAGAACCACAAAGCCCACTCACGCTCCCATGTCTCCACACACATGCCCACTCTCCACTGACTGGAGTTTCTGGAGAGGCATAGGAATCAGGTACTCCCTTATGGCCCGTCCAGGATATCTGCACACACATCCCTCTGCACCCCCAGACCTCATCCTCCTGCAGGTCTCTGTCCAGCTGCAGGGCCTGCTTCAGGGCCTTGGCCACCACCTGCTTCCTCCTGCTCAGGAAGGCCTGCTCCTCTGCACAGAGATTGAAGCCCAGGTGCACGGCCAGCTCCTCAGGGCTGTGGCAATGGAGGATCCAGGGGTCAGGGGACACCTGCATAGCTCAGCCACTGGCTGGCCAAGCCCACAATGAGCTGCCAAAGAAGCCCTCTCCTCCAATCTCAAGGACCACCTTTGTCCATAGCCCTCCCCTCCTGCATGCCCGCCTCTCACTGTCCCCACAGATGTGAATGTCCCTTACCAGCCCTCTGCCTTGAGCTGCAGCCTCACTCCTGGGGCCTGAAATCAAAGCCAGAGACTCTGCTCAGACCCTCCTAGACCCTAAGCGGCACATGGGTATCCCTGGGGACTTGGTCCCCTTCATCTTCATTCTTTTTTTTTTTTTTTTTTTTTGAGACAGAGTTTCACTCTTGTTGCTCAGGCTGGAGTGCAATGGTGCGATCTTGGCTCAATGCAACCTCCGCCTCCTGGGTTCAGGTGATTCTCCTGCCTCAGCCTCCTGAGTAGCTGGGATTACAGGTGTGCGCCACCACACCCGGCTAATTTTTGCATTTTTAGTAGAGATGGGGTTTTGCCATGTTGGCCAGGCTGTTCTCAAACTCCTGACTTCAGGTGATCCGCCTGCCTTGGCCTCCCAAAGTGCTGGGATTACAGGCTTGAGCCACAGAGCCCAGCCTTATCTTCATTCTTACTGGCATTTCCCATCCAGTTGAGGCCACTTACATTTGGAGCAGGAACATCCATAGTCACCTCCTTCCCAATGGTCAAGGGCCTCAGGGGCACAGTGAGGTACCCAGCTGAGTTGTCCCCATTCCAGCCATTGCTTCTGGAGCTCTGAAGGGAAAGCATCATTCATTCATTCATTCATTCATTCAACAAATCCCTACTAAGTATCTAGACTACAATCCAGACAGACACATTCTCCCTGATAATACAGAATATTATAATATTGATAAGTATCATAATTATAATTATAAAATTATAAGAGCTAATATTTATGTAGTACGAAGGCATTGTTCTCACGGAATAGCATGTATAAATTTATAAAGACATGGGTAATGAACTGATGTTAGTAAGTGTTGTGAAGGAAATAAGTGGTGTGATATGACAGTTTCTAATGCAACCAAAGGTGGAGTGCGTGGGGTTTATTTGAGGTGGGGGTCAAGGAGGACCCTCTGAAGAGCCACCATTTGAGCTAAGATGTTGAGGAGGAGGAGGAGGAGGCAGCCTTGGAGGAAGCCAGCTGGGGACAGGAGAGCACTTGGCATATTGGAAATGAGAGAGGAGACAAGGATGGCTGAGGCATCGTGCATGGGGGGAGTGTGGAACAAAATGAGGCGGCAGAGGTGGACGGGTGCCAGGCTGTGCAGGGCCATGTGGGCACAGATGTCATGTCTTATTCTAAGGGTATCACTGGAGGGGCCGCTGGAGGATTCAGAGACTGATATGGTGCAGCAGCCCCATGCCCGCTCTGGCCACTGGTGGTCCTCTGTGTCTGCCAAGAGTGAGGTGCCTAACTAGGGGAGGCTGACAAGGCCACAGGGGCCTTGGCCCTGGTGGGCAGGGAAGGCAGGGAGGGGCCCGCTGCAGCTGGAGCTGCCCAAGCCTAGGATTGCAAACGAGGTCTAGAGCCAAGACCCACCCTCAGGCGCCCGCTCAGCTCTGTCTCTAGGGCTGCCATGTAGTGGAAGCGGAAGGCAGAGGCTGTGCCCAGGAAGGATGTCTGTGTGTCCTCATAGGACCCCTTCAGCACCAGCTCCAGCTCCAGCTTGTCCTGATCTAGGGAGAGAGTAGGCGGGTTAGCATGAGAACAAGAGCCCGGAACCCCAGCTCGGACCTGGGACAGCAGCACCACCACCTGGATTCAGAGGATGCCTGGGAGGCTGGGCCATCGTCAACAGCATTCTGAAAAGGGCCCTTCCCAGCCCAAGGGGCCCCACAACCCCCCATCCCGGACTCCTGCCTTCTGCAACATGCTCTCCCCCAGGTCAGGGGACCCTCCTGCCCAGCGGAGATGCGTGGCCCTCTGTGCCATGTGGGTGAGAAGAGAGAGGCAAGCTCTACCCTGCTGCTGGCCTCCTGCCCTGCGCAGGCTTCCCAGCAATCCTCCTCACCCCCACATCCAGGCAGAGTCCAGGCCTGGTTCTAAGCTGGTCTCACCTGCAACCACAGCGGTGCTCCCTGTGCTGTCCAGATGCACATCCAGGCATGACAGCTCTCGGGCCTGGGGAAGACCACATCATGGGCAGGGGCCTCTGCAGGGTAAGCTGAGGTCCCCTTAACCTCAACCCTCTGAGACCCACTGTCCCAAATCCACCACACACACAAGGAGTTGTGTGGGCTCAGGATGGGATTGGCTGCAGAGGCCCTTCATCCCATTGCCGATCCTCTGCCGCGGCTGAACCTGATATTCCGCAGCAGCCAGGAGGGCCCTGGCTCCACACCTCCCCTCCAGCTCCCCTGGCTTTGCCAAACTCCCGAAACCTCCTAGAGCGCCCAGCCCTCAGACACAGCTGTTTCTTCTCTTGTTTCCCTGTGGCTTGGAGCTGGAGGAGGTATTCTACCACAACTCCAAATAATCTAAGCAAGCCGCCCATCCATAGGAGGGTAGACGGGGCGTCGGACAAACCCTCAGAACGTCTCCTGGCTGTCCTCTGTGGCCTAACTGGGGGACAATGACAAGGCCAGGCCCCCGTGGCCTTGCCAAGGGAGCCTCTGCATGCTGTCTGTGAAGCATACCAGCAGATGCCCGCCACCCACGCTCCACACAATCACTGAATTTGCCCACCTGCTGTGTGTCTCCATCACCTCCTAAGAGGCAGTGCCATCGGCTTGACTTTATTTTCATGTGTATTTTTAAAAGTAATACCCGTCCATCAAACAGCCCCTAGGAGCTTAAATGCTGGGCTCTAGGTGCCTTCGCCCGTGACCCTGGACCCGCCTGCTCCCAGGTCTGTGCTGCTGGTCTGGGTCACTGTGATAATCGAGCGCGTCGCCCGCTCGCCACCTTGCGGCCATTTCTGTCCACTGCAGCTTCGTGAGCCCGTGGTCAGGAGCGCTGACCAGGACTCTCCCCAGTCCCAAGGAGGAGCTAGCTGCCTGAGCCTCTGATCCTCCTAGGTTGGCAGTACACCGCCCTGGGAACTCCCTCTGAGCCTCGGTGACCTCAACGTGAACAACCGGAAGGTGGGCCTGGCCTACCTGATTTCTTCACCGCTTCCCAGGGAAGCACTCAGTCAATCCCTAGAACTATGAGTTCACCGCAGGTGACTAAACACCTTCCGGAAGCACCCCGAACAGCCGTGGGCCAGAACCTCCTCTCAGCAGAGCCCTGCCTCCCCTCTCTCTATGCGCCCCTTAGCTCCAGGCCCCTCCAAGACCCACAGCCACAGGTGACCACCTGGCTGGAAGGCTAGGGGTGGTTTTACCACGAAGCCCTGCCCCTTCCTTGTCCCTGCTGGTCCACACCCCAGGCAGCTGCCCTCCCTCCCCAAGCGTCTGCTCTGGGGCCCCTCCCCTAAGCCTGGGGAAGGTGCTTACCACAATGACTTTGTTGGTGATGAGGTTTTCTGGGCGATCTGACCTGGAAAAATCAAACCATGCAAAGGCAAACGCTTCCTGCATTGACCTCCCGCTCCCGCCCATGTGGGGTCTCCCTGGGTGATGCTGAGGGCTCTGTAAGTCCTGGATTCGGTTCAGGGACAAGGGGAGATGCTTTGCAGGAGGAGAGGGGAGGGGAGAGAGCAGAGAGAGAAAACATCGGCCTTCCTCTCTGTGTTTCCCTAAGAGAAGCCCCGCCCCACTCCCGACCTCTCTGGCAGGGGTAGGAGATGAGGGACAGTCAGGCTGGACTGACCACAGGGAGATCTGGGTCAGGGCCATTTCCTCAGAGCCTGAGTCCTGAGACACTCCCTGGGCTGTGTGACATTACTCACGTTTCTTCCATCAGGAACTCCACATCCAGCTCCTCCTCTCCCTGAAATCAGAGAGCATGAGCAAGTCATCAGCACATACCTGTGTCTTCAGAGTTGACACAGTTCTTTTACAGGTGTCATCTCATCCTCTCAAGCGGTCTCCAAGGGAGGCACGTTAGTACAATTATTTCCAATTTATGGATGAGGAAACTGAGGTATGGGGCCAGATGGGCTACCTGCCCACATTGCCCACAGCTAGTAAGTCTGCAGAGAACAGGTCTCCCTCCCTTGGAGGTCCCACAACTCTGGGCAAGACTGAAGGGGAAGACAAGGAGCACAGCCAAAGGAGGCATGATGTGCAGGACCCATATCTTTTTCTTGAGGAGGGCCCAGACCCCCGAACTCTGCCGTCCCCACCCCCAGGCTGCAGCAGGAAGGGACGTGAGGCCTTCACAAAGCAGGCCTTGGCACCACCAGCAGGAGTGATGGATGCTGAGCTGTGTTTTGAGGGGTGGCCTTCCTGCCACAGGTGGCTAAAATTCCTCCACTGGGTGATTCAGCCTGTAACTGTAAAGTGAAGCCTTTTCCTTGCTTATTAAAATGCAAATCTAAAAAGGGGTTTAGATTTTTCTGTGAATGAGTTCACCCCAGCAGCCTCCCAACAGGTGGGAGAAATAGCTACTTCCTCAGCTTGGAGTTGGAAGAAGTGGGGCCCACGGGGACTTCCCCACCCACCCACCCACCTGGGGACTCTGGGAGAAGGTTTTCCGGAGCAGCTTGCCAGGGAGGACTTCTGAGATGTCATAGAGAACCTTGAAGCAGATGTCATCCTCCGTGACTGAGTCCTCATCATAGATGCTAAGCTCCAGAACATTCTAGGAACCAGGAACAGCGACTTAGCATTTTACCTGCTCATAGTGAGAGTAGCTCACCTCTGTTGAGCCCTTACTTGATGTCTAGAGTCAGAGAAGATCATTATGCCACCACACGTCTGCGCTTCAAAATAAAAAAAAAAACTGTAAAACTTAAATATAAGGAAATCTTATTAAATTTCAAATTTCCTCCTTCTAATTTTTGTTTTTATCAAACATAAAATTCTGAGCTGGGCATGGTGGCTCATGCCTGTTATCCAGCACTTTGGGAGGCTGAGGTGGGTGGGTCACCTGATGTCGAGAGTTCGAGACCAGCCTGGCCAACATGGTGAAACCCCATCTCTACTAAAAATACAACAAATTATCTGGACATGGTGGTGGGTGCCTGTAATCCCAGCTACTCGGGAGGCTGAGGCAGGCGAATCGCTTGAACCTGGGAGGCGGAGGTTGCAGTGAGCCCAGTTCGCGCCATTCAACTCCAACCTGGGCAATAAGAGCAAGACTCTGTCTCAAAAACAAAACAAAACACATAAAAGTCTGTCAAATAATTCCCTCTTCCTCTCTCCCTGTCTGTGTGTCTCTCTCTCCCTGGCTTTTCTGGCTCCCTGAGGTGCACCCTAAGGTATGTGCTGGTGATCTTTCACGGTCTTCCACGCATTATCTCATCTCACCCCACAGTGACCTGATCAGGAGGGGGCTCTTACTGTCTCTGTTTCATAGCTGGGCTTCGAGAGGAACCCAGCTTGTGGGAGTCAGTCCCACAGCCAGTTGGTGAAAGGACCATGTTCATTCTTTCATACATTCCCTTGCACACAGCACAGACAGGCCAGGGCACAGAGACCCCCTACTGCTGAGAGTTTCTCTGACAGCCCCAGAGGAAGCATGCTCTACCCCAGGAACCCTTGCATGGGGGTCCAGCCCGTTCACAAGGGAGTGGCCAGGAGTCCCGGGCCTTCACCTTGACCTGACTTTGGATAAGGAAACGGAAGGCCTCATTCCACACAGGATGACTGGTGTCGGTGAGCGTCTTGGTCTTAAACTTCATTCCAGGTGCGGTCGACAGCTGTAGGATCACGTAAGGGTCGGCCTCACTCACTGCCAAGGTTAAGGAAGTCTTCGTGAGGGAGTACTCCCCACACCCCTCTCCATGAGCCATGCCAGTTTCCTACCAAGACCCTGGCGGTCACCGCAGGTGACCCAGCCCAGCCCCAGGGCACTCGTCTTGGCCCTTCCTATGGGATCTGGTCCTCCCTGCTCCCGACAGAGCGCACAGGGCGGTTACTCACACAGGTCAGCCCAGCGCAGGTTCCGCGCCTCCAGGACCCTCACTGTGAGCTGCCAGCAGGTAGAGGCCTCCCCCTGAAGAGAAAATCAAACTCCAGAGTCCTTCCTGCATTCCCTCCCTTATGCCTGGAGCTGCAGCCCGGGCTGCCGACACCCCTCACCACTCTCCTGGTACTTGGTGGTGCTGACACCCCTGCCAGGCGTTCCGGGGACACCCTCTGGGGACCAAAGAGCCTTTGTCCACTTCTGTTTTGGGGGTCATGGTTCTGGGCTGCAGCAGTCAGGGAATAGCAGCACACCCAGATGTGGAATTTGTGGAACCCCTTCCCCTTCGGGAACAGAGCAACATGGGTAGTGGACAGAGCAAGGAAGTGAGGGCCAAGGAGTGGCAACCACAGAGGTCAGTTAGATGTCAGCCATTCCCAGAGCTCCCAGGGAGGGCAGCCCTTTGGCAAAACAAGGGTTACCTTTGGTGACCCTGCTGCCAGCACTGCCCACCCCTCAGCCCTTCCGGACGGGAAGCAGGCATATGACTTAAGGGAGGGTGAGCCTCAGCAGCCCAGTCCACAGGCGCTACCCTGGATCTCAGCTATCTGCACTGTAAGGGGTATGAATGAGGAAACTCCAAGAGCATCCAGCCATCACAGGGAGCAGTGGGTGCTGTGGGTGAAAGGCCACTGTGTATTAAGATGCTGATGAGGCCACATCAGCCACAGACAGCCCAGGTGTGAGGGAGAAGCAGCTGAGTGGGCAGAAGCTGGAGGAGAAGATGAGCCGAGAGTAGGTGGCAGGAGGGAAAGCAGATGGCCAGAGGGGCGTGGCTGAGGCCTGCTGGGGTCAGAGCACTGGGGGTGTCCCCACACCCTACTGCTGAGGTCCCCGGCACTGCCACGATCAGGAGGGCCCTGGAGTTTCTGTTCTTCCTGAGCCCTGCAGCACGGCTTTTTCTGGGCATCTGGCACAGGTTTCTTATAAGCCCCTTTGATGTGAGGTTACTCAAATCGGTTTGGCAGGGCAAATGGCATTTTTTCCTGTGGGCTGACCCCAAGGAAGGCTGTTGGCCTTGCATCCTCTTGGAAGGGAGCCTTCCCAGGAGGACCACCTATGAGGCACGTGGCCCCAGCAGAAAGAGCCCATGTCCAGAGGGTCTGTTAGAACAGGGGCTGTCAGGAAGGAACACTGCCTGTGCCGGGGAGTGGGGCAGTGGGAGCCCCAGCCAGGAGGGGATCCTGCAGGGCCACAGCATGGCAGGACCCCCAGGAGGCACCAAGCACATGAAGGCCTATGAAATGCTAACCCCAGGAGCCATGCAGTGTGGCGGCCCTGCTGAACAACCCAGAGACCACCTTCATTCCAGAAAAAAACCCGTGCTGGGGCTTCTGCCATTCAGCGGCTCTGCCACCAGGTTAGACTCCCCATTAAGTAAGTACGATCTTCTCAGACCCTATGTCCCTTCACCCGCTCCTCCCCGACCCTGAGGGAGCCAAAAGCCAGTGCAGTGTTTGCACAGTGAACATTTGATATCGCATAGCTGGGAGACTGTTGTGATAAAACCAGAGGTGTTTCCTGCTTTGCGCTCTCCCGTGACCAGACCCACTTCCATGCATGTGGTTGGAAGTTCTCGGTGCCCACAAGGACTCGTACCCGCTCTGCACAGATGCTGCTTGCTAGGGGCTGGCTCAGCACCCACGGGGACCTGAATCTCCACTCCCCACCAAAAACTGTAAAGGACCATGGGCCACAGCAAAGCCATATGCCTGGTGGCCCTGCCCCTGCATCTTTCCTCTCTGTGGTTCCATGCCAACGTCCTATCATTCCAGGCAGCTTCCCAGCAGAGCACATGTGACCTCCCCGAGCAAGGTAGATTTGTTTCTCTCTTCTTGGGGATTAACTCCAGTGGCACCAGCAACATGTCAACTCTATAAACCTTAAGCCTTATAGAGGTTGTCAGCAGCAGAGATTTCATGAACTTTGGGACATCTAGCTCCATTTCCTCCCCTCACTCAGATTCCACCACTGCCGGCCACAGGGAGGTGATGGCTGGGATGCTGGGGCCCTGCAGGGTATTGAGTTTGAATGTCCCGCTCCAAGACAAGACAGGTGAAGGGCAGAGGCAGCCCAGCCTCGCTCCCCTGCTCCCCCGGCCAGGCTGATACTCCACAGGTCCACAGCTTGTGGGCTGCTCTAAAGTCACTTGGGCTACTGAGAAGTGGCCCCAGTTACTCACTGTCTAGCCAGTCACCATCCCGGGTTTAAGCACTGTGGTTCATTTCTCCCTCCCATCACTGAGAGCTTCTCAACCTCAGAAAGCCCACCATTCCCCGGCAGGTTATTTTCCCTAGAGAAAAATCCCGATTCTCTTCACCTCTAAGATCATCGCTAACATGGAGTGCCCAGAACATGGTATTATTGGGACAGTGATTACAATGACTGGTCTTTACGGGGGCTTAAAGGCAGACTCTGGAGCCAGGTTGTCTGGATTTAAACCCTGGCCCTGCCACTTACTTGCTGTGTGACCTTGGACAAGTCACTAAACTTCTCTGTGCCTCTGTTTCCTCATGTGTAGTGGAAATAATAGTTTTGACCTCACATAGTATTCTGAGGCTTAAAATGTTAATGCCTGCAGACTGCTTAGGAATAAAGTAAGCAGTTTTTAGGTAACTGCTATTGCTACTACTGTTTATTAAGTATTTGCCATGTTTTCAGGCACTGTGAATGTTGCAGATACCAGGATGAAATCACTTTTGTCAGACCCCGACAAATTAGGGCTGGGAACGCATGAAAGAGCAGAGCTCGTATTTACATGTCTGAGATGAGAGTTGTTTCCAAGGACTTCCTACAAACCCCACAGAAAACAGCTTCACATCCTTCATGCCAAAGTCCCTCTTTGACAGGAAGAGGGAAATGAGCAGACCCGCCCTGTTCCCTGCTAGCACCGGTGCCCTGTGGTGGGGTAATGCAGGAGGTCAGAGAGAAGAGGAGTGGAACACCTGGGCACAGCCCCTGGTCCTGGGGACTCAGTCCTGTGAATGCCGGCTGGAGGTGAGGCAGTTTCCAGTTGTGGGGCAGACTCAGGCTCCCAAATCGCTGACACTTAGGCTTTTGTTTTACCTGGGAGCTAGACCTAGAGGAGGCTGAGGGAAAAGGGGGAAGGGGTACAGCCTTCGCCAGGGAGATGAGTTGACAAGGTTCATCACTAGACATCCATTAGGACTGCAATAATTCAGATAAGATGCTCTCAGAAAACACGTGCCCAGTAACAGCATCTCCACCAATGAACTGACAACTCTGGCTTTGAGCTCTGGAACCAATGAACTCTGTTTCCAAGCAGTTTCTGTGAGCCTCCCCCTTTTTTCCAGTAAAAGCTTCCCTTTCCCCTTCCCTCACAATTGCCCTGGCGGCCTGTCATTCGACACATTCCGAGCCACAGTCATTTCTCATTCCAGAGTAAACACAACATAGAGATCATTTTCTCTCGTGTCTTTCTGTAGGGTGACAATACTGTACTAACCATATTACCTACCGTGTGGGTGGCAAGCCACCCAGGCGCCGAGGCAAGAGACCGAGGATACAAGCTGTTCCAGTATAATAAAATATAAAACAAGAATAGTTATACCAGATATAGATCTTAGATACGATTATATATGAATATCATTAATCATTAGTTTGTAGCAATTACTCTTCAGTCCAATATTATAATAATCCTCGCTCTATAATCATAACCTAGGAAAAACCAGGCCATACAGAGATAGGAGCTGAGGGGACACAGTGAGAAGTGACCAGAAGACAAGAGTGCGAGCCTTCTGTTATGCCCAGACAGGGCCACCAGAAGGGCTCCTTGGTCTAGCGGTGACGCCAGCGTCTGGGAAGATGCCTGTTGCCAGGCGGACCATGGTCTAGCGGTAGCGAAAAGTGTCAAGGAAAAACATCTGCTACTTAGCAGACCGGGAAAGGGAGTCTCCCTTTCCCCGGGGGAGTTAGAGAAGACTCTACTCCTCCACCTCTCGTGGAGGGCCTGACGTTAGGCTCGCCCGCAGTTACCTGGAGGCCTAACCATCTCCCTGTGATGCTGTGCTTCAGTAGTCACGCTCCTAGTCTGCCTTCATGTTCCATCCTGTACACCTGGCTCTGCCTTCTAGATAGCAGTAGTCAATTAGTGAAAGTACTAATAGTCTCTGATATGCAGAAATAATGGCGTAAGCTGTCTTTCTCTTTGTCTCCTCTCTCTCTCTGCCTCGGCTACCAGGCAGGGAAGGGCCCCCTGTCCAGTGGACACGTGACCCACGTGACCTTACCTATCATTGAAGATGACTCACACTCTCTACCCTGCCCCTTTTGCTTTGTATCCAATAAACAACAGCACAGCCAGACATTCAGGGCCACTACCGGTCTCCGCGCATTGGTGGCAGTGGTCCCCCGGGCCCAGCTGCCTTTTCTTTTATCTCTTTGTCTTGTGTCTTTATTTCTAAACTCTCTCGTCACCGCACACGGGGAGAGACCCACCGACCCTGTGGGGCTGGTCCCTACACTACTGTAACTTTATTTATCCTCCCACAGCTTCAAAAGACAGTACTCCCATTTCCTCCCATTTTCTACATGAGGGAATTGAGGCTCAGAGAGGCTAACTTGCCCAAGGTCACAGAGTTAGCAGGGACAGAGTTAGAATTCAAACTTCCAGGCCAGAGCTCACAACCCCCGTCTATTCTACCTTCCCAGGACTTTTGCTTCTTTGGAAAAGCATGCAACTCTTCCCTCATTGCCCCACGGATATCTAGGATATCTAGACACTAGATTTTCATAGATTTGTCTAATTTGACTAACAGATATTCATAGATTTGTCACAGATTTGACTAATATGATTACTGAGATAACCGACACTTTAACTGATATGAATCTTTTCCCCTGAGGGCATAGGGGCGTCACATTCCCTTCTGAAAGCTCCTCCCATCTGAAATACCTCCTTAATTGATGACTAACCCGGAGGCTTCTGGAGGAAATTCGTCAGCCCAGTCACCTGTAGGATCCCCCGAATGCCTCCCTGCTGAGGGTCTCAGCCACTCTGAACCTTGCGCAGGGACCCCAGAGGCTCTGGGCCATCCTTCTTCCGGTGGAGAGGCCCAGGGCACACGTTTGCCAGGAAGTTTTGTGAGAGGCTCTGTGCTGCCCCGTGCCCATCTTGGGAGATGTGGCCCAAGAGAGCTTAAGGGGGTTGGGTCTCCCCAGCTGGGGTCCAGAGTATCCTTGCCCGTGATCCTGGGTGTTCGGCAGGAAGAGAGAAATGAGCAGACCCACCCTGTCGTCTGCTGGCACTGGCGCCCTGTGGTGGGGCAATGCAGGAGGTCAGAGAGAAGAGGAGTGGAACCCCTGGGCACAGCCCCAGGCCCTGCACCTCCCTCAGGCTGGGCTGAGTCTCCTGGACCACACGGCAGGCACGTTCCAGAACAGGTCCCGGATGGCCAGCCTAGCCTGCTGGCCCAGGTCCCGCTCTGGGGCAGGTTCCAGGCCCCTGTTCCAGCAGAAATGAGGCTAGGCTAAACCGCTGCTGAAGCTTGCCAACCACAGGAACCGACTTGAAGGCTGGAGCTTGAGGACCTGGTCCTGGGGACTCAGTCCTGTGAATGCCAGCTGGAGGCGAGGTGCTTTCCAGGTGTGGGGCCGACTGAGGCTCCCAAATTGCTGACACTTAGGCTTTTGTTTTACCCAGGAGCTAGACCTAGAGCAGGCTGAGGGAAAAGGGGAAAGGGGCACAGCCTTCGCCAGGGAGATGAGTTTAAAGGGGGAAATATTCCAGAAGCCTCCACAATGGGCCGTTCTGGGCTCAGGGCTCCTGATGGGACGGGTGGTGGAGCCAGGGCCGCCAGCCCCTCCACTGGCCTGCATCCGTGGACTCCCCCGCATCCAAATGTCCGCTGATGTCTGACTCGTGGGTGGATCCACCTGACCTCAGGCTGGGGCAACAGTGTGGTCCTTCACTGAGGGGTCCCTCTCATCTTCCCCCAGGGCTCCTTAGTGTCTGCCCTGCCCCAGGCTGAGCCTCTTCCAGGAGCACCAGTCTGGAGCTGCTTGTCTGGATCCAGCTTGGGCCTGGGTCTCAGGGCCACAGCTCTAGAAGCCCAGCGAGGTCTGCATATGAGGCAAAGGACCTCAGGACAGTGACCTTGACACACTTAGCCTCATTCCTGGCCACCACCTGGGGCACCGGGGGGAGACCTCAGGAGCCAGCTCTGCTGGCCTTGGTCCCTGGCAGAGGATGAAAACTCTGGGCTTTGGAGAAACACATGACAGAGGGTGGGGGGGTGGCGAGAAGTTTGCAGGCCTCCTTGGCCTGGATGCAGCCCCACAGCTCTTGGGCCTACTAAATACTTGGCAGTGGATGGGGATTTGGGCCCCCAGAGCTCTGGAGACACACAGGGTGATCCCAGGGCTCCAGCCAGTTCTGGGAAGTCTGCCGGCCTGTGGTGGTGGGGCTGTGGGCCTGGTGGGTCTCCTTTTGTGACACACCCAGCCACTATGTTCTCCGATGATGGTGGGGGAGAGGTCCCTAAGGACACTGCTGTGGTCGCTGGTGGTGGGGAGAGGAAGCTCTGCTGACCAGACTCACGTTTCCCAGCCCCCGCATCTACGGATGCTGCTCACCCACCCCACCCACTCTGCATCCCAAATCTCAGACTCCCTCGCCCTCTGGCCCAGTCTGAAATCACCCTGATTCCAGCTATCACACTTCCCAGAATGCACCCTGGCTCCAGGCCTGCCCTGACTGGTGCCCACATGCTCTGCAGACACTGTTACCTGGTAAGGGTGGCCAGGTGGTCCCCCAGGTGACAGGCTCTCCATGCTAGCCCTTCCAGCTTCACTCCAGGCCCAGCCCTTGCCAAGATGCTGGCTCTCTGGCTGAGTGGCAGCGACGGTCCCAGTGGGATAGGACCAGCATGAATCTGCCAGCCTTCAATGAGCCACGATCCTATAAACAGGTTGGGGCTCCACCCCCAGGTCGCTCCTTCAGCCCTGCACCTGCCCCTCTTCCCCAAGAGGCTGGGTCAACCAGCATCTCCAGAAACCTCTGGCAGGGCTCCAGGACCTGCAGGCGGAGCACCTCTTCCAGACCTGGAGTTTCAGGACAGAAGATGCAGCCAGGGGGAGGCAGACGAGTCCCAGGAGTGGTGGCAGGAAGCTGGTTCCCCTGAGGCTGAGGGCAGAGGATGGGGTGGGGGTAGAGCTGAGGAAACCCCCAGCTCCACTGGAGCCAGGGCCAGCCTCTAGAGGAGGAGGGCTGAGCACCTGAGACTAGGCAAGGAGCCAGCCCTCCTGGGCAGCTCTGTGCAGCAGGGAGTTCAGGGGATGAAAACAAGAGCAGTCGTGGTGACAGGCCCGGGCTAGTGTATCCTCCTCACCTGACCTGAGCAAGCTCCAGGGAGCAGCACAGGGGTCTGGACATTCCCCACCACAAGCCCCTCACCTCCATGCGGCGGGCCCTAAGAATTTAGGGGATTTCAATTAGACTTTGTAATAAAAGTAAAAGAGACCAATCAGGAGATTCTTAGGTTATGAAAATTGTAGAAGTAAACTTTGTGAAGCCACCTCACCGCTTAAAGCATTCAGTGTACACATTAGCACTGAACGCTCTCCTAAAATGACATGAATTCAGTCATTTTACCATCAATTCTGTAAACAGTTGAACAGCGATGATGTTGTTTTTCAAAGCAAATGAAACTGAGTTAATCTTAAAATACTACAAGTGGATCTAAAATGTATTATTTCAGAGTTGGCCAAAACAGGAATCTAATGGTCTATGAACAAGTAAACATTATTTGGGTGGAAATATCTGTCATTTGCATGATATAAAATTTAATAAAAAAATGAATGTAGTGGTTGAGCATGGCAGCTAACGCCTGTAATCCTGGCACTTTGGGAGGTCAAGGAGGGAGAGTTGCTTGAGGCCAGGAAATGGAGACCAGCCTGGGCAACATGTTGAGACCCCATCTCTACCAAAAAAATTTTCTAAATTAATGGGGCATGGTGGCACGTGTCTATGGTCCCAGCTACTCAGGAGGCTGAGGTGGGAGAATTGTTTGAGCCCAGGAGTTCAAGGCTGCAGTGAGCTATAATTGCACCTTTGCACTTCAGCCTGGGTGACAGAGTGATACACTGTCTCTTTAAAAAAAGGGGTGGGGGGGAAAGAAGTAAATGTAATATGTAGAAAACTACAAAGAACAAGTCATTTCAAGTGGGTCACAGACAAAGCAATACAGAATCACCCAGCTGGTGACTGGAAAGGCTGGGATTGTACTGTCTGTCCTGAAGCCCACCCACCAGAACTTCCCTGGTCCTTGGTGGCCTCCATTGTTTAGGCCCGTTCCAGAGGAATCCTGGGACCTTAGGAGTCCTGATTAACCTCCCTGCCCCTGTCATCCCCATACGCCCGCCGGGATCCGCTGGGGGAACCTAGGGAGGCAGAGCCGCAGCAACACGTTCCTTGAGGTGACCCCAGCCCCAGCGCCCCACTCCAGTACGGGAGGGCCAGACACCCCCTCACCCCCAGAAGACAGCTGGCTGTGCCTGGAGGAGGACGTGGTGCTCAGTTTCCCCACCTGTGCAATGATGGTGTGGTAGATGCTGGGCCTGGTGAAAACTACGAAATTCCTAATTCAGAGATTCTTAATTTGGGTCTAGGGTCCATGGATGGGAATTAGGATACTTTTAACCGTCCCTGAAATTGTATACAAAATTATGTGACTATGTATGCATGTGTGAATGTTTCCAGAGAAGGGGTCTAGAACAGCACAGTCCAGTAGGTGACTATGTATGCATGTGTGAATGTTTCCAGAGAAGGGGTCTAGAACAGCACAGTCCAGTATGTGACTATGTATGCATGTGTGAATGTTTCTAGAGAAGGGGTCTAGAACAGCACTGTCCAGTAGGAATGTTCTGGGAGCTCTGCAGATGTTGTATTAAACTTTCTAGTGGCCACAAAAAAAGAGGTAAAATGATACAGGTGAAATTAATATATATTTAGCCCAATAATCTAAGGTATTGTCAATTCAACATGTAATCAACATATAAAATTATTAAGGAGATATTTTACTTTTTTTCATACTAAGACTTCAAAATCCACTGTGTGTTTTATGCTTGCAGCACATCTTAGTTCAGCCCAGCCGCATTTCCAGAGTCCAGCAGTTGCATGTGGCTAGAGCCTACCTTACCAGAGAGCTCAGGTCTATAGCTTTAATCAGATTCTCAAAAAGAGTTTGAAAAAGATGGAAAACCATTGCTCGATGGGTCACACGTGGATACCCCCCACTTGAAGAGAGCCGCAGGGTTCTGCATGGACGAGAGGAAATATTTAGGATGCTCCCATCACAGTTTCCATGAATTATGTGCCAAGACCTAGGGTTTTGACACATGGTGGAGACCCAAGGTGGGAAGGGGGAAGGACACGGAGCAGGGAAGCACAGTGGCTGGCCTCGGACTGAGGTCCTAAAGATCTCCCCACTCCAACCCTCCAAGGGCTATGAATAGGCAGCTGGGAATAGGGATCAGACCAAGACAAAGGTCAGGACAAGAAGACAGAAGACAGGTAGAGGTGACCTGGAGGCAGTCAGCCTGGAACAGGGCTGGCAGGCACAGCGGGGCTGGGCTGAGGCCACATGCTGCTCACCCAGGCCACGGGTGGAGGGTCCTTAAAGGAGGGCCATGCCTAGAGAGCCCATCAGAGCAGACCTGACCTAAGCAGCCATGCTGGAGGAAGTCTTGGGCGCCATGTTTTCCACTCTCTCATCCCTCTCCCTTGCTGGGCATCCTTGCCACCACTGTCTCTTCTCAACGTTTACTCTATACTCACAGAAAATGAACATCTATTTTTTCATTTGGCACTCAAGGCTCCTTTAATTTCCCCAGATTTTCTCTGGAAACCAGCCCTCCCCGACTCTCTTCCCCCTTGGTTTGGGTGCTGTTGACTCCACCTCCAGCTGCAAGAACACAGCATGTGGTCCAAAGCTGGCCAGTCAGTTCCTGGAAGCTTTCTAACCAAGGCATTTGGTTCATTGGACTCAGGACTCTGGCTGGTGCAATCACAATAAATGCTGGTGCATGAAGTTCTAAGAAAGACACTTTGTCTTTCCTGCTGGGCAGAACTTGGGAGCATATGAAGCTGGGGCTGCTAAATGTATCCATCTTGCCACCATGAGAGGAAAATTTGTCAGGAAAATGGAGCCAGTAATAATAAACACCTATATAACTAATACTTCCTATGTGCCAGGCAGAGGCGGGTTTATTGTGCAGCTAATGATACTTAAGCTGAGTCTTCTCCTTGCACACACACATCCTTCCAAGGCTCCAGGGGAGCCCTAGCAGTAGGTTCGTGTGATCATATATTTTAGTAAAATTCACAGTAGTAAACGATTTTATCCACAATTGGTAAAGACTGCTGTCTTCCCATTCCTACCCCTCTGTTAGCATTGGTGTGGCTATAGATATTTTTAGGATCTGGTTAAGGAGAGGTTGAGTTAGAGATATATTTTATTTCAGTTTAGTGAGATGTATTTATGGGGTTTGCAGTCAGCTTCACATATAGTGAAGTCAGCTTCATGTACAGTCAGCTTCACATATAGTGAAGTTCACTGTGATGTGGGTGTGTCCTTTGGTGCCAGAAGAATTGGATAGAGGAAGAGAAATGAGATCTGAAATATCCAGAGCCAGAAACCAATCTGAAAAATTCCTCTAATCCAACACACAACATTGTAAGTGGAAGACTTGGTTTTCCTTGACACCTGATCAAAACAGAAGTTCTCTCCTGAAAAGGGTGTTTCCCATCATGTCTTGATTGCATGTTTTCCTTTATTTGAGGGTAATTTTAAGAAATATTAATAGAATATGTATCGTGATTCCTGTGCTACAGCAGCTAGCACAACACCTACAACAGCTTATACACCAAAGAAGCTTGATGGAGGCTGCGGCAGATTCTGTTTTCCAATAATGGTTGCACCGATATCTCCTGTCCATGCTCTTCCAGCACCTTGCCACTCCCCATCAAAAAATAGAGGCCAACTCCCCTTCTCTTAAATCTGATGGGCTTGTGATTGGTAACTTACAGGATGTGAGAAAAATGACTGCTTGACTCCCAAGGTTAGATCATAAGGTGATGCAGCTCTCTTTTTTAATGGCTAGAACACTCCCCCTTAGAGCCCTGAGCCGCCAGGCGAAACACCCAACTCCCCTGAGGCGGCCATACTGTGGGGAAGCCCAGCCATAAGGACAGGCCACCAGTGGGTGCTGGAGTCAGCAGTCCTAATCTCCAACTGGCCCAGCCCAGGCTCCAGACCCACGGACGAATGAGCCTTCCAATAATTTTAGCCCCAGTGGTTGGGTCATCCCTAGCCAGGGCCCTTTCTGAATTTCTGACACACAAAATATCTGTGAGCCTAATAGAGTGGTTGCTGTGTTATGCCATTACATTTTGGGTGATTTGTTACATAGCCATAGTAAGTAAAGCAGAGGTTTTCCTAAATTTGTAATGATCCTGAAGTTTTATGTAACATTACCAGTAAAGAATTATGAAGCTGAAAGAAACAATCAATAATGAACTACTATTAACTATCAATAATTTTCTAAAAATTCCAATCAACCAGACTGGAGGAAAGATTGCTACCTATTTGCACCAAAGAAAGTGATATTACAAAACTGGTATTGTTATACAGCAAAGAAGAAATGAAAAAAAACAACAACTCACAAAATGGGTGTTGAACAAAAAGGCAATCAAGGTGTATTCAGGCAAGCAGTGGAGGGAAAAGCATGGAGGTGTGTCTGGCAGTTGATTCACACAAATATCATGGTGTGTTTTTTTTGTTTGTTTTTTGTTTTTGATATGGAGTCTTGCTCTGTGGTCCAGGCTGGAGTGCAATGGCATGGTCTCAGCTCACTGCAACTTCCACCTCCTCGGTTCGAGCAATTCTCATGTCTCAGCCTCCCCAGTAGCTAGTATTACAGGTGCGCACCACCATGCCTGACTAATTTTTGTATTTTTAGTAGAGATGGTGTTTCACCATGTTGGCAAGGCTGGTCAAGAACTCCTGGTCTCAAGTGATCCACCCGCCTCAGCCTCCCAAATTGTTGGGATTACATTTGTGAGCCACTGTGCTGAGCCCATATCAATGTATTTTTTTAAATTTTGTAATATTTTGGAATTTATCAACCTTTTAAAATTTTAATTTTTGCCTGATTTCTTTTTATCATTTACAAAGAATATTAACTTTTGTACCTAACTTTGTGTCAACTTGTATAACCTTCAGGCTCCATAATACACGCCCTTGTGTCACACTATTCAAAGCACTTTATATAGAGAACACCGTTGTTTTATCTACAATTGGCAAAGCTGCCTGTCTTCCTGTTTCTGCCTGTCTGCCGACATTGGTGTGGCTATGGCTGTTTTTAGGATCTGGCTAAGGAGATCCCCCAAGCCCTGTCAGGTGAGGAACTTTTATTATCCTCATTCTACAAATGAGAACACGGAGGCAGGAGTTGGTTGATGAACTGCCCCCAGGTCACCCTGGGAGTGGAGCCCAGAGGCCACAGTACAGTCTCCTTCCAGAGGAAGTGCAGGCAAAAGGGAGCAGAGAGAGCCCTTGGATCGAGCTTTGCCTGAAGGAGTAGATCCAGTCCTGGGCTTTTCACTTGGGTCTCAGCCCCTCCCCACCTACTTTAACCCCAGGAAAGAAGGGTTTGGTCACTCCCTTCCCTTTATCCTTGCTTAGAACACCAATCGATGACAATGTCACAGAGAAGAGGAGGCAGCTGACTGACAGGGGTGTAGGAAGTATCAGGGCTGATGACCTGCTGAGTTTCCATTCCAGGCAAAAGCCCTGGAGCAGGTTGTGGGTCAGATAGCAAGATATGTAGCATGAGGCAGGCATGACACATGCTTCGGTGTTCCGCGCTGAGTACCATGGGAAGGCACAAGCGGGCCTGTACTCTTGCCTCATGAGGAAGTGGTTATTTACCCTGTTGACATGAGGGAAAGGACCATTTCCTGTCCAGGAGTGCTCAGGACCAAGCAGGAAAGGGACACCTCACCCCTGCCCTCATTCATTCTAGGGCTACTGGAAAGGACAAGCCTTGCTGTAAGCAAGGGACAGGGCACCACCCAGCCAAGCCATTCATTCATCCCACAAATTGTTATTGAGTGTCTACCGTGTCCCAGACAGAGAGCTGTGAGGGTAAAAACAGGCCTGGTCCCCACCTCCAGTGTACAACCCACCTTCCACTCCATGTCTCTCAGCCAACGGGGTAAGTCAGTGTTCCAGAACCTGGGACATGACACTTCAGGCCCTGGAGTGCTGGGGCAGATATACAATGCAGAACAGAGTCTCTGGAATTTCAAGGTAAAGAGCCATGGAAGAGCTGTAAACAAATATTAGTCAGCTAATTAACTTAGTTTGGAGGCAGTCGTTGCAGGTCCATGAGCTTTGGGATAAGAAATAGAAACATGTTTTGTTTTGTTTTTTCTCTGAAATTTTTGTTTGTTTTAATACAATTGAACATCTCATTCCCCCCCAACAGTAATCAAAGCAAACATTTTATCATTATTTTTGTCATATTATTCTTGGTATATCAAACTAAATTCCAGGAATGTAAGAAAATCTGACTTGGAAATATTACATAGAAAAAGGCTGAATTAACACATTACCTTTTTTAGTTTTTCCTTGTAAGTATACATTGACATCTACTTATCCGATAACAGCACTGTGGTTTTGAGTGAGTTTGGTTTGGTTTGGTTTGCTTTCCTTCCAGAGGGAATGCAGTATGGCAGTATTATCTTTGGAACAAATTAAAAAGGTATTAGCAAATAACAGAAGAGTTACTTCCACACATATATTTTCCATGGGCAATAAGTAGAAAAGTATATTATGAAAAAATATGCCTCAACTATGCTTTTTAAAATTTCTCGAGGTTTACTGGTTTGTTTTTCTTATTAAAATATAATGCACTATCACTACTGTCTGTCCGGGGAAAAACAAACCCTGAGGTTTGAGTTTCCTCCTTCAGCCCATAAAGTGATATCAAGAGTAAACTTGGATTGAGGTCACCCTGTTTGAGCCACCAGAGAGTTCTGTAGTATATCTGGTTATTTTACTAATGTATACATATTCTAGGTTATAATCAAGATACTCATCAAATATTTTCTATGAAAGTTTTATATCCCAAACAGGTTCTTTGATGATTTATCATGCTACCATAGGAAATTTGAAGAAATTACAAATTGTGTAACAGAAATAGACATGCAATATAGAGGACAGAAAAGATACAGCTTGACCCTGGGTTTTTCCCTTAGAATAATTCCTTCCATAAATCAGACTTTATTTTCACATATAGACTCATCCTATAACTGGTCTTGGATCATGAAGTTAATGACATAGTTGGAAAAATCTAGGCCACACATTTTTGTGGTCTTTTGTCACCCTAGACCACACACAAAAAAACATTCTCCAAGTGGATGCTCGGGTTAGATTATGATGCTCTTACATTAAAAAATTGACTGAAGCTGAGAATGTAAAGCACACAACTATTTGCAGCAGCAATAGTCTTTCAAAAATGACTAAAACTTTTAAATACAAGGCATACAAAACAGACTATTAAGGAGAGTTTTCCAAACTATATCTAGAAATACAGGAAAATATGTATTGCCTCATAATAAAGTTAAATAAATATCATTTCTGAGTTCTATAAACACTATAAGAGGTTATCGTTTTATCGGAGAACCATGTTTTAAGACCCCCTGAGGTACCTGCTCCGACCTCTCCCAGAACCCCTCTGCCTCTCCTCACCAGGCCTTCTCCGTCTTGAGGGGATCTCCCCGCTCCCCACTCCGCCCTGTTGGCCTTATCCTCTGATTTCTGTTTTCATAAAGCTTCCAAGCAATGGAAATGAGTATGTGCGTTTTAAATGTACTGTATTTGTCACTTTTATATTCTAGTTCATAATATTTTTTAAAAAATAAATTGAGACTTTCATACATTTTCAAAACATAAACCAAAACAAAACTGGGTTAAGCGTGAATAGGGCCCTCTAAAAGATTATTTCTGTAGGCTGGTTGATCTGAATAGAAGACACATCTTTCTCTAAACTCCAGTAGTGACCTGCTGACCACAGATTTGGCAAGAGAATCCTCAGTCCAGACGTATGTTCAGAGTTTCATCCTAATGCTCAATTGCCAGGAGTTCTATGAAATTTTGCCCTCCTCTTCCCACATGGCACTGACTCATCTGAAAGGCAATAGGTTTCCTGTAAACACCCAACTCACCAACAGCTGCCAAGGGGGGCGACTGTGAGGTAATGATCTGCCTGCCCTGGGTTCAGGAGGGTGTGGGGTACACCTATGCCACCTGCAAGGCCCAGGGCCCCAGCCAGCCTGCTCCTTCCTGCCCCTGAGGAGGCAGCACCTGAGTGCCCCGCCAGTGCGGAGGAGACTTCCCTTCTGTGTGCCACCCGGGGTGGCCCAGAGGGATTTGAGGTGAAGTCCAGAGCTGAGGGCCAAGCCCAGCCCTCCCCATCACACTCCCTCAGCACCAGCTATAGTTGATGACTTCCCTCACATGACAGGATTTGAAATGCATATGTGAATGTGCTTTTAATGTTTTGCCCCTTCCTCCTATTCATTTCTCTCGTCTTCAGCCAATGGCACCAACTGTTAAAGCTGGAGATGAGAGAAAGAAAGGGGCCCTCCTGGCCGGGTGCAGTGGCTCTCACCTGTAATCCCAGCACTTTGGGAGGCTGAGGCTGGCGGATCAACTGAGGTCAGGAGTTTGAGACCAACCTGGCCAACATGGCAAAACCCCGTCTCTACTAAAAATACAAAAAAAATTAGCCAGGTGTGGTGGCGCACACCTGTAATCCCAGCTACTCGGGAGGCTGAGGCAGGAGAATCGCTTGAGCCATAGAGGTGGAGGTTGCCGTGAGCCAAGATTGTGCCATTGCACTCCAACCTGGGCAACCGAGTGAGACTCTGTCTCAAAAAAAAAAAAAAAAAAAAAAAAAGGGGAGCAGGGGGCCTCCTTCTGCCTCAAATCTCAGAGCCAACGTTCCAGAAACAAGGCTTAAAGGCTGACCACTGTGAGGAAAATGAAGACTTTTCTAAATTCCCAGAGTTTCCTTTCACAGACCATAAGCAGAGCTTTGAAATGTGGGTCCTGTGAAGAGAGAGTCTTAGAGAAAGTGCCCACCCAGCATAGGATGAAAGGAGAAAGCCCCTGTACTTCCAGGAGGGAAGCAGGGAGAAGGACTCACATGTCTTCCCAGCCCAGCCCAAGCCCTTGGGGGTATTCTGCACGAACAAATCAGGTGGGTGAAATCCCTTAGGTGTGGGCTTAGCCCTGTCTCCACAGGCACATCCTGGGAAAAGTCACATCCCTGGACAGGAGCACTGTGTCCCGCATAGTAATGCCTGCCCATCGTGGGTGTGGGAAGTGATTGGGGAAGGGCCTAGGTAGGATGGGGGCCTGTGGTGGTGCCCTCTCATCTTCCTAGGCCCCCTTGTGTGACAGAAGGATCCAGAAGTGTTCCCAAGCTCCCACTGGGGGTGTGGAGGTAGCTCAGCTGACAGCAAGAGGCCTGCCTGAAGCTGCCATGGGTGGCGTGAGGTGAGGCAGAAGCTGGGGATGGTCAGCTTGAGCCAGGGCCTGCCCCGACCTGGCCAGCGTGGAACGCAACAGCGGTCCCGTCAGCTGTGGCTTTGGCTGTGCATACAAGCAGGAGTCCAAAGGCCTGGTCAGAACACCCCACATAGATCCTGGACTACAACCCTCCCAAGACCACTGAGGGTCCCGCATGCTTAGCTGCCATCTCGGCTCCAAGGGTGGGGTAGAGAGAGCTCCAAAATGAGCATTTCCTAAGAGAAGCTGAGTTTAATCCAAAAGTGAACCTGAATTTTTTTATGTTAAGTGGGAAATTGTAATTCCTCCCAGCCTATTTGTAACCTCCTCCTTACACAACTGTCCAGAGGTCTGGGGACTAGGAAATAAGATGTCGCAAGTTATGAAGCAGAAAAGGAATCTAAATGGGATATCTGGAAAGAGATTCACAGAGGAGGCATTTCTTAAGATGAGCCTTTAGAAAATGGGTTGGTGCTTACAGATTATTGCAACACCAATTTACAGTATTCTGTGCTATTTAAAAGTGGAGTACCACTATTAGGTATAAGCTGTTACTTCAGAGGTCATACAGCAGCGGCATTCAACCTTTTTGGCTATCTGTAAACCCCCTCCCCCCATATTCCCGCCTACCCTCTTCTCAGAGCCTCTCACCACACTCCATCCTAAGCCCTCTTCCTCACTCAGCTACTGCAAACCCCCATCTCCTCCATATCATATTGCCAGCCCTTCTCAAAAAAGCCTGAGTTGGGTCAGGTGCGGTGGCTCACGCCTGTAATCCCAGCATTTTGGGAGACTGAGGCAGGCAGATCACCTGAGGTCAGGAGTTCGAGATCAGCTTGGCCAACATGGTGAAACCCTGTCTCTACTAAAAATACAAAAATTAGCCGGGCGTGGTAGTGCACACCTGTAATCCCAGCTGCTTGGGAGGCTGAGGCAGGAGAATCACTTGAACCCGGGAGGTGGAGTTTGCAGTGAGCCGAGATCATGCCACTGCACTCCAGCCTGGGTGACAGAGCAAGACTCTGTCTCAAAAACGAAAACAAAATCAAAAGCCTGAGTAGAGGAGGTCTCCAAAGCAGATGTTCCACCAGGCATGGGAGGGATTAGGCACCAACCACAGCCCCTTCACCAGGGCAGAGCAGCAGCCCAGAGGCAGAAGTCCTGGGAGTTCCATTCCTAGAAGCCTCAAAGAGCAGGAAGGAAATCAGCCCCTTTCATCAAGGGCTGCCCCTCTGAGGACACCCAGGGAGGATGGCACCAAGATCAGAGGTGTCAGAGCCAGGAGGACAGAGGGACAAGGCCCTAGAATCCTTTCTTTTGGCATTTAAAATATGGAATCAGAATCATCTTGAAGCCAGTATCAGTGACTCTATAATTCTATGTAAGCTGAAAATTCTTACTGAATACAACTCTCCCCTGTGTAGACAGGCAAGCAGGGCCTGCAATAAAATGTTAAACCAAACTAAGGCACATTTTGTTTTTAAAACCTCTCAAAGTTTTCCTTCATCTTTATACTTCTTTAAGCTTTAAGAAAAGAAAGAAAATTATAATCAACAAGGCAAAGCTCCTACTGCAAAAATAATGCATACTTTAAAGAATTTCTGGGCGGGGCGCAGAGGCTCACGCCTGTAATCCCAGCACTTTGGGAGGCCAAGGCAGGTGGATCACCTGAGGTCAGGAGTTGGTGACAAGCCTGGCCAACATGGTTAAACCCCATCTCTACTAAAAATACAAAAATTACCTTGGCCTGGTGGTGTGTGCCTATAATCCCAGATACTTGGGAGGCTGAGGCAGGAGAATTGCTTGAGCCCAAGAGGCGGAGATTGCAGAGAGCCGAGATCACCCCACTGCACTCCAGCCTGGGCAACAAGAGTGAAACTCCGTCTCAAAAAAGCGAGTATCTGGACCATAAATGTGGCAGTATTGAAATTAGCAAAGATCATTCTGAACAGAACATGCCATCTGTATACAATGAAATCAAAGACCAAGACAATGCTTTCTTTGATCTTAAAAGATTGCAGGCTGGATGCGGTGGCTCATGACTGTAATCCCAGCACTTTGGGGGGCTGAGGCGGGAGGATTGCTTGAGCCCAGGAGTTTGAGACCAGCCTGAGCAACATAGGAGACCTAGTCTCCACAAAAAATTTTTTAAAAATTAGCCAGGCATGGGAGTGCTCGCCTGTGGTCACAGCTACTCAGGAAGCTGAAGTGGCAGGATCACTCGAGCCCAGAAGGTCAAGTCTACAGTGAGCCGTGATTGCACCACTGCACTCTAGCCTGAGTGACAGAGTGAGAAAAAAAAAAAAATCACAACTTCTACAAAAAGATATTAAGTAAATTTTATTAAGAAGATGCCATCAGTTTTCAAATAAGGGGTGGCCTTATTTGAAAATGAAGAACTGAGAGAAAAGTTAGAAGTTTGAAAGTTTGAAGTTAGTTTCAAGTTAGCTCTTTACCATTCCCACAGCTCATATGGATTCAGAAGAGCTTTTCTAGCAGGTAGAATTATTGGCTCTCAACTCCAAGATAACAGCTTTGACACACTCAGTTTCTTCAACAGCATACTTTTCAAAAATATCACATATTACTGTCATTCTGACCCAGCGGTGTCATGCCTGCCACCCTGACCACGCTGAGCTGCCCGCAGTAAGGCTGCTGTGTGGCTTGTGCTGCTGTTCCCACTGGTCTTTAAAAAGGGATGTTGGGTCCGGGCACGGTGGCTCACGCCTGTAATCCCAGCACTTTGGGAGGCTGAGGCAGGCAGATCACGTGAGGTCAGGAGTTTGAGACCAGCCTGGCCAATATGGTGAAACCCTGTCTCTACTAAAAATACAAAAAATTAACCGGATGTGGTGGTGGGCACCTATAATCCAGTTACTTGGGAGACTGAGGCACGAGAATTGCTTGAACCTGGGAGGCGGAGGTTGCAGTGAGCCAGGATTGTGCCATTGCACTCCAGTCTGCGCAATAAGAGTGAAACTCTGTCTCAAAAATAAATAAATAAATAAAATTTTTAAAGGCGACGGGTGGGCGGGGGGGGGGTGTCGGGAGGAGACCACTGGGTCAGAATGAGTCTCCTCTTCACAGCCTAAAATCTACTGACCCTAAAGAAACTCACAATATTTGGTGGATCCAAGGGGCTTGAAGGAATGAGAATCAGAGGGACAGAGAAACAGACCTGCTCAGATCAAAAGATGCATCGTGAAAGAGCCAAGAATTCAGATCAGATTTACATACCCCGCCACACACACTTTCTCACAGACACTGTTTAGCTACCAGGAACAATGAACGTATTTAATGTATTTGCATGGGGTGGCAGCTGTGTACCTGGCCCAAGTTCAAAGAGCTGACTGTGGATAATTATCACGGAAACTGTGCACACCCACCAGCTGGCGCCATGCCGGGATGGGTCCGTCCCTTCACAGCCATCAGGAAGCTGATCAGAGGAGACGCTGAGTTGTGAAGAGGGACAGGGGAGGCCACAGAGTCAAGGGGTGGAGAAGAAAGGATGGTGAATCAGAAAGCAAGACTAGCAACTCAAAACAAAATGCCTGTACAGACATAATGTACCCTGAAAGAAGCCAGGCATAGAGGAGTGTGATTGTGTGATTCCGTGGATGCCAAGCTCTAGAACGAACACAGTTAATCAGTGGTGACAGAACTTAAAATTGTGGTTACCTTTGGTTGAGGGGTATTTTCTGGTAAGAATCACAAGGGAATCTTCATACATGATGAAAATGTTCTGTATCTTGATCAAGGTGGTGGTTACAGGGGTAGAGACATGCAAGCATCCATCCAGCTGCACACCTACGGTCTTGTGCTTTTCTGTCTATGTTATACTCAATAACATTTAAAAAAAAAAAACAACCATTAAGAGTCTGCTGTTGGGGGTGGGAGCAAAGAGCTATAAGCAAACTGATTGATGGTTCAACTTCTAGGAGAGCTCAGTTACCATGAAAGGTAAAGGTGCAGATTAACCTGAAAATAGGATTAGTTGGAAGTTGGCAGAAGTGTAATAGTCCCACAAATCACCTGTCCAGTCTCAGCAGAAGGTTAAAGGTTTACTCTCTGGGGAGGAGCAAGCAGAAGACATGGGAGTCCACATACTGAAATGGGAGTCATCACCTTCAGACCTCTTTCCCCACTCAGCCCTGAGAATGCTGGCAGCCAGTCTTACACCTCCCCTGCTGCCACCACCACCAGTATCATCAGGCAAGAGAACAGAGGATTCCCTTCCAGGGAAACACACCAACATAAAAGGAAAAACAAAAACAAACAAAAAACTACCAATACTAATAGGTGATTGCTGTATTCCAGAGTTCCAGATCCCTGCCTAATCAACCTACAATGAAGTTTCTATTCAGCCAGGTCAGACCATGTGCACAGAGCTTCCAGTGATCACTTTAGTGCCTCACTCTTAAATGTGACCAGACAACCTGGGATCACCAAACATTTGAAGAAATCCTCTAACATGATTAATGATTAAAACTACAAACCAAATAAAGAGACACAGAAACAGAGACAGTGCTGGAAGTATGAGAAAACTTTTTACAAAGCTGTAATTAATGTTGTTAAAATAAAAACTTCAGCCAAATTAAATGTAAAGGAGTTTAATTGAGCAATGAACAATTTGCAAATTGGGCAGCCCTCAGAATCACAGCAGATTCAGAGAGAGTCCAACGCAACCACGTGGTAGAAGAAGATTTATAGACAAAAATGGGAAGTGATGTGCAGAAATCAGAAGTGAGGTACAGAAATAGCTGAATTGGTTACAGCTCAGCATTTGCCATATTTGAACACAGTTTAAACGCCTGACAGTATGTGAGTGGTTGAGGTATGGCTGCTGGGATTGGCCAAGACCCAGCCACTGTTAAGGCACACACTCCCAAGGTAGGTTCTCAGTCTTGTCTACCTATTAGTTAGGTTGCAGTTCTCCCACAAGGACTCAAATATAGAAGTACAGAATCCTTCTCAAGCCATATTTAGTTCGCTTCAACAATGTCTTTACATGAAAAGACATAAAAAAGACAATGAAGATAAAAGATGATGGATCTTTGCAACAAAAAGGGTGGGGATGCCATGAAATGGAATGTTCAGAGTATAAAGAACCCTCGTACACTAAAAATATGATGGCAGAAATAAGTAAAATTAATGGAAAAATTAGATAATAGAGTTGAGAAAATCTCCCTAGAAAAGCAAATCAAAAATTCAAAGAAATGGGTCAGGCGCAGTGGCTCATATCCATAATCCCAGCTCTTTGGGAGGCTGAGGCAGGCAGATTGCTTGAGCCCAGGAGTTCTAGACCAGCCCGAACAACATGGTGAAACCCCATCTCTACAAAAAAAATACAAAAATTGGCTGGGCACGGAGGCATGTGCCTGTAGTCCCAGGTACTTGGAAGGCTGAGGTGGGTGGACTGCTTGAGCCCTGGAAGCAGAGGTTGCTGTGAGCCATGATGGTGCCACTGCACTTCAGCCTGGGTGACAGAGTGAGACCTTGCCTCAGAAAAAAAAAAAAGAAAAAGAAAAAAAAGAAAAAAAGAAATGAAAATAGGAGATAAGACTATGTATTTAAAAGAGCATGCCAGGAAGCCTAAATTATTCTTTCTTCCCTGCTCCTCTCCCTTCTCCCCCTTTCTTCCCCACTCTTCTCCTCGTCCTCCCCCTTCTTCTCTTCCTCCCCCTCCTCCTCCTCCTTTTTTCTTCTTCTTCTCTTTAGCGATGTGGTATCACTTTGTTGCTCAGCTGGAGTGCAGTAATATCTTCTTCTTGGGAGTTCCAGGAATGGATCAAAGAAATCATTAAAATTATCAAAGAAATAATGCAAGAAAAGATTGCAGAACCAGAAGACTCTCTAGATAAAAGGGGTTGCTGAGTACACAGAACACCCAGCAAACAAGTAAAACAAACAAACAAACAAAAAACCCTCATCAAAGGATATTTATCATTAAATTTTAGAAATCTGGAAATAAAAAGGTCACACACCAAGGACTAAAAATCATAATGGGATTGAACTTATTAACAGCAACATTGGAAGTTAGGAGACAATGGAAAAATGTCTTGAAATTTCTTACAGAAAATTATTTACAACTTAGAAGTTTTTTTCCCAATCAATCCGCTAGTCAAAAGTGAGAGTAGTGTATAGGCATATACAGAAATGCAAGGACTCAAATTTTTTTTAGCCTTTCTCATGAGCTACCAGAACAGTGCTTTCTAGATATTAAAGTGCCATGGATCACCTGGGAACCTGTTACAATGCAAATTCTGGTTCAGCAGGTCTAGAGTGAGGCCTGAGCACTCTGACAAGCTCTCAAGTGACATCAGTGCTGCTGATCTGTAGACCACACGGTGAGAGTGAGGTACTAGAGGATACGTCTCACCAGAATGAAAGAATAAACCAACAAAAAGGAAGAAGTTGGAACCAGGAAATTGAGGATCCAACATAAAAGCAAGTTAATATCCAAAATGATGCTGAAGGGAGCTCCCAGGGCATTACCTAAAGGGAAAGCAGTCCAAATTGGGACATATAAGGAGATATTAAAAGGAGGAGGAAGTTGAAGAGGAGAAAATAATGAAACTGATGATTACCTGATATATCAAGAGGAGATTTATACTTCTGGTGGAGAGTTTAAAGACAAATTACTGATAGTAACATAGAAAACTAAGCTAATCAGGAAGTAAGGCAATTATTAACTCCAAGGAAAACTAGAATGACAGTAACCATATCATACTACATAATCACAATGTAAAAAATGAATATTGACCAAAAAATTATAACATAACAATATTGAGGCACTGAGAGAGGATAGAGCAAAAAAAAAAAAAAAAAAAAAAACAAAAATTGAGCCCTCATCCTCCATAATAGGAAGTCAATAAAAATCAAGAAATAATAGTATAAGCATGTTATTTAGAAATCTGGAGATAGGGCTGGGCACCGTGGCTCACAACTGTAATCCCAGCACTTTGGGAGGCTAAGGTGTGTGGATCTTGAGATCAGGAGCTCAAGACCAGCCTAGCCAACAAGGTAAAACCCCATCTCTACTAAAAATACAAAAATTAGCTGGGCGTGGAGGTGCACGCCTGTAATTCCAGCTACTTGGGAGGCTGAGACAGGAGAATCACTTGAACCCAGGAAGCGGAGCTTGCAGTGAGCCAAGATTGCGTCACTGCACTCCAGCCTGGGAGACAGAGCGAGAAAAAAAAAAAAAAGAAATCTGGAGATAAATACCGAAAGACACAACTAAAAGAGTCCTTAGCAGTTGCTGCTGGGTGAATAGGAGCGGGGGAGGAAGCTAATGTTTCTTCATTATAAGATTTGCAAAGCTGTTTGACTTTCTAAAAAATAATTACTTGGGCCGGGCATGGTGGCTCATGCCTGTAATCCCAGCACTTTGGGAGGCCAAGGTGAGTGGATCACCTGAGGTCAGGAATTCGAGACCAGCCTGATCAACATGGAGAAACCTCGTCTCTACTAAAAACACAAAAATTAGCCAGGTGTGGTGGCACATGCCTGTAACCCCAGCTACTTGGGAGGTTGAGGCAGGAGAATCACTTGAACCCAGGAGGCGGAGGTTGCAGTGAGCTGAGATCATGCCATTGCACTCCAGCCTGGGCAACAAGAATGAAACTTCGCCTAAAAAAAAAAAATTACTTGATCAAAATATACATTTCAAATTAAATGAAAATTATTTGAAAATGTGGATGTTTTGTCATTAATAATAAACTGACTTACAACACGTATCACAACTAGTTGCCACTCCCCAGTGTTTGGGGCCTGCAAACCACAGCTCAGAGGCAGTTCATTCCCTTTAGATGCTCAATTCTAGGAGAAGCCATATGGGCAGGAAACACGTGGAGTACAGCAACGGCAAGTTCAAGAGATGCTTGTGAAACTTCCTGACATTCATCAGGTTTCTAGATGAGACAAGATCATGCTGTATCTACTTTTTTCAAAAGAAGAACTTTTCCCTCCCAGCTATATCCACCCAGTTAGCCAATGGACTAGTCAGGATTTTTTCAGTTGCAAGTACCAGAAACCAAATTCGAAATGGCTTAAGCAGAAAAGCAATTCATAGAGTCCCATAAAGCCCATGGGAAGCCCTGGGAAAAACCTAGGTTCAAATCCTACCTTCAAATCCTACCTTCAGTATTTACCACTGTGTGACTTAATTGCCTATAAAATGAATACGATAATAGTATCATTGTGGATATGAAATGAGTTAACATTTACTTAGTGCCTGGTGCATAGTGTATTAGTTCTCCCACTGCTATAAGGAAATACCCGAGCCTGGGTAATTTATAAAGAAAAGAAATTTAATTGGCTCAAGATTCCACAGACTGTACAAGAAGCATGGCTGGGAAGGCATCAGGAAACTTACAATAATGGCAGAAGGCAAAGAGGAAACAGGCACACCTTCACATGGCCAGACCAGGAGGAAGAGAGAGAAGGGAGACGTGCTACACATTTTTAAATAGCCAGATCTCCTGAGAACTCACTTATTATCATGAGAACAACAAGGAGGAAATCTGCCCCCATGATCCAATCAACTTTCACAAGGCCCCTCTTCCAACACTGGGATTATAACTGGACATGAGGTTTGAGTGAGGACACAAATCTAGACCATATCACAGAGCTAACACTTAACACATATTATAACATTATTATTGCCGGGCGCGGTGGCTCATGCCTGTAGTCCCAGCACTTTGGGAGGCCGAAGCGGGCGGATCATGAGGTCAGGAGATCAAGACCATCCTGGCTAACGCGGTGAAACCCCATCTCTACTAAAAATACAAAAAAAATCAGCTGGGCGTGGTGGCAGGCGCCTGTGGTCCCAGCTACTTGGGAGGCTGAGGCAGGAGAATGACATGAACCCGGGAAGCAGAGCTTGCAGTGAGCAGAGATCATGTCACTGCACTCCAGCCTGGGCGTCAGAGCGAGACTCCATCTCAAAAAAAACAAAACAAAAAAAGAACATTATTATTATAAGCTACTATTCAGGAATCACAGCAAATCTGGAGAATAAATTAAAAAGTTCATCCTGGACACATTGTAATGTAACTGCAGAATACCAAAGATAAAGAAAAAATACTAAAAGTCCTCAGAAAAAAAGACATAAGTTGCCCTATGAAGGATAGACAGGCTGGAGCAGGCTTCTCAACAGCAGTAACTAAAGCCAGAAGAAAGTAAAATATCTTCAAAATGCTGGGAGAAAAGAACCTGCCAACTGAGAATTTTATACTCAGCCAAGCTATTATTTAAGAATGAGCATTACATGAATAATTTATTGGATCAACAAAAATGGAAGGTTTACCACTAAGAAACCTCACCAAGCTCTTCTATAGATTTACTCCAGGAAGAAGGAAATAGAATAGGTTATTAAACATATGGTAAACCAAAATATTGACTATACAGATAATAATCATAATGATGACTAATATGGGGAATAAAAAATGAAGGAGGGAAGTAGAACACCAAACAGTGACAAATGAAATGGGAAGATATGATAGAGCGAAGATTTTAAAGCACCTGGCCTTGTTCTGGAATAGGGTAAAGAAGTGGGTTAACTTTAAACTTTGCTAATTCAAGTAAACAGGTTAAAATTTAGAGATACTTACAAAAAGAATAAAATTAGAACATGTAAATTCCAAGATAATAAACAGGTTAAAATGTAGAGGTACTTACAAAAAGAATAAAATTAGAGTATGTAAATTCCAAGGTAATAAAGAAGGAGGGAAAAGAAAAGGAATCCAAAAGTTTTCAGGGGGAAAAAAAAGAAAACCTCAGAAAAAAAGAGTGAATAGAAAGCACAAAATAAGATAGCAGGCCAGGCGCAGTGGCTCACACCTGTAATCCCAGCACTTTGGGAGCCCAAGGCAGGCGGATCACCTGAGGTCGGTAGTTCAAGACCAGCCTGGCCAACGTGGTAAAACCCCATCTATACTGAAACTACAAAAATTAGCCAGCCATCGTGGCAGGCACCTGTAATCCCAGCTATTCAGGAGGCTGAGGCAGGCAAATTGCTTGAACTCAGGAGGCAGAGGCTGCTGTGAGCTGAGATCGCACCACTGCACTCCAGCCTGGGTGACAGAGTGAGACTCCATCTCCAAAAAAAAAAAAAAAGATAACAGTAATAAATCCAAATATATCAATAATCGTAATAAATGCTAATGGACTAAACTAATCCATTAAAAACTATAAATTTAATTTTCTGTATGCTTGAATTTCTCCTAATAAAAAAAATTTTAAAGAGAGATTGTCAATCTAGTGTTTTTTTTAAACTCCACCTGTGGCTGTTTGTAAGAGCACACTGAAAACATAAGAACACACAAAAAAGTTGAAAATAAGAGCCTGATAAAGATACACCAGGGAAACACTGATCATGAGAAAATTGGTGTACATATAGATAAAAGAGACTCTAATGTAAACATCATTAGGAATAAGGAGGATTGCTGTGTAAAGATCAATGGAATAATTCGCCAGGAAGATATAACAGTTATCTACTTGCATGTATCTAAATAACATAGCCTTAAAATGCTATGCTCTAATTAAAACTTGACAAAATTAAAATGTCCTAAGCAAAACTTGACAAATCTACAATTCTACCTCTCTCATCAATGGATAAATAAAACATATAAAATATTATTGAGAATATAGAAGATTTGAACAACACAGCGAACAAGCTTAATCTACAGGACATATACAGACCCCTACAAATACATATACAGGACATATACAGCCACAACATTTAGGGAATACACCTTCTTCTCAAACACAATGGAACATTTTTTACAAACATTGGTCATGAACAGGGTTTTATGATAAGTCTCAAAAATCTGAAAAAGGTACCATACAGATAACATTTCTTTTACCAAGGTGCAAATAAGGTAGAAATCAATCACAAAAATATGCCTTACAAAATCCATGATTTGAGAATTATGATACACATTACCAAATGGAAACAGAATAAACTTACTTTTTTAAAAAAATTAGCCTTTTTTTTCAGAACAGAAAAACTGTGAAGATAGTACAGTGTTCCCACAGACCCTGTGGCCAGTTTTCCTATTATTAACATCAAACATGAGTATATTTGCTACAATTAACCAATATTGATATGTTATTATTAACTAAATCCATCCCTTATTCAGATTTCCTTAGTTTTTACCTAATGTCCTTTTCTTTTCCAAGATTCCATCTAGGATATGACATTTAGTAGTCACGTCTTAGGCTCCTCTTGGCTGTGATGGTTTCTCAGACTTCCCTTGTTTTTGATGACTTTGACAGTCTTGAGAAGTACTGGTCAGGTATTTTGTAAAATGTCCTTTGATTGAGATGTGTCTGATGTTTTCCTCATTATTAGACTAGAATCATGGTTTTGAGGGAGGAAGACCACAGAGGTAAAGGGCCATTTTCCTCACATCACATCAAGGGTACATGCTATCAATGTGCCTTATCAATGTTGCTGTTGACCTGATCATCTGGATGAGGTAATATTTGCCAATTTTCTCTACTGTAAAGTTACTTCCTCCTTTCCATTCTGTACTCTTTGGAAGCAAGTCACTAAGTGGAGCTCATACTTAAGGGGTGGGGAGTCATATTCTACCTCCTTTATTGAGGAGTATCTACATAAATTATTTGGAATTATTCTGCATGAAAGATTTGTCTCTTCTTTCCCATTGATTTATTTTATTAGTATTTATTTATATTAGTTTATTTATATTAGTATGGACTCATGGATATTTTATGCTTTAGGTTGTAATCCAATGCTACTTTATTTCTTTTAATTTTTAAAAATTTTTTATTTTATTTAATTATTTAATTAAAAAAAATTTTAAACTATTATTAATTTTTTTTTTGAGACAGGGGTCTTGCTCTGTCACCCAGGCTGGAGTGCAGTGGCATGATCTCGGCTCACTGCAACCTCCGCCTCCCAGGTTCAAGTGATTCTCCCGCCTCAGCCTCCCAAATAGCTGGGATTACAGGTGGGTGCCACCACACCCAGCTAATTTTTTTTTTGTATTTTTAGTAGAGATGGGGTTTTACCATGTTGGCCAGGCTGGTCTTGAACTCCTGACCTCAAGTGATCCACCCGCCTCGACCTCCCAAAGTGCTGGGATTACAGGCATGAGCCATAGTGCCCAGTCAACTTTGTTTTCTTTTGTTGCTCAAATTGTTCCACCATTGGCCATTGGGGAGAATTTGTTGTTGCCTCCTGTGTCTCTTTTGACACGTATGTATTGTTTTGCTTTTTGAGCACCTCCTTGCTTTTTGATCACTTCCTTACTTTCTGGCACTACAAGATGCTTTAGGATCATCTTGTATACTGACTGTTTCCACTCTAGAATGAACCATTTCTCCAAGAAACCCTGGTTCTTTCTTGTTGAAGAATGCTATTAGAAGCCAAGATCTGGGCACTGTGTGTGCTCATTGCTACTGGGGTGTCATTACTTCTAGGTTCTCTCAGCAAACAGAGCTAGGCTATTGTGTGTGTGTGTGTGTAACACATATTTAATATATTATATATGTTTATATATATGTATGTATATGACATATACTGATCTGTGTATACACACATATATATAATTATTTTTATATCTATCCATCAATATCTAAACTAAACATGGTATCTCTGACTCTAATCTAGCACCACATTGTTCATTCTAGTAATCCAAAAGCCTTTTGAAAAACTGAATTACTGGCTGGGTGTGATGGCTCATGCCTGTAATCCCAGCACTTTGGGAGGCCGAGGTGGGTGGATTGCCTGAGGTCAGGAGTTCGAGACCAGCCTGACTAACATCGTGAAACCCTGTATCTACTAAAAATACACACACAAAAAAAACAGCCACGCATGGTGGCACACGCTTGTAGTCCCATCTACATAGGAGGCTGAGACAGGAGAATTGCTTGAACCCAGGAGGTGGAGGTTGCAGTGAGCTGAGATTGTGCCACTGCACTCCAGCCTGGGTGATAGAGCAAGACTCCATCTCAAAAAAAAAAAAAAAGAAAAAGAAAAAAAGAAAAACTGAATTAGTAATTCAAAATCTAACAACAATAAAAAATAAACTCAAGACCCAGATTACTTTATAGGCAAGTGTTACCAGGTAAAGACTAGACACCATTTTAAATGTGCATTTGAAAAACATCAAGACCTCAACAAATGGAAAAAATATGCCATGTTCCTTAGATAGAATCTTTATCTAAAGATATCAATTCTCTCCAAAAACAATCTCTATATTTAATGCAACTTTAAATAGAATCCCAAAAGGGTTTTTCATGAAACTTGATGAGCTGAATCAAAAATTTATATGGAAGATCAAAAAAATAGTAATAGCCAAGACAATACTAAAAGAACAGGAAGGAGGCTTGCCTTACTGTAAATTAATTACAGCAGCTGAGTCTTGGAGCAAGAACAGACACACAAATATAACAGAATATAGAGCCCAGAAACAATACCTACACACAGCTGGAAACTTGTTATATGATAAAAGTGGCAGTGTCGATCAGGGCAGAAAACATACTAGCTATTGAATGGTGCTAGGGAAAACATAAAATCAATTCAGGCCCTATATTTTATTTTTTGAGACTGGGTCTGGCTCTGTCATAAGGCTGGAGTACAGTGGTGCAATCTTAGCTCACTGCAACCTCCACCTCCCAGGCTCAAGTGATCCTTCCACTTCAGCCTCCTGAGTAGCTGGGACTACAGGTGCAAGCCACCACACCTGGCTAATTTTTATATGTTTTGTAGATACGAAGTTTTGCCACATTTCCCAGGCTAGGCTTGAACTCCTGAGCTCAAGCAATCCTCCCGCCTCAGTCTCCCAAAGTGCTGGGATTGCAGGCGTGAGCCACCGTGCCCGGCCAGGCCCTATATTTAAAAAGTAAAGATTAAAACTCTTAGAATAAAATATATGATATTTAGAACATCAAGATAAGGAAGGATTTTTTAAAAAAGAAACAAAACCCATAAATCACAAAGGATAACTATTGTTTATTCAATTATATTAAAATATAAAACTTTAAAATAAAAGACACCTTCCAGTGTGGAAAAAATAATTCACAGACTGAGGGAAGATATTTGCAATATATTTAACCAAAAATGTATTAGAATAAAAAAACATATTTATATGTTTACAAATCAGAAAAAGACAAAGAACTGAATAGAAAAATGGGCAGAATATACAAACCAGCATATCACAGATGAGCAAACCAGCACAGACAAAAACACACCAAAAATATGCTGCACCTCACTAATATATGAGGAAATGCAAATTAAATCCACAGTGGGATACTATCTCGAACACATCAGATTTGCAAAAACTCAAAAGCCTTACAAGCTCCCTGAACTCAGCATTTTCCCTTCTCTTAAGTCATTCAAAGGCAACAGGAGAAAATAACAACAGAAACACAAACTCTACGTTTGATGAAATTTAAAAAAACATTTGAATCCCAATCCACAAATATATGTGGACTACTAAAAGCAATGAAGATCAAACAGGGGTGTGGAGGGAAAGGGATCAAGAATGCCTACAACTTCTGAGCTCACAGACACCTACAGGGTGCCCATGCCAAGGGGAGGAACACACCTTAAACTGCAAAGCCAAAATAATGGATGGGGTGCATGGACTTGTGGCAGGAACTTCTCTGGAATGGATTTAGTTATGGAAAATATTGGGGGCGGGGCTGACTGACAAATCCCAGAAGCAAGACTCTTTAAGGAGAAGCTGTGTATTCCAACAGCTGCCTATCTCATTCGGCTGAGCAACGATAAAGCTAAAGGAACTCATGCACCCTGAAAGGACAGTTCCTGCCGCAGCACAAGCAGCCTATGCCCCTCCCTGAGACTCTTATTCTGAAATAGCTGGTGTCTGTAGCAGGGTTCTTCACAGAAACAAATAGGATGTGTACATAGAGAGAAAGAGATTTATCATAAGGAAGCAGCTCACAATTATGGAGGCTGGCAAATCCAGAATCTGCAGCGTGGGCCAGCAGGCTGAAGACGCAGGAGAGCTAATGGTGCAGGTGAGGTCTAAAGGCAGAGTCTGCTGCAGAACGGGCTCTTGCTCGGGGAGGTCAGTCTTTTTGCTCAGTTCAGGCCTTTAACTGATTGGATGAGGCGCACCTACATTAGGCAGAGCAGTCTGCTTTACTCAGAGTTCACCAATTTAAATGTTAATCTCATCCCAAAACACCCTCCAAATTGACACATAACATTACCCATTACAGTGTCTTAGGTCTGGTTCCTTAGAAGCAGAGCCTGAGGCAGGGACTGGGGACACTTGTTGTACAGGGAGAATACTCCCAGGAGACAGGGAGAGAGGGAAGCAGGGAGGAAAAATAGCTAAACAAACACGTGGTCTCAGCTGCAGCCTCGCTTCAGTCTGGTCCCACGGGGACCTCTGCAGCACAAATTGCAAGAGGTGGTCCCACTTTGGAGCAAGGGGCCTGGCCTTCTGAGCCCCTCTGTCTGTCGGGGATTGACTGCTGACGGCCTCAGGGTTACGGGTATGAGTGAGAACTTAACCTCTCAGGTGCGATGGTTCATTGCATGTGCTTCCTTGGCTAGGCTATGATGCCCAGCAGTTCAGTCAAACACTAGCATAGATATTGCTATGAAGGTATTTTGTAGATGTGACTAATTTACAATAAGTTGACTTTAAGTAAAGGGCATTACCCTCAGTAATGTGGGTCGGCCTCGTTTAATCAGTTGAAAAGCATTAGGAGCAAAAACTGAGGTTTCTCAGAAAAGGAGGAATTCTGCCTTAAAGACTGCAACTCTTGCCTGGGTTTCCAGCCTGCCAGCCTGCCCTACAAATTGCAGACTTGTCAGAGCCCACAGTTGCATGAGCCAATTCTCTCCCTCTCTCATTGATATTGTCTCTCTGAAGAACCCTGAGTGATAAAGCAGGTGTGGGACTCTCATTCAGCCAAGCACAGATCTTTGGAGAAGGGGTTAGCTGAGGGCCATTAGCAACCAACCCTCTCAGCAGCCAGGCTGGTCAAAGGAAGCTGTGCAGGCCACCAACAGCATATACTACAGTCCACCTCCCAAACCACTGAGATCCAATTGCTTCCCATATTAACTTCATTCAATCTAGGCACAGCTTTTCCAGGATTCTGGCTGGTCACAATTTGTGGGAACATTTACAGGAGAAGAGTTAGTGGAATGAACTACAGCCCACACCACCACAGTTTGTCTCAATCTGTCACTGATACTCATCATCTTCCTCCTCCACCACCCACTCTAGGTTCTCTTGCCTCTCAGCGAGCACTCCTGCTGCTCTCTGTGGCTCTCAGGAGGGGTGTTCCAGACCTTTATCTCAGAGGAGTCTGAAGCTCAAGTTATGCTTTACTCAGACCATGGTTGCTATATTTACCCATTTTTACATGCAAAATTTCACATAGAAAAAAGCAAACCCAGGATCACCTGAGTGCCAAACATATTCCTCCCTGCCCCCATCATCCCACTGTATAGCAGCAGCTCTGTGTCTTCCTGATGATCAGATCAATTACCCCTGCTGGAGCTGTAACCCCTTCCTTTGCCTGCTGATCTACCAGCATGAGGAGGCCAAAGTGGCCAGGCTGCAGCCATAGCTGTAAGATTATTGGGACTCCTATGGCGTCCTCCAATAGAAGCATTTCCCGCTCCTGCCCCCAGGAACCAGGAGCTCTAGACCCACAGAGTCTAAAGTTTCTGTGAAGAGAAGCATAAATTCCCCAGGTGGGTCACTTAGAATAGTGATGAGCAGAGCCACTCCTACTTCTACCGCTTGGACCCTGGACCATCCATTCTACCTAGTGGGGACAAATGCACATGCAATGGCCATTGGCTTCAGATGTGTATTGCATCCTGAAGATAGCACACTATCCCCAAACTAGCTCCTCCATGCATCTTCAGGAGGCCATCTCGCCACTCTATTGGGCAATAGTTGGTGGTTGATGTGATATGCACCACACTGCCTCCCTTACTCTAAGTTGCTGTTATGCACAGTCATATGTAGATTAGACATTGTGTAAGTCGTTGGATTGTCGTGCTTGCTGAGGTGCAGGAAGCCGGAAAGGTAATCCACATACAGAATGTGTGTCCATTTCAGTAAGTATGAATTGTCCTTTTCAGGACAGAAGGGGTCCTGTATAATCAGCTTGCCATCAGCGGTCAGTTGAGCTCCTGGGTGCCTTATTGCAGACTCGGTGTCAGTCTTTGCAGCTGGCAGGTTCGACAATCAGCAGTGTCAGTAGCTAGGTCAGTCTTGGAATGGGGATCCTATGCTATTGGACCCCTGTACTGCCTCCATCTCTGCTCCATTTGGGAGCACAAACATTAAGATGGCTGAGGACAGGGCTGATTGACAACCACTGGACGATCCATCCCACTCATCTGGTTGTTCAGTCCTTCTGCGAGTGGTCAGCACTGTCATTAGCATAAAGATGCTCACCCTTTGTGCCTACTCCCGAAAGGGCTCAGCTGCACTGCAGACTGGGCAGAATAGGCCAAGTGACAGGCCAGCCCTGGTACTGGTGACTAACAGCCTGCTGGACCTCCCTGCCCTAGTCCTGAGCTTGAGCTCTGCCGGCTGGCTCTGGGCCTGGCCCTGGAGGGGTCCACAGGTTGCAAGAAGTACCTTGTGCAATCCACACTGGAAGCCTGTCCTCACCCAGATCAGGGTGGAGCTGAGGGGGCCCTCAGGGTTTCAGGGCCTGGGTGTAACAGCAGCCAGTCAGATCAGGGTAGATACACACAGATACACACACACACACACACACACACACACACATATTATCCCTGGGGCTCAGCCCAGCTCACTCTGGAGGCTGAAGGCACTCCTGTCAGCCCTGTATCTGGCTTCATTGGAAGTTTCCCAAATGCAAAGACTTTTTGTTGTTGTTGTTGAACTCAGGCCCCTTACTTTCTCCACATTCATGCCTAAAACACAAGATGCGAAAAAAAAAAGCCAAGTGCTCAAAGGCATACGGTAGTATGGTGGCTAATTCTTTGGGTGTTGGAATTAAAAAAAAAAAAAAAGCCCTGAGTTTGAGTTCAAGGTATGGCTTTGTCACTTTTGACTTTAATGTTCTTGGATAAATAACAATTCTCTGAGCCTCAGTCTCTACATCTATAAAACATGAATAATATTACCTCCCTCACAGAATTGTGAGGATAAAGGAAAACACATATGTAAAATGTTTGACACAAAACAAGTATTCAACAGAGGCTATATAACAATATTATTAAAAACAAGAGTTTGTGATAAAATAGGGAACACAGAGAGAAAACCCAAAATAAATGCAGAAGACAGAAAGAAATGGGAAACACCGAAGACCCTGTGGCAAGCATGAAAATCAGACCTCCTTCAAAAGAACCTGCTGCAGGCTTATAGTGACCACCAGTCCCTGGCCACCCTCTGGAGCTATCACTGCGTTCACACCAAGGCCACGCTTTCTTGAGTTACTCCTAGCCAAAGACAGAACGTGGTGGGGCACTAGTGTCTGCCCATTCCTGTGGGATATGGGACCCCTCTAATGGGCAACTATGGCTCCAGGACTCCCATCAGCCGGGCTGGAATTTTCTTAGAACTGAGTCTGAGGCCCTTCCTTCCATCGCCCCTTCCTTCCCTGTCTCCTTTCATAGGTGTCCAAATGGTATTACAATCTGAAGGCTCTCCTGCCCCTTTCCTTCCTCATTCACAGGTGTTTACTTTAACAAGTCTCTGGCACAAATAATCCCATCTTGGCCACTTTAGAGCACCTGAACTAACACAGGCCCCTTCCCTAATGCTGGGCTTTCTTAGAGGGAGGGTCCTGAGAGGATCTGTCCCAAATCTGTGTTGTGCACCACCTGGGTGAGGGCAGCCGCAGTTCCAGGTTGACATGAAATTCTTAGATCATGGAGCTTGAATGGGAAACAGGAAGTGAGTGTCCTTGGGACATGCTATGATGCCTGATGGTTCATGTTCCTCTCTGTACCTGAAGTCGCCCCTCAGATTAAGCAATCCCTGCCTCTTCCTGCCCCCACTCCCTAGGCTGGCTCCTCTGGCCTGCACTTCAAATTCATCCTGCTTGTGCATAAACATAATTAGTGTGAATGCTTTGTTTGGTTGAACCAGTATTCTATATAGGTCTGGGGAGGAGTTTATTGTTGGCTTCTCTGAAGCCATAAATGTAAAGGAGAGCTTTAGGTGGGATGTGGCTCCCTGGGCAGGGAGACAAGCTGCAGACGTGGCCCAAGCCTAGGAGAGCTGGGAAACTCCAGCCCAGGGAGGGCTGTGGCTATGCCCACTTGCAGGTTGGGTTAAATCCCCAGCCTTTGCAGGGACAGAGTGTAGCCCTCAGGGTCCTGGGGGTTCTGGGTCAGATAAGGGTCTCTGGAGACTTCCCTCCACCCCTCATCCCAGGACCCAGTGCATCAGGGAAGTCCTCAAGGTCTGCAGCATGGCGCTGTGGCCGCACAGGTGCAACAAGTGGTCGTAAAAGTCTTTCACCTTGAACATCATGTAGTACAGAGAATAGGGTGAGGAAAAGTCACAAAGGTGTAATTGGCTTCCCTGCCTCCAAGGAGAGAGGAGATTAAGAGCAGGTCACAGAAGGCTTCCACCCATCTAGTAAGCTGAGGTCTCAAGGTTGGGAACAAGCCAGGCTTCATGCTTGGAAACATAGAAATGTTGCATTTTCTGGATTCAGACACATGTAACCACATGTAACCAGCACTACAGTGTCATATAGAGTAGATTCACTACCCTCAAAAGCTTCTGTGCTCTGCCTCTTCATCCCTCCCTCCCACCTAACGCTTGGCAATCACTGATTTTTTTTTTTACTGTCGTTTAGTTTTTCCTTTTTCAGAATGTCATACAATTGAAATCATACTCTGTACTCTTTTCAGACTGGCTTCTTTCACGTAGTAATACACATTAAGTTTCCTCCATGTCTTTTCAAGGCTTGAATGCTTATTTCTTTTTAGTGCTGAATCATATTCCATTGTCTGGATGTACCCCAGCTTGCTCATCAATTCACTCACTGAAGGACAGCTTGGTGTCTTCTAAGGTTTAGCAATTATAGCTAAAGCTGCTATAGACATTCATGTGCAGTCTTTGTAAAGAGATAAGTTTTCAACTCTTTTGGGTAAATATTCCAAAATGAAATGGAGAATATGTTTCGTTTTTTAAGAAACCTTCAGATTTGTATCCAAAGTGACTGAATCATTTTGCATTCCCACCATTAATGAGTGGAAGTTCCTGTTGCTCCATGTCTTCGCCAGCATTTGGTGTCGTTAGTGTTCTGGATCTAGTCATTCTCATAGATGTGTAGTACTATTTCATTGTTCCTTTAATTTGCATTTCCCTGATGATGTATGATACGGAGCATCTTTTCATATGCGTACCTGTCATCTGTATTTCTTCTTTGGTGAGGTGTCTGTTAAGGTCTTTGGCCCATTTTTTAATAGGGTTGTTTTCTTTTTATCAAGTGTTAAGAGTACTTTGTATTTTGGATAACAGTCCTTTATTAGATATGTCTTTTGCAAATATTTTCTTCCAGTCTGTGGCTTCTCTTCTCATTCTCTTGGCAGTGTCATTTGAGGAGCAGAAATGTTTTTTTTGTTTTTTGTTTTTTGAGACAAAGTCTCACTCTATTGCCCAGGCTGGAGTGCAGTGGCACAATCTCGGCCCACTGCAACCTCTGCCTCCCGGGTTCAAGCAATTCTCCTGCCTCAGCCTCCCAAGTAGCTGGGATCAGAGGCATGCGCCACCATGCCCAGCTAATTTTGTATTTTTAGTAGAGATGCGGTTTCACCATGTTGGCCAGGCTGGTCTCAAACTCCTGACCTCAGGTGATCCACCCGCCTCAGCCTCCCAAAGTGCTAGAATTACAGGTGTGCACCACCACGCCTGGCCAAGAAATGTTTTATTTTAATAAAATCCAGCTTATCAATTATTTCTTTCATGGATGTTGCCTTTGGTATTGTATCCAAAAAGTCATTGCAAAACCCTAAGTCATCTAGATTTTCTCCCGTTATCTTCTAAGAGTTCTATAGTTTTACATTTTACATTTAAGTCTCTTATCCATTTTGAGATAATTTTTGTGAAGAGTATAAGGTCTGTGTCTAGCCATTATTTTTTTTTTTTTTTTGCATGTGGATGTCCAGCTGCCCCAGCATCATTTGTTGAAAAGACTCGGCTTTATTGTATTGCCTTTGCTCCATTGTCAAAGATCGTATATTTATGTAAGTCTATTTCTGGGCTGTCATTCTGTTCCATTGATCTATTTGTCTCTGTGCTGTGTCTTCATCCCTTCCTCCCCCTTAACTTCTGTCACCAATATCACATTGTCTTGATTATCATAGCTTTATAGTTAGTCTTTAAGTTAGATAGTGTCAGTCTACCAACTTTGTTCTTCTTTAATGTAGTTTTGGCTACTCGGGGTTTCTTGCCTCCCCATACAAACTTTCGAATCAGTTTGTCAGTATCCACAAAATAGCTTGCTGGGATTTTGATTGGAAGTGCATTAAAACTATAGATCAAGTTGTGGAGAACTGACATCTTGACAATATTGCATCTTCCTAACTATGAATATGGAATATCTCTCCATTTACTTAGTTCTTTAAATTTCTTTCATTGTGGTTTTATAGTTTTCCTCATATAGATGTTGTGCATATTTTTTAGCTTTATACCTAAGTATTCATTTGTGGGGATGCTAAATAGTATTGTGTTTTTTAATTTCAAATTCCACTCATTCATTGCTGGTATATAGGAAAGTGATAGACTTTTAGATATTAAACTTGTGTCCTGCAACCTTGCCATAATTGCTTGTTCACTTGGAGTTTTTCTAGTACATGGTATGGAGCATGTGAATCCAATTTTATTTTATTTTACAAATAACTATCTGGTTATCACAATGTCCTTATTTAAAAGTCATTTTCTTCTTCAGTGACTTATCATGTATAGTTTACACTAAATGTTCATATGTATTGCCATCTATTTTTATACTGTGTATTCTGTTCTGTTGGTTATGTGTCAGCAGCATATAATTTTAATTATAAGGCCTTTATCATGTTTTAATGTTTGATAAGGCTCATCCCCTGCCCCCCATTCACACCATAATTATTGCTTTTTCAAGAGATGGGGTCTCACTATATTGCCCAGGCTGATCTCAAACTCCTGGCCTCAAGCGATCCTCCTGCCCCAGCCTCCCAAAGTACTAGGATTATAGGTGTGAGCCACCGTGCCTGGCTCCTGCAAGTTTATCTGTTCATATAAACTTTACAATTAACTTCCCTAGCTTAAAAAAATAGTTATTTTTAATTGAATTACATTGGGGGAAATTGATGACTTTATGACATCAATTTCCCCCAATGTAATAAATATATACTTATTTTTATTATTATTATTTTTTGAGACAGAGTTTTGCTTTGTCACCCAGGCTAGAGTGCAGTGGCACAATCTCGGCTCACTGAAACCTCTGCCTCCCCAGGTTCAAGCAATTCTTGTGCCTCAGCCTCCTGAGTAGCTGGCCATCAGGCACCTGCGACCACACCCAGCTGATTTTTTGTATTTTAGTAGAGACGGGGTTTCGCCATGGTGGCCAGCCTGGTCTTGAACTCCTAAGCTCAGGCCATCAGCCCAGCTCAGCCTCCCAAAGTTCTGGGATTACAGGCACGAGCCACCACACCCGGCCTCTACTTACTTATTTTATTATATTTATTTATTTATTTATTTTGAGATGGAGTCTCGCTCTGTCACCCAGGCTGGAGTGCAGTGGTGCAATCTTGACTCACTGCAACTTCTGCCTCCTGGGTTCAAGTTATTCTCCTGCCTCAGCCTCCTGAGTAACTGGGATTACAAGCACGTGCCACCATGCCCAGCTAATTTTTTGTATTTTTAGTAAGACCGGGTTTCACCATGTTGGCCAGGCTGGTCTTGAACTCCTAACCTGCGCCTCCCGGGTTCAAGCAATTCTTGTGTGTCAGCCTCCCTAAGTGCTGGGATTACAGGCATGAACCACTGCATCCAGCCCATTTATTTATTTTAGATTCAGGAGGTATACGTATAGGTTTGTTACATGGGTATATTGCATGATGCTGAGGTTTGGGCTTCTAACCCAAGTACTTCGCCCAAATGATATGGGATGGGACAGGGAAGTTCTGGTTAGAGAAGGGCGGGGTCCCTGGCGAGGGCTCCATCCCCATTTTGTGCTCAAATGTTGTGTTTCCCAAGACCACCCTGGCCTGCCACACTCCCATCCTGTGCCTATAAATACCCTGAGACACTAGCGGGCCAAGCAGCTGGATGTTGAGAGGAACTCAGCCATGGAAGAAGACACAAGCCACCTAAAGATGGCAAAACTGAAAGAGCACACCATAACACACGCCCACTGGGGCTTCAGCTGTAAACATTCACCCCCTAGACACTGCCATGTGGTCGGAACCCCACAACCTGTCTGTATGCTCCCCTAGAGATTTGAGCAGCGAGCCACACCCCCATCGCACGCCCTGCAGGGGGATAAGGGAACTTTTCCCATTTCACAAGTATTGAATAGGTAGTTGTTCAACCCTTGCCCCCTTCCTTTCTCCCTGCTTTTGGAATTCCTAGTGTTTATTGTTCCTGTCTTTGTGTTCATGCATATCTAATGTTTAGCTCCCACTTATGAGTAAGAACATGCAGTGTTTGGCTTTCCGTTTGTGTTAATTTGCTAAGGATAATGGCCTCCAGCTGCATCCAAGTTGCTGCAAAGGACATGATTTCATTCTTTTTTATTGCTGTGTAGTATTCCATAGCGTATATGTGCCACATTTTTCTTTACCCAATCCACCATTGATGGGCACCTGGGTTGATTCCATGTCTTTGCTATTGTGAATAGTGCTGTGATAAACATAAAAGTGCAGGTGTCTTTTTGGCAGAACAATTTATTTTCCTTCAGGTATATATCCAGTAATAGGATTGCTGGGTTAAATGGTAATTCTATTTTTACTCCTTTGAGAAATCTCCAAACTGCTTTCCACCGGGGCTGAATAAATTTGCACTCCCACCAACAGTGTATAAGCATTCCCTTTTCTCCACAACCTCACCATCATCTGTTATTTTTTGAGTTTTTAAGAATAGCCATGTTGACTGGTGTAAGATTAAACAGTGCTTGAAGGAAGTGTATAGCTCTAAATGCATATGTTAGAAAATAACCTGGGCTGGGTGTGGTGGCTCATGCCTGTAATCCTAGCATTTTGGGAGGCCAAGGTCATCAGATAGCTTGAGCCCAGGAGTCTGAGACCATCCAGGACAACATGGTGAAACCCTATCTCCACACACACACACACAAATATCTATATCTCTCTCTCTCTATATATATATAAAAATTTAGCTGGGCGTGGTGGCGCACACCTCTAGTCCCAGCTACCCAGGAGGCTGAGGTGGATCACTTTAGCTCAGGAAGTCAAGGCTGCAGTAAGCCAAGATCATGCCACTGCACTCTAGCCTGAACGACAGAGCAAGACCCTGTCGAGGGGCGGCGGGGGGAGAGAGGGAGAGAGAGAGGGAGGGAGAGAGAGAGGGAGGGAGGGAGGGAGGAAGAGAGGAAGAGAGGGAGAGATAGGAGGGGAGAAGAGGGGAGGGGAGGGGACAGGCTGATAATTAATGATGTTGAGCATATTTTCATATATCTGTTAGCCATTTCACATGTCTTCTTTGCAGAGATTTCGTTCAAGTCCTTTACTCAGTTTAAAATCAGGTTATTTTTGTTGTTTTTGTTTTTTGCTATTGAGTTGCAGGATTTCCTTATATATTTTAGAAATTAACCCTTATCAGATATATGATTTACAAATGCTTTCTCCCATTCTGTAGGTTGCCTTTACATTCTGTTAATTGCTTCCTTGGTATGCAGAAGTTTTTTGGTTTGATGTAGTCCTATTTATCTATTTTCAGGTTTGTTCCCTGTGCTTTTAGAGTCATATCCAATAAATTATTACCAATGCCAATGTCAAGAAAATTTCCCCTATAGTTTCTTTTAGGAGTTTTACAGTTTCATGTCTAACATTTAAGTCTTCAATTCATTTAATTTTTGTGTACAGCGTAAAGTAGTGTTCTAACTTCATTTTCATTTTCTCTTTTTTTGGCATGTGGATATCCAATTTTCCCAGCACATTTGTTTGAAGAGACTATATTTCCTCTCTGTCTCATTGCATATTCTTGGTACCTTCGTCAAAGATCAATTGACCACATATACATATGTTTACTTCTGGGCTCTCTATTTTGTTCCATTGGTCTATACGCCTGTCTTTATGACAGTATTTTTTAGAGTCAGACTCATGGAATTTATTTTTTAAGAGTCAGACTCATAGAAGCAGAGAGTACCATAGTAGTTGCCAGAGTTTAGGTGTGAGAGAAATGAGGAATTGTTGTTCAATGGGTATAAAGTTTCACTTTTGCTAGACAATTAAGTTCTGGAGATCTGCTGTACAACATAGTATTACAGTTAACAACATGGTATTGTAGAATTCAGAATTTGTTAGAGGGCAGATCTCACCTTAAGTGTTCTTACCACAAAGACAAAACAAAGCAGAAACAAAAATAAAACAAAGCGGAAACAAAAACAAAACAAAGCAGAAACAAAAACAAAAGAACACCAGGAACTTTTTTAGGTGTTGACTGTGTTGACTTGATTGTGGTGATAGTATCACAGGTGTTTGCCTACGTCCAAACTCATCAAATTTTACATATTAAACATGTGCAGTTCTTTGTACGTCAATTATACATCAATAAAGCTGCTTTTTAAGAAAGGAAACCACTGAGTTGAAATGGTCAGCTTCTGTCTTAAGAAGCTAGACAAAGAGCAAATTAAACTCAAAGTAATTAGAAGGAAGTAAAAAAGAACAAAATTTATTTAAATAGAAAATGGGAAAATAATGAATAAACAAAAGCAAAAGTTAGCTCTTCTTGAATATTTAATAAAATTGAGAAATCTCTTCGCTAGACTGATCAAGCAGAGAGAAAACACAAGCGAGCAACATCAGAAATGAAAGGGGACATTACTCTTCATCCTAAAATGAGAGACTTGACCTAGCTAGCCTCTGACGTCCCTTCCAGCTTAGCTCAACCTTCTCCCAGGGCTCCCTGCAACTCTATTTCCACTCGTGCTGAACTCACCAGGAAGGAATCCCCCAGTGGCTTCACCAGCTCTGCAGAAGCCACTCACTAGGCTTGTGATAAAGGGCGCCAGGGAAGGAGCCTCTAGGATGACTGTGACTTGGGATCCTCTGCAGGAAGAGCAGCCTCAGATTGCTGACCCCCTCTCTGGTTGGTAAACTAGGACCCATTGGTAGTAAGAAGGTTTGGGATGGGGAGCATCGGAGAAGGGCCGTGGAACTACAGACAGAGCTGAGAGCCCTGCACCATAAGGAAGTAGCTTCCTCCATGCCTCAGACCCCCCAGTGAGCAGGTTCCAGAACAGTCCTGGACGCCCAGGCTGCTCCCTAGCTGCTCTTTTGCCCACCTACCCCATTCCTGCAGCCTTGAGCTCCTCCAGCCTATAGTAGGGCACTTCCATCTGCTAATGGATAAAGTCCTCTGGGACACCTAGCAGGAAACACTAGAAGCTCAGGATGACACAGGCTGTGGTGGCAAATCCCTGGCTGTAACGGCACTCAATGAAAGGCAATCTCTACCCCTGGGGCCCCAAATGCCTCTCATTTCCAATTCCCCAGGGTCAGCTGGTTCCCACAGCAAGCCTCCTCTGAGAGCTCCAGTCGGGAACTGCTTGTCTAGACCCAGCTCAGGTCTAGATGCCCAAGGTCAAGACTTCAGTAGCCAGGTTCAGTCTGGGAAATAAGATGAGAAACCCAGGATAGTGACCCTGGTGACATGTAGGCCCCCTCTGTAGCCAGGATATGGGACCCCAAGGGAGACTTGAGAAGGCAGCCTGCCTGCAACAGCTCTCACTCAGAGGAAGACACAGATCAGGAGCAGGGGCAATGAGGAGGCACCAAAGCCTGGATCAACAGCGGGCTTCTACTAAGTGTGAACCCTGCAGGTGCATCTGGGGAGCCTCTTGTCAGTGTGGTGAGGACAGAGAAGGGGGTTTGTATGAAGTGTGTAGCCTTGTAGCTGTTGATCATAGCAAGTGATCCAAAAATGTATGGCTGAGGATGGGCTGGCAGTCCCTTAAGCCTGTACTTCCCACCTGTTTCCATGTGAAGGCACTCCTGGAAAGTGAAGGCATCGATGTGGTACACTGGGGTAAACATACAAGTCTGCAGGTGGTTGGAGAATGACAGCAAGGCTCCTGTCTTCGGTTTGTGCTGCTCTAATAGAACACTGTAGCCTGGGTGATTTATACAGAACAGAAATGTATTTCTCAAGGTGTCAGTGGGTTGCGTGGTGAGGGCTGCTGTCTGCTTCCCATGTGGCATCCTATGGCTTTATCCTCCAGAAGGAAGAACACTGTGTCCTCACTTGGCAGATGGGTCAGAAAGGGCAAACTTGCCTCCTGAATCCCTTCTGTAAGATCACTAATCCCCATTCATGAGGGTGGAGGCCTCATGGTCTAATCACCTCTCAAAGTCCCCATCTGTTAATACTGTTGCACTGGGAACTAACTTTCAACATGAATTTTGGAGGGGACATCATGTTTCAAATCACAGCAGATTCTAACAGCCCAGGCCCTTCCAGCCACCTTGGGGGCTGAGGAGCTTGGCATCTCCCATTCAGGAATATGAGAGTACAGCTCTGGGCTTCAGGCCCCTCCTACCCTGACTCTGGCTCTACTCCAAGCCCAGCTCTTAACAAAGATACCTACTCCCTGGGTGGTGGCAGCAGCAGTCACACAGGATGGGAGCTTGAATCTCCCGATCTCAGCAAGGCAGGGATCTATGAAGGCATCCAGGCTCTACCCTCTGGGTGGCTCCACACCGAGTGCTTTTCCCTCAGCTCTTTGAGGCCAGCCAGCACCACCAGGAGCCCCTGGCACAGCTCACAAAAGAAAAAGCAAAGGCCAGGCATGCACACGGGGAAACACAAAAGTAGACACCTCCCCCCAGGCCAGCAGATGAGGGAGGGAGATGAGGCAGATCCATGGGCAAAGATGAGGAGCCAGTCCTGTGAAATGTCCCAGAAGGCCGGGTCCTACCCCTGGCCTAGGTGAGGGTTAAGACCAGAGGACTGGTCACTCTGGCCACCACCACCCCAACCCCCACCAGTGTGGCAGCAATAAGGCCAGGTCTGAGCCAAGCTGCTCTGAATACACCTGGCAGAAAGTGGGGAGTAATGAGGACTGAGTCACTTAGGAACAGCCAAGAGGCCACTCCTGGGCAGCTTAGCGCAATCAGCACCCTGTGTGAAATAATAACCACTTCTACTGAGGACTCCCAGTGTGCCGGCCACTGTGCTTACCACGCTCCACATCTTATTTCAGTTCACCTTCACGGCAACCCGTGAGCAGGTCCCTGAGAGACTTAGGGAGCCCTGGCAGCTCTCAGGTTACAAAGCTCCTTATCCTTGCACATGTCAGGTCCAATTAGTCCACCCTCTGATTCAGCTGGTGAAGAGGAAGAGTGGATGTCAGCACAGATTGATGGTGCATTTGGGGATTGAAAAATACCTGAGTAATCGGCTAGGTGCAGTGGCTCACGCCTGTAATCCCAGCACTTTGGGGGGCCAAGGTGGCCGGATCACCTGAGGTCAGGAGTTCAAGACCAGCCTGGCCAACATGGTGAAACCCCGTCTCTACTAAAAATACAAAAATTAGCAGGGTGTGGTGGCATGTGCGTGTAATCCTGGCTACTTGGGAGACTGAGGCAGGAGAAATCACTTGAACCCAGGGGGGCAGAGCTTGCAGTGAGCGGAGATCGCACCACTGCACTCCAGCCTGGGTAACAGAGTGAGACTCCGTCTCAAAAAAAGAAAAAAAATACATGAGTAATCAAAAAACTCAAATATTAATAGAATAAAATGTATAAAACAATTCATGCCTAAAATTTCTTCATTGTTTCAGATGTAGAATAGTTAATTTAACTTAAATCATTTCTTAAAAAGACAAATTCAGAAAATTTACTGTGTAATTGAAAATAATTTTTTTAAAATGTTGAGGGTGATCTTAGCCTGTTCTCTGTCTTTCATCTTGAAACACAACTTTTCCTTTGTAACATTTTACTCATCCCCATCTTAGTTAGTTTGTGTTGCTATGAAAGGATACCTGAAGTTGGGTAATTTATAAAGAAAACAGGTTCATTTGGCTCATGGCTCTTCAAGGCAGGCTGTTCAAAGAGCATGGTGCCAGCATCTGCGTCTGCTTCTGGTGAGGGCCTCAGACGGCTTCCACTCGTGGCAGAGGGCAAGGGGAGCCTTTGTGTGCAGAGATCACAGAGTGAGAGAGAAAGCAAGAGATGGGGGAGGTGCCAGGCTCTTTTTAACAACCAGCTCTTGGAGGAACTAATAGAGTGGGAACTCACCCAGCCCCCAAGAAAGAGGGCAATAACCTATTCTTGAGGGATCTGGTCCCATAACCGAACACTTCCCATTAGGACCCATCTTCAACACTGGGGATTAAATTTCAATATGAGGTTTGGAGGACCCCCTATACCAAGCCCGTCATATTAATAATAGAAAAGATAAAAACATAGGTTAATAAATTAATAACCCATGATTCAAAGCAAGAAAGAGAACTCTTCATGAGTCAGAAACGCAGAGGCAGCCCTGAATGAAGGAGGTAAACGGGCAGCCCAATGGAACACACTGGCACGCTACCCGGCCCTCCATGCCAAGGCTGCTACTGTTACCCAGGGGCTGCAGCATCCCTTCAAGGCTGTGTGAGTCCCCCAGCAGCATAGCTTCAGCCTCCCCAGCCCCAAGTCCCACACTGCCACCTGCAGGCCAGCCATCATTACCACGGCATGGCCAAGGACACGCAGCCAGGAGCCATCACAGCCCAGGGCATGCAAGGAACTCTCTCAGAGATGAGGTTACAACCAACAGTCACCAAATACATAAAGAAGGCAGCATCCATGAAAGAGAGGCAACAAAGAACCTACCCCCAAGGAATCCAGTCACAGAACAATCAGAAAAACGTGTTAAAATACATACGCTAACATCATCACAGTGAAAGGAGTGAAGCCTATTCAGGAAATGAAAACACGTAGTTTTGGAAAAGATCCGCTTAGAGAACTTAAAATGAAAAATGTGATAGTCAAGTTAAACAGAAACCCCAAAAGATGAATCCAGGAGCGGACTGGACACAGAAGATTGTGTTCATGATCTGGAAAATCATGCTAAGAAAATCCCCCGGAATACAGCACAATGAAAAGATAGAATGCATAAGAGGAAAGTTTAGGGATACACAGCGTTGATTCAGATATTCCTACATCCAGTTAATATGAATTCCAGAAAGGGAGGATGAACAGCAGTTGTGATAAAATTGACAGGTAATTTCTTAGAGCTTCAAAAAGACATACATCCAGAAGTTGAAAGAGCTCACTGATAATTTTTTACCTTTACACTTTAGAAAAATCAAAATTAAACTTTTTGATTTTATTATTTTTTTTTGAGACAGAGTTTTGCTCTGTCACCCAGGCTGGAGTGCAGTGATGCAATCGTGGCTCACTGCAGCCTCGAACTCCTTCTGGGCTCAAGCAGTTCTCTTGCCTCAGCCTCCCAAATAGCTGGAACTAAGGTGTGCACCATCATGCTTAGCTAATTTTTTATAGAGATGAAGTCTTGCTTTGTTGACCAGGTTTGTCTTTAACTCCTGGCTTCAAGTGATCCTCCTGCCTGGCTTCCCAAAGTGTTGGGATTACAGATGCGAGCCATAGAGCCTGGCCAAAGTTAAACTTTAAAAATCAAAGACAGGCCGGGTATGGTGACTCACACCTGTAATCCTATCACTTTGTAAGGCCGAGGTCAGAGGATTGTTTGAGCCCAGGAGTTGGACACCAGCCTGAGCAACATAGGGAGACCCCGTCTCTACAAAATTAAAAATAAAAATAAAAATAGCCAGGAATGGTGGCACATGCCTGTGGGCCCAGCTTCTTGGGAGGCTGAGGTGGGAGGATCGCTTGAGCTTAGGAGGTTGAGGCTGCAGTGAGCCATCATCTGCCACTGTACTCCAGCCTGGGTGACAGAGTGAGACCTCATTTCAGAAAACAATAAATAAATAAAATAAAAGACAAAGTCCTAAAAGTTACAGACAAATGACCTGCAATGGGGACTCCAGCTGCCATCAGATTGCATATCAGCAATATCAAATGCAAGAAGGCATTAACATCTGAGCATATGCAAGCATGAACCAAGAATTCTATACTCTTCCAGGCTATTACTCATAAGTCAGGGCAAGAAAAGAGAATTCTAGACATATAAGCAGTCAGAATATTTACCATCCACACACCCTTCATTAAATATTCAATTTTGCACTCCACTAAAAAGAAAAGCAAACGCAAAAGAAAGAAAGGAGTTACAAGAAGCAATGACAAGCAACTAAATCAAGAAACTATATTGTAAAGTGGAAATAAAAATTTCTATTTTGCAGTTTTTAATACACTGGAAATAAGATTCCAGGTGATTAGTAGAATGTTTGGGTGGTTGGGGAGCGGCACATAGGGCAGGAAACAGGAAGCTACAAGCATGCCAGGATGCTTGTCTTGTTTGGGGAGAGACAATAGAGACTGGTGGACTTTTTAATGGGACTTTAAAAAAATAAAAGTTTAGGCTGGGTGTGGTGGCTCATGCCTGTAATCCCAGCACTTTGGGAGGCAGAGGTGGGTGCATCACTTGAGGTCAGGAGTTCAAGACCAGCCTGGCCAACATGGTGAAACCTGTCTCTATTAAAAATACGAAAATTAGCCAGGCATGGTGGTACACACCTGTAGTCCCAGCTACTCGGGAGGCTGAGGCAGAAGAATCGCTTGAATGCGGGAGGCAGAGGTTGCAGTGAGGAAAGATCATGCCACTGCATTCCAGCCTGGGCGACAGAGTGAGACTGTCTCTGAATGAATGCATGAATGAATGAATGTTTAAGTAAGAAGACTTTTTTTTTTTCGGAGACAGAGTCTCGCTCTGTCACCCAGGCTGGAGTGCAGTGGCGCGATCTCAGCTCACCGCAAGATCTGTCTCCATGGTTCACGCCATTCTCCTGGCTCAGCCTCCTGAGTAGCTGGGACTACAGGCGCCCACGACCACGCCTGGCTAATTTTTTGTATTTTTAGTAGAGACGGGGTTTCAGTGTGTTAGCCAGGGTGGTCTCGATCTCCTGACCTCGTGATCCACCCGCCTCGGCCTCCCAAAGTGCTGGGATTACAGGCGTGAGCCACCGCACCTGGCCGTAAGAAGACTTTTAATGAAGCTAAATTTGGAAATAAACCAAATTTCCATCAGCAGGGGAATGGATAAACATTGTGGGATATCTACATACATCCTAGTGAGTTATACTAAGGAAAGAACTACAGACACAGCAACAGGGATGACTCGCAAACGCAAAACGTGTTGAGTGAGAGAAGCTGGACACAATGAGTCAAAAAGTCAACGAATTGTAAGTCAAAAAAATTTTAAGTGGTTCAAGGTAATAATTTTTCGACTATACCATTCCATTTGTATGAAACTCTGGAAAAGACAAATCCATTGTGGGAGAAAGCCGATCAGTAGTCACCTGGGGCCAGGAGTGGGGAAACTGACTGGGACGGAACGCAAGATAACATTTTGGGTGATGGAAATGTTCCATATCGTGACTGTGGTGGTAGTTACACATGTATATAAATCAGAATTCATTGAACTGTGCACTTACTCTCTTGTACACTTACTGTACACTTAGAATGTGTGCTATTGCATATAAATGATACGTCAATGAAATTGACAAGAGGAACCACCAGAATGGTGGAAATAGGATGCATAACATTCAAACCAGCAGAGGGGAAAAGAAAAAAATCAAACCAGAAAGCAGGAAGGCGGGGGAGAAAGACGAAGCATGGCAAACAGAAAACAAGTGTGTCTCAAGCCCCAGGACTTGCTTTGAAACCCAGCGATGGTAAAATAAATGGAGAGGTTGGGGTGGGGAGTGAAAGGAGACCTGGGGCATGGCACAGTGTTTCCTGGTACCCAAGATGGAACTGAAAATCTATAGGCCCTTAGAGGACTTAAGGTGCCTCCAGGAAATTCTGGCAGTGTTCAGGGACCCGAAGAGAGGACAGGAGGACAAGGACAGCAGAAGCGCTGAGGCCAGAGGGAGGAAGGAAAAGCAAGAAGGGGCTTCAACGGTACCAACCCGAACTAGACGATGCACAAGCAAGGGCCACCTGGACCCTCCTGTGGAAGCCTCAGCCACCATGGTCCAGAGGAGCCCAGTGGGGGTGGTGGGATGACAAAGATGCCCCGCAGTAGACCAAGCAGAGCCAGGGCAGGCATCAGGCATTTAAAGCTCCCCAGGTGAATTCAAGGTGCAACCCAGGTGAGATCCATCACTCTGGGGTCAAAGGATAAAGAGCCACGAGGACTTGTGAATGCCAGCAAATCAGCCAGAGCCTCTCTCAAGAGCACCTGCCTGCCTCTCCCCACCCGGGTGGCCCCCCTTCTGGGTAGCTCCCCATCCCTTCTCTTCCTTACTCATATTTTCCTCCCCTTTGTCTTTTCCTCTTTCTCCAACTTCGCCTCCTTTTACCACTTACTTTGCCAAAGCTCGCCACCTAGTGTTGGTAGACTTTTAAAACAGTGGCCTTTATTACATATTTATCCAGATGGTCCCCAACTGAATGGTTTGACTTACAGTTTTTTGACTTTCCAATGGGTTGAGATGTAACCTCATTGTAAGTCGAAAAGCAACTGTACATCTTTTTCAAAACCAAGACCTAAATCTTACTAAAGTAACTGGCTTTTTAACATAGTGAGTCATTCACCGCTTAATATTTCCTGTGCCTCAGCTTTCCTAATAGGAAAAAAAAATCAGTCCCCAGCCCTGACCTCTAGTGGTTAACAGCCTCCCTGACTCCCAGGACAGCCCCCTACAGACCCCTGTCCTTCATGGAGAAAATTCCAGGACTCCTTGCCCCGTTTGTTGGGTGTCCCTGTGGAGTTTTACAGGACAGAGGTGCTAGGGAAAGATAGATTCCTGCAGGGTATGCAGTGTGCCCTGCTTTTCTCCTCTGCAAGAATGGTTTCATCTGAAATGAAGGAAATTTCATTTAAAGCCTCAGCTGATTACCACCACCAACTGAGCAATGTTAGCTGCATGGCCTGGGCTCAGAGAAGGCGGGGGTTACCCATGCCCACCAGCCACCTGCCAGTACCTGAGGCCCTTCTCCCAGTGCTGCACCATCCAAGGAATGGAAAGGATACTTGCTCTTCGATTTTCTGCAGGAGATTCTTGTGAATGCCGAGCTGCATCGAAGGAACCAGGGGGCCTGATATTTGAACCAGCCTCTGTCCTCATACTCAGTTGAGGCTGTGCTCCCAGGGCTGCTAGGTCACACAACTCCAAGAGACAAATTCACACCATCAGTTCATGTGAACAGGATCCCCTGAAGTTGTGCAGTGCACAACCTGTGCAGCCCTATGTGACAGGCTTGTGGCCCCCTTTTTCTCTCATGAGGGGCTCTGACAAGCTGATGAATGATGCCCCTGCTCCTGTGTTTCTACCCAGCTTCAAGGGAAACCATGCTTGTTCTTCTGGACAAATCCCTCCAACTCTGTCACCTTCAGGACCTTGAAGCTTATTTCCAGCCATCTCAGACAAGAGTTGGAAATGAGGTAAGGACTCAGATACCTCCTCACTGAGGAGCGACCCTGGCTGAGCAGTGGATGAAATGTGTACTCAGACACAGGTATGCAGTGTAAGAGCAGCTAGGGGACTGCCCAGCTCAAGTGGCCAAAGTGCAGCCCTGAGAAGCTGGAGCTGCTTGCTTTTATTCAGTGCAGGCACAATGCCAAAAGCCTGGAGCAAACACTGGAGGTAATTAACATTTATTGTTCCCCTTTCAGGGAAGGTCATGGGCGTAGATGATCAAAGGTCAGTTCCTGGTCAACAGAAGTAAACAAGCCTGTTTAAGATAAATTCCCCCACACTCCCTCGTACCTACTCCTTGCCCTCTGCCTCAGGGTTATAGAACAGCTGTCTTTAGCTATTCTCCTCCAAAGCTATGCAGAGCCTTCCAACCTTTCAGAAGGCCTGCTCCTTTCCCTATAGCTTCTCCCACCACTCTGACCAATCTCCTACACTTGTGGCCCCCTTTTTCTTCCCTTGCCTCATGAGGAGCTCTGACAAGTTGATGAATGATGTCCCTGCTCCTGTGTTTCTACCCAGCTTCAAGGGAAACCATGCTTGCTCTTCTAGACAAATCCCTCCAACTCTGTCACCTTCAGGACCCTGAAGCTTATTTCCAGCCATCTCAGATAAGGGTTGGGAATGAGGTAAAGACTCAGATCTCTCCTGAGGAGCAGACATTAAACTGGCTGGGTTACCTTCGGCCCCTCCCCTGGCTTCTTGCTCTGCGTGGCTCCCAGATTCAGTCTTGTTGGAGCCTCCCCATCCCTGGCTGAGATCCTCCCTGTACTTCTGGCCAATATCTGGGCCACAGCACTAGCCCAGCCTCCTGCCCCCTGCCCCCTGCCCTTGATCTTGTCCCAGTCTCCTCCCAAACCTTATCTGAGCACAAGTGGCATTGCCTACACTTCTGTGTGAGAAGGTCCCCGCCCACTCTGCACAAGCCCACGTTTGCCTCCTTCACAAGCCTTGCTGGCCTGCGGGGACAGACGCTGGCCTCTGCAACCCTGGGGCTGCTGATCACATAGCTGAAGCAGAGACCTTATTGTAAGCAACTTTTCATGTGTGTGTGTATGCCTTTTTCTTGGGAGAGGGTCTGTGGTTTATATCAGCTCTTCAAAAAGTCCACATGGGTTAGGAATCATGAAAGCATTGCATGCTTTTTTGTGGTTGGTGGGTGACGATCCATTTCTTAGAATGTAGGTTCCCATTCATTTATCAAATATTTACTGAGCACCTACCATGTATCAACTGCTGCTCTAGGCACTGAGGATACAGCAGTGAACAAAACAGATGGTAGAATGACTTTCTAGGAGCCAGAGACAGCCTGAGGCTCTAATGGGCACTGAAGAAACACCACAGATTCTAAGTTGTGAACGCTGTGCAGTTCTGAGCTGTGAACCCTATGAAGGTTTTACTAACAAGTTATTGATGACGGCAGGCACAGCAGTGTTGATGACAATGGCCACAGCAGGAGCCAGATAAACTCCCAGATAAACCTCTCACTGCTGAACCAAGGGGAGGGGCCGTGGCCTGTGACAGGCAGCCATGGTGAGGAGGCAGAGGAGAACTGAGGTGTCCCCACCCCATGCCAGCCCAAATAACTGGCTCCCCCAGCCCTCGCAACTCATGCCAGCTGGAGGGCTGCAGATCCCAGGCCAGGCCAAGACACAGGCTGGGCTCCAGTCACCCTTCCCCAACCTGGAAACCAGAACTAGTCTTCTTTCCAGACTCAGGACAGGTAAGGCTTCCCAGCACAGGTGTTCCTGACAGCGTGTCTGTGTGAGAGAGCATGGAGCAGGGGGTGCAGCCAAGAGGGAGCCCCTGGGACAGGGGGCAGAAGGAACAAGGTCTCAAGTGCTGCTGCAGGCTCCTAGGCAGCTCAGCACTGGAGGCATATGCTGCAGAGGCCGTGGCCAGATGGAGAGGGCCTGGCCAGAACGGGATCTCCTCTTCACGAATCTGAGGGCTGCCCACACTAGAGAGGTTCTAGGTATTTGGAGAGTCCCTGGCGGGTCAGGGGAAATGGAGAAGAGGGAGAGTGAGAAACAAAACTTGCCAAGACCCATTGGATGCATCTGGGAAAGAGGCAAGAGCCCAGGCGAGGCTCCCTCTGCACTGCCCATGCCTTGGAGTAACCCACCTCCAGGAACTTGCACACCCTCCTGCCCCACATACAGGTGCACACCTCTCCCCCGATGAACTGATGCCCCTACTAGACACACCCATTTAGCTCCTAGGAATGGTGAGACTATATTTGCATGATGTGGCCACTACACACATCACCAGAGACTGTGGTCCAGGTTCGAAGAGTGAAGCCTGGGTAACTGGCAGGGAGACACGCGCACATCTCCCACCTGGAGCAGCCAGAATGGGACATCACCCCACAGGCTTTAGGGCGCTGGGAAGAGAAGGGTGATCTGGGAGGAGGCACGAGGAGACCAGAAGGCAGAAGGAGGGTTAGGATGATGGAGTCAGCAACATAGGCTGGCCATCCCCTCAGCCCCTCATTGTTCTTGATAGCAGTGCATCCAGGAGCTCGAGGTGGGGTTGGGGCTTGGGCCGCTCTGCAGGAAGTGTGGATGGATGCATCTCTGCTTTCCATCTCAGTGTAAGGAGGACAGCTGGCTTCTCAGTGCCCTCAGCCCCTGTTCTGTGTGGGTCTGAGGACTTGGGCCCTCTGAGGTCCTTCTGTGTCTGGGGTGGGCTCTGTGGCTCACCTGATTCTCTCCACACCCCGCTGTGAAATGAGTGCTGTTCTCTTCTGCCCTACATCCCCAAGAGTCCCTGGAGCGATCTACTGCCCATCTTCTCCAAAAACACACAAGGAGAGCCCTGCCCCAGTCCAAGCTGCAATTCTGCAAGAGCTTTCCGGGGCCTGGGGCACCTCGAGGCAGGTCCTGGAGAGAAGGGAAGCAGATCCTGCACAGAGTCCCCATCGCTCCTCCCTCTACAAGCCCTGACCATGAGCAGTGTGTCTCCTCTCTGTCACAGTCCTCCGCTTCCTGCCTTGGTCAGGCCCCTGCCCTCTCCCGAGCCTGGTGCCGGTCCAGAGCCAGCTGGAGGGCGCACTTCAAGGTCTCCACGTTGTTCAGGACGTTGTATCGACTGAGGGCCACCAGCCGATAAAAGTCCTGGGGCTCATAGGTGAAGTTCATCATGCCATAGGGGGTGTCTGGCCTGTTGATGACAAAGTCCCCAAAGGCCTTCTCCTCAGCTGTTTGTCGCTCCACACCTGTGGGTGGGGGAAGCAGAGGAGAGGCCAGGATGGAGCCCTCTGTGGAACTGGCTGGAACAGCCCAGAAGTCTTCCTTGTGCAGGACACCTGGCTGGCTCCCTGCGGGCCCTGCTTGGGCCACATCTCAGCTCTCAGACCCCCCAGGAGGGGCTGGCCCCATCTGAACGCTGAGACCCAGGGAGCAGAGGGCCACAGGGGCCAGCTCAGGCCCACCAGGAGGCGTGCTTAGTGACATTCTCCAGGGAACCCACCCTCAGAACAGCGTCCCATCACCATCCCAGGGCTCTGTGGGTCAGTCCCAGGCCTGGAGCTTCCCTTACCTGGGGCCAGGTGTGTGCGGAAGGTACGGTTAACCAGGGGGAAGTGCAGCACAATGGGGGAGCGGGGGTCCTCAGCCTTGGCAAACAGATAGCACTCACGGGCCTCCTCCATGTCCTCAGGGCCCACCTCGATGCTAGGGAAGGGGATTCCTCGGTCCAGGCAGTACTTCTCTGTCATCTTCAAGACCTGAGCAGGAGCAAGCCTCTGACTCTGCCTTTCCTCCACCCTGGCCACTCCCGCCGCCCTGGACTCACACACGCCCAGGCTTCAATGCCAGCTCTGTTTCTGACTAGCTGAGTGACTTCAGGCAGGTGACAGCTCCTTTCTGAGCTGGTTTCTCATGTGTAAAATAAAAAATTTTTAAACTTCCGGCCGGGCATGGTGGCTCATGCCTGTAATCCCAGCACTTTGGGAGGCCGAGGCTGGCAGATCATGAGGTCAAGAGATCAAGACCACCCTGGCCAACATGGTGAAACCCCGTCTCTACTAAAATTACAAAAATTAGCTGGGCATGGTGGTGTGTGCCTATAGTCCCAGCTACTCGGGAGGCTGAGGCAGGAGAATCATTTGAACCTAGGAGGCAGAGGTTGCAGCGAGCCAAGATTGCACCACTGCACTCCAGCCTGGTGACAGAGTGAGACTCCATCTAAAAAAAAAAAAAAAAAAAAAAAAAAAAAGCTCCCCATCCAGTGGTGTTGTGAAGATTAACAATAATCAGTAATGATCAACAATCAATCATCCACTGCCTCAACAGCATTCCGCCATGGTCCTCCAGGAACCACCATGGTCTTCCCTTCTCTCACCCCTCTCTGCTCCCTATTAGAAGCTGATGTCAGTTTCACAAGGTTGACATGCGACAATCACAGAAGGTCCACGTCAGAAGAGGCTTCATCAATCCCCAGTCAATCCCAGGCTCTCACTGGACCCAGGACAAAGAGGAGACCAAAGGAAGGGCTGCTCCAGCAGCACCACCAGCACCCACATGGGAATGGGGGCATCCGTCCACCACCCAGCAGAGATGGAGGGACTTGCTGCAGGGCTTCTGCATCAGAGGGGACCCTCATGGCTCTGTTGTTACCATGGTAACAAAGGGGCCACAGACTCAGGTCCAAGCTGGAGTGGGGAAATCTGTCATGAATGGGCAGAGTCTAGAACTGGGGGATCTTCTATGGATGAGGCTAGAAGATTCCTGGGGACCCTCTTTGGCCTCCTCTTCCCACGCCCACCATAATCTCAGCAACTCTCCTGCAACTGGGAGACCTGTGCTGCCAACAGCGTTCAGAAGGCAGCTCCCTCACACACAGAGTGGAACCCAGGCCGTCCACAAAGGGCAATCCCCACACACCCAGCCAGTCCCCCTCACCAGAGCCTTCTTTCCCCTCCTCTCCTCCCTCACCCTTTCTGTCCACTCACTGCAGGTGCTCCCCACATCCCTGCCTCCCAGCTCACCTCAAAAGGGGCTTCCAAGGAATAGTCAAAGGACAGAATGAGGTCCACTGCTCTCTGAGGCAGCAGAGCCAGTGGGAACGGAGAGTTGATGGCAAAGCCTCCGTCCACCAGGTACAGGCAGTCCCGCATGGGGGTGAGCTGGTTGGGGAAGGCGTCCGGGTGTGTGTCTGCAAGGAACCCATGTGTACGCACAGGGACGAATGCAGTTACTCTTGCTAGCAACCGCTTCTGTATTTGCATTCACGTTTGCCTTCTCTCTGTAGAGTTCTCTCTGACAGCCATGGAGACTCCTGCCCCAAGCCCTTGGCCCTGCCTTCCAGCTTCCAGCAGTATTTAGAGTCGCTCCGCATCAGCCCATAGGCAGCAGGAGACCACACCTCAACCCCCAGCCCAAAGCCAGCACTGGCTCCAGTGAGCCAGAGGTGCAGGCAGGAAGGGAAGCCCCCCATCTCCCACCCAAGGCAGCACCCACCTTTCCAGGCCACGAACTCCCTGCCAGCCACATAGTCCTTGTGCAAGCAGAGACCCCGGGTGAAGTTAAAGCTCTGGGCGGAAGTGAAGCGGGAGGTGAATATGTCCAGCACAGCCTGGGAGAAGGGCCCCTGTGGGGTGAGGAGCCTCGTTCGCAGCCTCGAGGGGTTGTGCAGCTGAGGCTTCTGGCAGTCGTCTAGACAGGGGCGGGACAGTGAAATAGAGGGGAAAGTGGCATCCTCCTTTGCCCAGTGGTCCTTATAGTTCAGGGGTGCCCCTCCCCAACAGTGAGCCCTCCCCACATCCCTCCTCCTCCCTGACCCCACCTCCCAAGCCTCTGACCAATGCTTCATTGAACCACTTTGAAACGACTTTTTCTTTTGTATCCTCTATGTTTTGAAAACTGCCTACAGCATTTACTAAATAATAATTTATCTTTCACCCTTCCTAAAATAAAGTTTGAGTCTACAGCTTCCAATCAGAACTTCGTCCATTAAACACTGACTGAGCAATTACTATGCCCAGCACTGCACTAGGCATGAGGGCTGTGAAGGTGAACGGGACCTGCCCTGGCCCTCCCAGGTGCACGGCCTACTTGTGGGGGAAAGTCACATAAAGAGAGAATAAATGATGACAATGCTCCGGGGTAAGGACGACGACAGGGATGTGCACATGGTCCTAGGGGACCATGGTGGTAAGATTCTCAGGCATCCTGGAGGGATGGAGTGGAAAAGGGATGTCTGAGAAAATGACATCTGAGCTGAACTGAAGAACAGAGCAAAAGTGATCCAGGGGAGAAAAGCGGGAAGGGTGCTCTGCACCGTGGGGCCCCCATGAGCCATTTAAGGACCAGGCTGAAGAGGGGCAGACAGAGTATCAACCCAATACCCAGTAGTCCTGCACCGAGTGGACCTAATTGGATCCCAGAACAGAGAACTCAGAGGTGTGGCTTGATCATACCTCTGGGCATCTAGACACCCTAAGCTAGAAGTCATTTCCTCAGGACTTCCCCGAATCCAGTGGGACAGCCAAGTCCTTCTCTGTCCCCTCCCTCATTCTTCTTGTCTCTGCCAGGGCCCTGTTGCTGGAATGTGGTGTGGGAGGGGCTCGGGGTCGCTACCCTCACCTGTGATATTCACACTGCCTCTGTACCACTCCAGGAAGCTGAGGCCCGAGCCGGCGGTCTTTAGGAAGATCTCATCCAGGCTGGTGGCAAAGGCGCTGCCCCACATACCTAAGGAGACAGGCAGGCCCCCACCCCACGTCAGGGCCTGGCCCCGGCACCTGCCTGTCCCCAGCCCTCCAGCCTCGACTCACCTTGCAGGTAACAGATCCGGGGTTCAGGCTGGAGCTGCAGCAATCGTCCCATGAAGAGTTCTGAGCCGAAGAGCTCGGTGGGAACATAAGCCCCGTACTTGGGGAAGCCAACCTCATAGGGCGTGAACTCGCACCACTCTAGGGGCCCGAGTGAAGGGAAAGTCACCAGGGGCTTCCCACCACGGTGCTTGTGCCCAAGCAGGAATCTTAGCCTTGACAATGACAGGAAGAAGCAGCAGCCCCGCTGTGCTCCAAGGTGCCTGTGTGCAACCACCTCCTCTGGGTACCCTGATCACCCTGGCCTCTCACCTCCTCCTCCCCACCTCCTCTACCTCCTTCCTTCGTCTCCACACCCAGGCACCTGCAAAATCTTCCCCACTCAAGTTGGTGCGGACGTTGACACTGGTGTAAATGGGGTAAGGGTTCTGACCCTGGCGGACCGCCTCCTGTTGGTCAGACAGCTTGGCAGGGTTCTCCTGGGCAGGAAAGAAGGGAGGCAGCTTGGCCTTTCAGGAGTTCCATTCCCCATCCCCGTGGCCTGGGGCCGGCACCCTGCAAGGCGTGGTGTGCCCACAAGAGAGGCTTTGGGTCGCCAAGGCCAGTGCTGTAAGGACAGCCCTCTGAGGGACAGGCTTCAGGCCGCAGCCAAGGGGAGCCCACAGTGGGTCTGTACAATTCCAGGGACTATGGGAACACCCTCCCTCCTTCTTTACTATTCAAAACAGCGTATCAGAACACCAGGGAGTCAGGGTGACATGGTTAAAGGAATCCTTGAAAAGCCAGTCCAATTTCTTTAAAAAATAAATTACTAGAAAACGTGGATTATTTACTTAGAAATGAGAAATCACTTGTGATATCCACCCACAACTGATCTCCACACACGGGGTGGTGGGGAGCAGCTCCGAATCTTATCGCCTGGAACTGCAGCTGGGTCTGAAGTTCCAGGAGCAGCCAGGCGGAGTGAGTTATGGCGGAATTGGCTGAGAAGTGGGTGTGGCGCTGGGCCTCACTTCCAGGTGTGGGCTGAAATCACTTTCAAAACATCCTGAGAACAACTAAAATCACTCTCTCTGGAAGGGGGGCCGAGGCATGGGTGTGTTTGAAAAGCTGCGCCGGTGATTCTAATATGCACCCAGAGCTGAGCGCTGCGGACCAGGCTCCTCCTCCCCAGGGGTTAGGAGCTAGGGAGGCAAAATGGTACCAGCCCACCCTGGAGTCACACTCCTGGCCCCAGGGGAGCCGAGAGCTCAGGAACAGCTTTGTAAATCAGATCTTAGCCTGAGGGATGAGGCAGAAGCAAGGGGCGGGTGGAAGGAGTGGAGAGGAGCCTACGTATTTCCTTCTGGCTCTTCTCTCACCTCCTGGTACAGGAGATACTCAACAAGGAGGCCCCAGAGGTCGATGAGGGACACGCTGTGGCCACTGCGCTCCCGGACCCCCAGTTCCTGAGTGTAGTACTGTAGCCGCTCCGTGGACAAAGCTCCCATCTTACTGCTGCAGACGTGAACCTGGGCACGCTCAATGGGGCCCTGCAAGGCCACCTGGGACCAGGCTGGGTCCCTGTAGAGTGTGGAGATGCACCTGGGGATTGGAGGTGTGCCTGAGTCAGGGGCAGGAGAGCACAGCCACGGGAGAGAGGGGTGCAGAGTCTGTGAGTGGCCCTCCACCCCCACCACTTGCACTGCTGCCCTGCAAACAACCCAACTCAGAGGGGCGCTTGGGACTCAGCCTCTTCCTGCCCCTCCTAACACCCTGGGAGGCAGGATCCCAGCCCCTCAGGGACTCCTTAAGATCACCAGGTCACAACCCCACACTTTGTGGGGTCTCCTTTACCCTGTGCCCTGCCCCCACCTCACTTACCAGGTAGACCCAGAGACCCCACTCAGGTAGGTCACAGTGTCTAGAAGGCCGAGCTCCTGCAACCCTGCCAGGCTGCCGTACAGAGAAGACATGGCTCGGGTTCCACCCCCGGAACCCAACACAGCCACTACAGGCACCTGGGTACAATAATAACAAGGATAACGACTCCGACTACCACCGTCATTGACGTATTACTGCCTATACATGTAGGACATTATTCTAAGAGTCTTACACGTATTATCTCATTGAATCCTCACAGCAACCCAATGAGAACCCCATTTTCAGCCAGGCACAGTGGCTCACGCCTGTAATCCCAGCACTTCGGGAGGCCGAGGCGGGCGGATCATGAGGTCAGGAGATCGAGACCACGGTGAAACCCCGTCTCTACTAAAACTACAAAAAAATTAGCCGGGCATGGTGGTGGGCGCCTGCCTGTAGTCCCAGCTATCTGGAGGCTGAGGCAGGAGAATGGCGTGAACCCAGGAGGCGGAGCTTGCAGTGAACTGAAATTTCACCACTGCACTCCAGCCTGGGCGACAGAGCGAGACTCCGTCTCAAAAAAAAAAAAAAAAAAGAGAGAACCCCATTTTCCAGATGTTGAAACTGAGGCACGGGAAGGTTAAATAATGTGCCCAAGATCATACAGTTAAGTGATGAGCTCTCACACCTAAGCAGTATGGCTCCAGAGATAGCCCTTAACCATTCGACCTGGAAGATATAGACCTGGAAGGTATATCTGATTCCCCAAAATCAGCTACAGCAGGTTCCTCTCAACCGTGGCACTCTCGATATTCTTGACCAGGTAGCTCTTCGCTGTGGGGACTGTCCTGTGTGTTGTAGGATGTTTAGCAGCATTTCTGGCCCCCTCTACCCAGTAGAAGTCAGCAGCCTCCCTCCACCTCCCCTTTCCCCAGCAGCAACAATGAAATCGATCTCTACACATGGATGAATGTCCCCAGGGGTGCGGTGGGGAGGAACTAAATTGTCCCCCGTTGAGCACCACCGAGCTAAAGTGACAAAGGCCAGCAAGCAGCCTAGACCTGCCCCCAGGCACCAAAGGTGCCCAGAGGTTTTAAGGTCTCAGGATCGGAGGTGCCTGAGGGGTCAGAGTCCATGCTTTTGGTTGCTTAGCTTTCCCAGTAAGATTTGGCTCATTCCACTCTGGATTTTTGTTCTTTTCCCTGTTCTCTTTTCGTCTCCTGTCTTGAAAAAATGCTCCCTGGCCACTGCTCACAGAAGGCGCTGTCGCTTCAGAGTGCTGGATGAGACAGAGCAGACACCTAGCACAGAGAGGGCATACATATTGCCCCAATGAACGATCTAGCCTTGTCAGCGCTGGGCCACAGTGATAGCGTCTCCTGAGGACTCAGGCAGCCTGGAGGAAGCCGGCAGCCTATTCCTGATCCCCTGTAAGTCCCTCTCTCAGCACGCCTTTCCTCCTGCCTCCTGGCCACAGGCTGGCTGTCTCTATACCCAGAGGATCCCAGGGACCCCCCAACCTCCACATCCCTTTGATCACATTACAGACTCAACTGTCCCCCTCCAAATTCCTGTGTTGAAGCCCTAACCCCCAATGTGACAGTATTTGGAAACAGGGCCTACAAGGAGGTAATAAAGGTGAAGTGAGTAAGGGTAGGGCCTTCAACTGATAGGACTGGGGTCCTTAGAAGAGGAGGAGGAGACCCCAAGGCGCACGCTCTGCACACATGCACAGAGGAAGGGCCACATGAGGACATGGCGAGACAGCTCCACCAGGAAGAGGAGAGGGAACCCAGCAGAAACCAACCCTGATGATGACACCTTCATCTCGGACTTCCAGCCCCTAGAACTGAGAGAAAAGTCATTTCTGTCATTTAAGCCACCTAGTCTGTGGGGTTTTGTTACGGCGGCCCACATAGACATCCAGCTTTGGCCAGGGCCGTTTGGCCCTGGTCCCATATGGGGTCCTAGCTCTGCCGATGGTGCCCACAGCTCAGGTGAACAGGCCAACCTCCTCTGGCCCCTCTTAGCCATGCTGGTCCTCTCAAGGGAAGAGACTTGATTTAGTCCTAGAGGCTCTGGGGTCCAGCTCCTCCTCCATTACGTACCTGGCCACTGTCCAGAGCCTCACTCAATCCCAGCACTTGCTGCAGGGCCTTGGACACGACCTGCTTCCTCCTGTCCAGAAACTCCTGCTCCCCGTCAGAGAGGTCAAAGCCAAGGCGTAGGTCTAGGTCCCCGGAGCTGCCTCAAGTAGGGTGGGGTGGCGGTGGGGGGTTCTGGGTGACTGTCCAGTGGAGGAGAGCCTTGGGCCCAGCCCAGGTCTTTCACAGGAGCAGGTCCAAGGGATCCGCCCACCAGCACCAGAACCAGGGAGGGAAAAATGTCATCCCCACCCCACGGCCTGAGCTTCTTGGGCAAGAGAATGGAGCACGTTGGGGTATGTCCCCGCACTTCTAGCCCAGCCCCAAGAGGCCTTCTGCCTGGAGTCCCACTCACCTCATTTCCACCTTCATGCTCAGAGCCACCTCCTGGCCCTGAAAGACACAGCAGCCCCAACCCTGAGTTCTCTGGGCAGGATTCTCCCAGGGAAATGGCTCCCCCACCTGCAGCCCTTGCTGCCCTGCGATCTCTGGCCCGATGTGGACATCATAACTGACCTCTGGACTGACCTGATCCAGCCACCCTCTTGGGTCCCTCCTCCAGACCTCTCTTGGTGGTCACAGAGAGCAGGCAGGGGTCCCTCTGGCACCCAGACAGAGCCTTACCTCCCCCAGGGCCACAGAACACTGTTCCTCCTGGCCTAGGGGCAGAGAGGAGAGCAGGATGCCCCCCTCGCCCAGCTTGCTGGTCTGAGCCTCCAACTCTGCGCTGGGGCCACTCTGTGGAAAAGAAAACACCCAAGAAGCTCTCCAGCAGGGAAGAAAAGTCTCCCCCAACGTGGCCCTGGAACGCCAGTCTGGGCTGAGTTGGATCTACCGACCATCCTGGCGGCGCACTCACCTGCACAGCTGCCAGCAGCTCCATCAGCTCCACGTGTAGCCTGGAGCTCAGCACTGGGTTCACGTGGAAGGTAAAGGTGGGTGGGAGGCCTGGCTCTGTGGGAGGCTGCAGGGGCAAGAGCTGTGGCTTCTCGTAGGCTCCAGGCACTGCCAGCTGGAGCTGCCTAGAGCCTGAGAGCAGAGGGCCCAGGTGGGTGCGCAGGTGAGGGGGTGGGTCTGTGTCTCTGCGGCTTATGCTGGCAGCGCCCCAGCAGCAACCCCTCCCTTCTCTTCCCCTAGGAAATGCCAGCTCTTATCGCCCGCTCTCTCTTGAGCACTGCTCATAGAGAAAGCCTCTGGAAGGACTCTTGGGTCCTCTAGCCTGCCCTGGTCAGAACTGGGACTCGGGAAGGGTGGGAAGCACACAAATGCCTGGAGGGGAAGGCAGGGAGCGGGGAGGGAGAGGGGCCCTGCCCAGAGCCTGTGGGGCTGATGATTTGAGATGATTCTATGTTTATCATAAGAATGAGCAGTTTTCAGGCAGTGGTTTCCCGCTTGCCCCACTTCAGCCTCTTTACTCATTGTGTTGGAGGTTTGTGGCCCAAGAGAAAACCAGTAGGCTGCAAGTTGTTCTGGCCTTTGTTTCCAAGTGTAGAACGTTGGGAGAGGAAGGTTTGTAGAGGCGGGAGGAGGAAGAATGGGATGCGTGGGTACAGAGAGATGCACGTCCTGGAGAAGCGGCGGAGGGCTAGCCCAGACTGGAAGATGAGGCCCAGGCTGGGAGGAGTGAGGGGGTGGGCTTGTGGGCTCCGGAGCTCCCTGCCCAGCTTCCCAGCAGCTTTCTGGGGAGGAGGCCAGACCCCAGGGAGAAATGGCTGCACATGACATCCGGGCAGAGGGGGCCGCAGACAGCCTCCCAGGAGTCCCAGCCCCTAACACAACATGGAAGCAACAGAGACCCAAAGTATGCGAGGACAGCAGACACTGAGGGATGAGAGGTCCAGAGGAGTCCCTGCCCTACAGCCCCTCCTTGCACTAGATGAGGCCCGGAGACTCGACATGACCAAGTGTGGGGAGGGAATTCAAGAAAATAAGGAAAGTGATATTTTATTCATGCCAAGGCCTATGGACTGAGATGGAGACGTGCTATTCATAAGAAGAAACCATATAATCCGTGGTTGAGAGAAGCGGAGTGTCACCGACCTGGGTTTGACCCTGGCTCTACTACTTACTGGCTGTGTGCCCGTGAGCAAGTGTTTTCTTTGGGCCTCAGTCTCATGAATTAGAGGATACTGATTGTGCCTGCTTTACAGGGTTGTTAGGAGGATTATAAGGCACATTAAAATGCTTAGCCCAGGGCCTGCCTCAGAGTGAGCACTCAGGGTTCCCTGGGCAGGACTCATCCTGCAGGCTCAGGCTGTCAGCACTGGAAGGGGCCTTTGCTGTCACACAGCCACTGCTGCTATCCCACATCTGGACTTCCCTGCCTGGGTGGCTGTCCTCTGTGGCACTGGGTTTGACAACCCCAGTTCTTCATTTCCCCTGTATTCTCATTCTGCCATGTGACTTCAGCTCCTCCCGCTAAAGAGGCCAACTATATACCCTGCCCTCCAGCTTTGAGTTCAACCCTGTTTTGGCCAATAACATGTTAGGTAGTGGCCAGGCTGTGACCAGGCTTAACAAGCGCTTACTCAGTTGGGCTTGCTCTCTTGTTCCTCTGCTGATGCCTTGAGAACATGCCCAGGCTAATGGGCTTGTCACAGGAGGCAGAGGAGAGACGCATGGCACAGGGCTGGGCCACCCCCGCCAAGCCCAGCCCAGCTGACTGCCAGTTGTGTGAGCCAAATAAATGCTGCTTGTATGCCACTGAGATCATGTGAGTGTTTGTTGTAGAGCAATAGTTGGGCGGATACAACCTCTTTGCTCGAACACTTCCAGGGACAGGTTGTTCACTGCCTCCAGTGAACAATCCATCCCATCGTTAGTCGGCTTTGAGCAATGAAAACTTTAAGAACTTCCTGCCCCAGACCCACCTCCTTGACATCAGTAGTTCCAACCCCGGGAGAGAAGGCAAAAGACCCAAGGCCGCTGAGCAGACTCACCGTACTCTTCCCGTGGGGCTGTCCCATCTCCCCGGAGCGTGCCCTGGATTCTCAGACAGGGGTGAGCCTGAGGAAAGCAGAGGCCTGTAGGAGCCAGACAGCCCACGGCCCCAGCCAGGATGGAGAGAGGGAGGAGTGCCTAGGGCAGGGTCTGGGAAACAGCCATGGCCCCATCCAGGATGGAGGGAGGGAGGAGTTCCTGGGGCAGGGTCTAGGAAACAGCCCTCCCAGGACCTGGGCCTCACGGGTAAGAATCTTTTACAGCAGCCCAAGGTCATACCTAGCCCCTCTCCCCAGACTCAGAGGAAGTGGGTGCTGGTGGGAAAGGGGGAGGAGTTGAGGGGCCATGACAGTGGCTGCTCCGGTGGTCTCAGCAGCCAGAGGCCCAAGTGAGTAACGTGCTGTGTGGGAGTAGGAGGCTGAGGTCCTGGGCTGTCCACCAAGTGCCTGGCAGCTTCTTGTCCTTTCCCTCTGGAGGTGCCTCCCTAGCACATCTCCCCTCCGAGGAGGGCTTGGGTGTCCTTCAGAGGCAACTGGGCCTGATGGGCCCTGTCACGGGTTCCTCACTGCCCCCCAGCCCAGAACAGCGCCAAGCTTGCCTTCCCCACTCACCACCAGAACCCCGTTGGTGATGACTTCAGATGCAGGCACCTGGCTGCAAAGGATGAGGAATACATGGAGAATACATCTGGCCCCATCATGATGGCCTCTACAATCATAATGTGACTGAAGCAGCGGGCAGAGCATGAGGAACACAGCAGGGTTTGGAGTGGGGCGAGCCTGCCGCCCAACATGCAGATGGGTGTCAAGACCAGGCCATTGCCTCCAGGCCAGGCCTCCAAGGCCAGTGCAGGACATGGTGACTGGCACCTAGGAGCTGCCCTGACTCAAATCTCTGAGTCTCTGAGGGCGTTGGCTCTACCAGAACTCACCTCTTCTCCAGAACAAATTCCACCTGCAGCTCTTGTGAATCCTACATGGAGGGGGAGGGAGCACCAATTTTTTCAAGGCTCCAAAAGCCTCCAGAGCTGTTCCTGCCTGCCAGCCCTGCTTGGCTCCAGGGGCTAGAAGGGGAGACTGGCATTGTGGCTTGTCATGGACATAGGAGGGGCAGTGGTATCTCCATGGAGAACCTCATTTATTCCAAAATATGTGTCAGGTGCTGTTCTAGACATTGATAATTCAGCTGTGACTGAGGGAACACACAGCCCTCAAGGAGCTCATATTTTGGTTTCATGCAAGGAAGATGTATTAGAGGGAGACCTTTATAGGGTCAGGGCTGCGGGGTGGAGGAAGGTCTGCCTTGGAGGCTTGGCCTGTGCCGACCAGAGCCCCCTCTTTGGTGGCCCTGTGCTGGGCCTCCCCTCCTCCAGCTGGGCTCTCCGCCAGCACTGGTGGGCTCACCTGGTGGTTGAGTGGGAAGGTGTGTTTGTGAGGTTGGCCACACTTGAGGCTTCTCAGGTCAAACAGGAGCAGAGAGAGCTGGTCGCTGCCCAGGATGTCCTTGTCATAGAGGGTGAGCTCCAGGACGTTCTGGGGACAAGGCAGGCAGGAGGTCCGAGCATGAGGTAGGACAGGAGGGTAGCTGCCTGAGGAGTTCCCCTCCCGCAGCCTGGCCCCTGGCTGGCCCTCACCTTCACAGCACCATGGATCTGGTAGTGGAAGGTCTCATTCCACTCGGGGTCACTGCAGTTGGCCACTATCCTAGTCTGGGCAGGGCTTGGGGACGCCGTGGGCAGCCACAGTTGCACATAGCAGTCGGCTTTGGACACTGCAGGTAGGACAGGGAGGGGCCGGGGCCTCAAGCTCTCATTGCTGAAAAGGTTTCCTTGGGGAGGCTAGGGCAGAAGGGGAAGGAGCAGAGTGGGGAGGGGAAGCCGCCCACGTGGCATGGTGGGGTGAGGAGGTGGAGGGAGAGCCTTGATGTCTTTCACTCCATCTTGATTCCACACACCTCCCATTCACCTGAACAGAAATCCTGCGGCAGCCAGTTGGAAAGATCCCATGGCAGCACAGACCATTAATTCCAGCTACTGCCTGATTCAGGCAGTAAAATCCCCTCCCTGTGTGGGCACTGGCATGGAAAGCTCCCTGAGAGCGCGTGCTGACTTGTAGCCACAGCGGGCCTCACACTGTCACCCAGGGCGGCACTCCCAGGCACAGGGAGGAGGCCGAGTCTGCACAGCTGTCCCCTCCAGCCCTGCCTGCCCTCACCTCCATGGTCAGCACCAGTCCCTCCACCTACTCTTGCACTCACACACACACTCTTGCACTCATGCACGCACACATGTGTAGTACTCTCACACTGGCACACACACACGTATATACACACACTCGTACTCAGTCACACACACTGGCACTCACTGTCATGTATACAGACACACATACACAACACGCACACACGTATACACACATACACACTCACGTTCACACACACTCGCACTCACATATATACACTTCCACTCACACTTGCACTCACACACTCCTACATGTGTATACACACTCGCAGTCACATTTGCACTCACACACTCGCTCACACTTGCACGCATGTATATACACACTCGTGTTCCCACACACTCGCACTCACATGTTTACACCACATATACACGCACTCACACACACGTATACACATGTACTCACACTTGCACTCACACATACTTGCACAGATGCCTACACGTATACTCACACATGTATACACACATGCACTCTCACTTGTACTCACCCATGTATACTCTTACACACACACACTCTCTGTTAGCCAGCCTGAGCTGAGCTCTGAGGAAGCCGCAGGGAAAGGACAGAGAGAAGGATGGAGATGGGGTCACTCACGCAGGTCTGTGCCCCGGATGTTTGTGGCCCTCAGCACCTTCACCTGGAGGTCATAGTATGGGTAGGTTTCCCGCTGCAATAACAGAACTCCAGGGACTCAGTCAGCTAGTGTGAGCCTGGTCCCTCGCCCCATTGTTCCCCTCGTCCCATCATGGAGCAGCAACCTGGCATAGGGTCACTGACGTCTCTGTGCCGGGGAGCAGGGAGACCTTGGCGGGTCCCAGGCATTGGGAGTTCAGCACCTTCGTGATGTGTCTGGACCCTGGAACCCATCCGGTCTGGGTTCAAATCTAAATCCAGCACGGACTCACTGAACTAACGATGGCTGTCACGCACCACACACCTGCAGCTCCCCTCAGACGCTCGCGCCCCCACTCTAGCTTGGGAGCAGCTGTGAGAGCTGTGCTAATGTTGTGCTTGAGAAGATTAAATATTAAAAGAGAAAACTGTGACACCCCCTCCCTTGCTTGCTCCCTGACAGAGGCTCAAAGACCGTCTAGGAGGCAGCGAGCAGGTGAGCGGAAGCCGAGAGTCACCGGCCGGCCGGTACCGGTCTGACGAGTCACCGAGCAGATTGCAGCTGGGCTTAGGAGAGATAACATCAGCATGCTGCCTACTGGGAGGGAAACTCTCCCCTCACAACCCCACCAGCTCCGTGGACTCTACAGCCAGGCTCGCGCATCCTTGGTGAAAGCCAACCCACCCCAGACAAGTGTCAAGTGAACTAACCCTCCATTTCCTAATCGGAGGGAGCTATTTTTAAGAGCCAAGGTCTAATTTAAGCTCTGCCAGGTCATCTAGAATAAACAGGTCCCACCCCAACTCAAAACCCAGGGCTGGGGCTGGTCTCAGTCTTCACAGGGCACTGCAGCTCCCAGGACTCCCCCAGTCCGGGTTTCCCAGGTAATCTCAGGTACGTTACCCGCCAGTGCCTCCACAGAGGGCCCCTCTTCTCTCTCTTCTGAAGCAGCACTGCCCCCAGGAGGGGCAGCATCTTGTCTGCCAGCCACCTTGGCCAGAGTGCCCAAAGCATGGCTGGGCAGCCCGGGCCCCAGCAGGGAACCCTGCCTGCGCTCCTCTGGTTGCACAAACTGCTGGCTCAGGTGTGACAGGCAGCACTGAGTTGGGAGGGTGGAGCTGCCTGCTCTGCAGAGAACTCAGGCTGGATGGCCTGCTGGAGGTGGAGTTTGACATGCTCCAGGAAGTGACTGGAGCTTAATTTCCCCAGGCAGGAGGCAGCTCAGTCCCTCTCCAAGAGACTCTTGGGGTCTCTGGTTAGCACTCTTGTTCCCAAACCCAGCGCCCTGGTTATCACTGGGCTGTTTGTGAAAAATAGACACCGGAGCTATTTCCAACAAGACCTCTAGGTGAAGCTGGCACAGCTGGCCCAGAGACCAGCTGGCAAGTGCAAATCAGGGAAGAGTCTCCTCCAGCTGTGGAAAAGGCCTGAAACTAGCCACCCTTCAAGTCCCACCTTCCCTGCGGCTCTTAAGCTGAAGCCTAGAAATCTCTGCTTCAGTGTTTCATCTGGGATCAAAGATGTTTCTCTCTTTATATATATTTTCTAATTATACTTTAAGTTCTACGGTACATGTGCACAACGTGCAGGTTTGTTACATGTGTATACATGTGCCATATTGGTGTGCTGCACCCATTAACTCGTCATTTACATTAGGTATTTCTCCTAATGCTATCCCTCCCCCATGCCCCCTGCCCCCCGACATGCCCCGGTGTGTGATGTTCCCCGCCCTGTGTCTAAGTGTTCTCATTGTTCAATTCCCACCTATGAGTGAGAACATGTGGTGTTTGGTTTTCTGTCCTTGCGATAGTTTGCTCAGAATGATGGTTTCCAGCTTCATCCATGTCCCTACAAAGGACATGAACTCATCAAAGATGTTTTTAATCTCTCCTGACCACCCTCATTAATTCGCCAAACACCAAGAGCCTGGTGGGTGCCAGACCTGTGCTAGGCCCAGAAACGCAAAGGTGACAGAGGTGAGGCGGGCCCATCCACATCCTGGAGAAATTCAGTCTCATGACTCCCTGTGGCTTTGGCCCAGGCTCGCTTCCTGGGTCAGTGTACAGTGTCCAGGTACAGACAGGCATATGGGCAGGGGGTTATAAATAAGGACAGGCCAAACAACAAGTCTACGTATCCTTCAGCGACCAGATATACAGGCTTTAGCATTCTCTTTGGCCATCGTAGGCCTTAGGCTGCAGATGGATGTGATGTTCGCTCTTCTGTGGACCACAACCATCAAGGTGGCTGAGACAGGCACAGTCTCCAGGAAGAGTGAGGATCTCGGGGGCCGTGAACTGTGGGAGGGAGAGAATTTCTGTCCCTCAACTAAGATTCAGTCATCTCCACTCTTCCCAAGGCCTAGAGTCACAGGCTGAAAAATACAACATCCAAAAAAGATGTGATTCAACTCCAAAATGAACCGAATGGGCAAGTTCAGACCAGAAACTCCCCCCAAAAAAGGAATGTGTGACTGCCAGTGACCAGGCCCCAAAGAAGGGCCTGTTTCTGCTTTATTTGGATTGTGAAGCCAAGACTTGGCCTGGGCTCTAAGAAATGAGAGTCTGGCAGTTGGTGATAGCTGTGAATGTATGCAGGGGACCTGCGGATCCATACAAGAGGAGAGGGCACAGAGCTAGCTGGGGGCAGAACCAGGCTGGGGCTCTAGCTCCTGACTGATGTGTCTTTCTGGCTGTACCATCCTCTTCTGGAAGTCATCGGCCCCACTGCACAATAAAGTCATTGCCCCTAGTGCCAGATGGGACAGAGACAACAAGGACTACATTTTCTCTTTGGAGTTGGCCAAAGTGAACCAACACTTCTCCACTTCCCAAACACCTCTGCGTCCCTCCATCCCAATTCCTTCATCATGGGCTGCAGGAAGAGGCACCAGGTGCTACTACATGATGGGGGAAAACACTTGGATCTCCCAGACGCCAGTGTGTCCCGCAGAATTCTGTAATGATGGATGTGTTCCGTATCTGTGCTGCTGACTCATCAGCCATGACCACACTGGCTGTACCACGTGGCATTTGTAATGCAAGTATTATATTCATTTTTTCTTGGTCACTAATTGGCTTATTCTTCTAAGTTCTTTGCTAAACTACTATCTTTTCATTGTTATTTTCATCAAACTCCACGGGAGGGAGAAATAAGAGACCCAGATAGGCTTGGTTTCTTGCTTTATTAGGTTTATTATAAGGAGCAGTGATGAGATCTTTATCAGTCCTCACTACAAAGCTTTCATCTCCAGCCTTCTCCATAGCTCTGTGGAGGGCAGAGAGTTGAGGGAAGGAAGAATGGAGCTTGGGAGCATGGGATCATGTATGTATACCAGGAAAGAAAACACACATTCTTTATTCTATTGCTTCAAAGACAGTTTGTGAGAATGGAAGATAACAAGCACAGCTGGCCAGGAAGGCAGGGCACACATGGCAGGTCAAGTTCCTGCTATCCAGGGAGGTGGCCCAGAGCTTCCCTGCTGCTCCTGGAGGAAGCAGAGTCCAAGCTGGCCCAGATGAGGCCCCGGGCAGCACTGCTTCTGTGTGGGTATGGCCAGTCGGGACGTGGCGCCACACACTGCTCCTCCGAACTCTGGTGAAGGGCTGCCCAGCCTCACAGGCCTGAGCAGAGTCTCCCACATCTGCGAATGGGGCCAATGGCACTCACTGTCTCTTCAGGCCCCCACGGACGGCATGCCTGGGGAAGCCTAGTCTACTTACCATCAGCACGTTGATCTGTCACACAGCATGGAGCCATAGTTTACAAAGGACCACGGCAGGTCAAGGACAGGCCACTAAAACTGTTGGTGCTGGGCACCATCACCCACCCTCACCACCATCAAAGACACTGGTGCAGTGAGACTTCGAGTCTGCAAAAACCCCGGGGAGGACAGGAGGCAGGGCCACTCTCCCTGTGTGTCATCAGCCTGCAGTGCCTGAAACTCCAGCCTGTGCACCTCTGGCAGGATGCCCCACACTGCTCCACAGGTTTGGCGGTGAGTTATTTTTAAACCAGCGTCCTGCTGTTCTTGCCCCCCGCGTCCCCTCTGCTGTGCCTAAACACCTCTCAGGAACACTTGGCAGCACGCCATTGTCAGTTCCAGGTCCACTCATCCCCTGCGTGTTGCCGGGACCCACCTTCCTGCGCTATCCCAGCACAACTCTCCAACCACACCATTGCTGAACAAAGCTGGGGAGTGACGGCCAGGGCAGGCTGTAAGGCAAGTGAATGGAAACTGGCTGGAAAAAGAGAAAGGGCCCAGAGCACAAAATCGCCACGCACAAAGACTAAGCCAGCCTGCCTGAGTGTCTGGTGAGCGAAGACGGAGCAGGCACCTCTGTGGGAACATGTATCTAGGGATCACGCATACCCCAGACAGGGCAGGCCCATCCTCAGGAGCTGCAGTCACACTCAGCCCGGCCTGAGGCAAGGGATGCAGGGCCTTGCCTAGGCAGAGAATGATGCTCTCCGAGGCATCTAGGCATGGAGTGTATGGCCAAAGAGGGTCTATTTACAACATACCTGACAATCAACTAGCACTGTATTCCTAGAACTGAGACCCCTTGCTTCTCATCTTACCTTGCTTAAATATTAGTTATTCCCAGAGTCAGGGAAGTGGGAGAGAAAGCCTGGGTAGGGCAGTGAGGGAAGTGATAAATGGTGAGAAAGAAAAGGAGACTGAAAACTAACAGGGCGGCTACCGAGGGGTGCAGGGCACAGTTACCATGGAGACGTAAAACACTACACAGAATGCGAGCCATCGGGTCCATGCGGCCAGAAGCTTGAGTGCTGTTCTCTCATGGAACTCTCCAGTGAGCCATGCTGAGCGGTCCTTGTGAAGTCATGTACTTAATAGAAAAGCCCTTGATGAACAACCCCATGGTTACAAACACTTGTGACAAGTTTCCTTGTTCAGGTGACTGGTGTGCAAAGGCAAGATGGTGCACATCCTCCTGACCAAGCAGGTACTGAATTCTCTGGAATTGCCCACAACATAATGGTATAAGGTATAACTAATCTCTTTTCCCATTAAAAAGCTGGCAATGCCAGACCATGAGTCTAATTAATTCAGAGTTGTTCCAGGGCACAAGATAGCCAGTAATGTCCAAATGGGGAGCCTTGTGGTGGTGGCAGCCAGGATTCCTAAGGCCAGGTGCTCCTTCACCTCTCTGGGAGAGCCAAGCTGTCCATCCGCTGGATCCCCAGGATGCTGGGCTCAAGTGTCAGCTGGGTTTACCTCTTTGGAACAGAAGTAATGGACGACCACTCCATTGGGGTATCTTGCAAATGCACTGCAGGGAAGAAAATGGCTTGGGAGTGAGGACTGCTTCTAAGTGACCACTTCTCTGGCAGCGGCACCTCCTACAGAAGAGGCACATTGCTGGGGGGCCATTCCAAAAGCAGCCCACCCAAACCTCAAAGAACAGCCTGCCTGAGGGGCTCTGGATTTCTGTAGCCATCATCTCTGTCAAATAACCAAACAGAGGATGAGGTGCACACAGTTAAGAGTGCATGGGGTATTTTTTTATTATGCAAAACACAAGGCATATTAAAGATGGGCAGTGCACCAGCCCAAAGCTCAGCCCTGGCTTCCTGAGAGCCAACAATGTTCATCAGAACAGGTTTCAGGCTAATTCTGAAAAGGACGGCGAGTTTGTCTTTCTAAAGAAAAATATTTTTCCAGCTACATAAGAGACAAATCACTCTCCTTTGAAGAAAAGGGGACTAACTAGAGTATATGTCTTAACACAGTATGAGTCTGGCTCAGGATCCTACTTGAGTCACAATGCAGTAGCTTGAAAGATCTTTTTCTTCCTTCACTGGATCTTCCTTATAAGAACTTTCTGCAGACCTACATCTCTTGGGCACCCACTATATCAGGTTCTAGCTTCAAGAGGGGAAGAGTTTTATGGACAAGAATCCAACAGCTCCATACCATACATTGCAGGTCTTTAAATTCTCGAAGCCCACTCCCAACAGATAGAACAGGCTGCTCTCTGAAGGCTCAAGAACTAAAAGTTGTCAGGACAGCCAGCAGCCATGTTCTCCTTCTCTGTTAAAGGGCAGAAATCCATCCTGAGCGTTCTCCACCCCTGGGAACCTCCACAAAGCCCAGATGCCACACAGGTGTGAAGGAGGCTCACCTGTTCCCAATCTTCTTCTTACACACCATGCACACCTTCTCCTCTGTGATGATGCACTTCACCTGCTGGTGTAAAATCCGCTCTTCCTGGACCTGGAAGAACAGGGGGATTGAGGAAGAAGTTCTACAGTGTGGCACCCAGAAACAGGAGGCAGAGGCCAGCAACTGTGTCCTCTTTCAGTCGTCACAGATTCTTCTGCTTAGAACATTGGCAATTCAATGTCAAGCTGGCTACTGGATCAGCTTGAGCTGCACTGTACAGGCTCTGCCTTGGTCAGAAGGGAACATGTGGACATTGTCTCATACTAAAAGTTAAAAGCCCACCCTAGAGTTTGGAAGGCCCATACCTACCCTCAGGAATTCTGCATGGAGAAGGTTCTTGAGCACTTGATTGAACCGTTTCTTTTGTGCATTTTCTTCCAAGACCTTTTCCAGGAAGATGCGTATGTCATTGATCTGAGTGTTTGCTGGCAGAAGGTTGAGGGCCTAGGGACAGGAACAGAGATAGGGACTGGGTGAGGTGAACAGGAGTGAGAATGAAGAAATGTCTGCAGCCGTGGAGCTCTTGGACCCTAGTCCCTTTCCACATTTCCTCTTCTCATTCGGTGCTCCCTGCAAACACCCTCCATCTCCCTAGGAACAACTCCTGACCTTGGTGGTGTCCAGTTTGCTGTGGTGTAGCTCGAGGACCTGCAGAGCGGCCTGGAGGTTGGCTTTTGGCTCCAGTAGTTCCAGCTTGATTGGCCCCAGGCAGTGAATGCTGGGGGGCGACAGGTACATCCGAAGCAGGGACAGATACACCTGTCTCAGAGAGACATGAGCTACGTCAGGCTGGCAGCAACCCTCCCAGAACCCCCAGCACTGAGCATGCCTAACGATTCGAGGGGCTCGCCTACAGTAACAGCTATCACTGAGCATGTAAAACTGGTCATTTTCACCTTGTAAATTGGTAAGGTCAAACAGGCAACTGAAGATGTTAATTAAGGATTGCTTTTTCCCTGAGAGAAAAAACCAAATGCCTTGTATTCGTTTACCATTATGCCATTTACAAAATGCTACCACTGTAAAACAATTCAAAAAGATTCCTCATTTCCTTTGGCTTTAAAAGCTGAGACTCCGTCACATTTTTGCAGGTGGGGATATCCTAAGGTGAGATGCTGCATTGCCTACTGGTGCCAGTACCACAGGCTTTCGCAACCTCAGTGCGCATTCGGGGCCAGATGATTCCTGGTTTGGGGGCTGTCCTGTGCATTGTTTAGCAGCATCTCTGGCCTCTACCCCCTGGATTCTGGAAGCACCCCTGTCCTCAGTCACAACAATCAAAAATGTCTCCAGACATTGAAAAGTCAATGTGTATTCAAGATATAGTACATCAGAACCATGACGGGTTCCCGCTCGACAGGCAGACCTCATAATTTATGACACAAATCAAGAGAGTAAAGAGACAGGAGTGCTATTAATCACAGGGATAACAAAGATATACGCCAGAACTACCCCAAGCACACCAGGATGAATGGTCCCCTGCTGTCCCTCAATACACACATGCAAGATCAATCAGAGCCCTGACTCGTGCCCTGTCTTATTCTGCCACTCATATTATTGCCACCTCTGGTCAAACCAACGGGGAGAGGTATGCACACGTGCTCCCTGGGTCAGGGTCACTACTCACATCTTTGTTGCCATCTTTGTTTCGGTCATAGTGTTTGTGGCAGTACCTGCAAGGGAGAGAGTGGTGAGAGCAGGTGGTGTGAGGGGGGCACATCTAAATGAGAGGCTGTGCGTGCAGCCTGCTCGAGCAGCCTAACCACAGCCAAAACTGCGGGCCAGGACGGAGGCGATTCTTGCTCCCGCAGTGGAGTATGGGGAGATGGCCTTCTTAACTCTCATCTCTCTGCAGGGCCTGCTTTTAGACTGCTTAGGAGGTGGGATGTTGGGGCAAACTTACTCCTCAGCCATCCTTGTATCCTTCAAGATGTGGACATAAATGAAAAGAGCTTGTTCATGTTTCCCCATGCGCCCCAACAGGAGAGCTCGTTCTTCTAAGAGGCCTAGGAGGAAAAGGAATATGAGGAACCACTGCCGCCATCACGCAAGCACAAGGTGGGGGCTATGCTGTCAGAGGAGTGGACACGAGGCAATATAAAGGGAAGACAATAGGATTCTTATTGCTTGGGTTTTTCTTCAAGGAGAAAATAACTGAAGTTTAAAAAAGGGGGAGGGAGCTATTTTAGGAAGTACTTTATCCCATCTTTTTTGAGGTCACATATAAACTGGGTAAGAATATTCATTCAGCAGCCAAGTACTTAACAACCACCTACAACATGCTAGGTGGTTCAGGTAAGATGAGCAAATGCTTGCTCTCAGCTCTCATAAAGACAAATTATGCCAGATTACAAAAACTGCTGAACAATGAACTTGGCCAAGAACATGTTCTGAAGCAAAAAACAGGTTGCAACCTGGCTATCAATTAGCATGTGGTTCATACCCAGGAAGGAGACTTTTCTCAGTCACGGTACAAAAGTGAGTCTTCAGAGAGGACAAAACAGGAGCACTGGCCTGAAATGCCTGGTTTTTCCAGGCCCAACTTTTGTGGAGAGTTGGGGAACAATTAAAGGGGTGGATTAGTCTTTGCATGACCTTCGCTGAAGTGGCTTCTGGCCCTAAGCCAGACACTCACCATCAAAGGGAAAATCACAGATGAGCCGGCCTGGATCATAGTAGCTGGAAATCTCCAAGAACATGAGGAGCTTTTGCCGGTATTCTCCCAGCTCACCCTCTTCCTCTCCAGCTGGGACTGGGGTTTTGCCTTTAAGGGAAACCAAGCTCAAAATGAAAGGACACTGCCAGGTGGCAATGTAGGGTCATCAAGAAAAATGAAGGGAATGGGGTTCAAGGATGTCACCACATGACCAGAAAGGGCCTCCAGGGTGGCTTCCATGCTAACTTCTTTTAGTTCATAGTCTCCATGTGGCCCCAAAACATCAGCTTACGGTTAAAAAAATAAGCTGAATAGAGAAATACTCTGTGGGCAAACCTGTTTCTTATCAGTATAGCTGTCATCTTGCAGACAGGTCTGTTCCTTCCACCCTCCCCGAGGGATGACTCTGAGACACTCAGAGATGCCAGGACCTAGACAAGAGCTCCTGAGTCTCATGTGCCAGGCTTGTGTCACTTAGCTCCCCTGGCTCCTCTTCAGAACTTCTGCGCACCTGGGCAGAGAATAGGGTGGCCTGCTTACCCCCACCACACGTGGCACCTGGGTCTGTGCTCTCCTCTAAGGCCTGGGGCCAACCGGCTTCCTAAAAGAACTGGTACCTGCAGGGAAGGACAGGAGATACTCCTTCATCAGACCTTGCACCTTCTCACAGTATAGCTGGATCAGGCAGTTGTGGAACCGAGAGCCTGTCTCCTCCCAAACATGGATGATGTGTTCCTGAGGCAAGATGTAGGTCTTTGTCACTGGTATTCTCCAGGCTGTGACCTGGTCTCCCAGCCTCCCTCACATTTTTAAGGCCCAACAGGTCCCATCCAGATTATCCCCTAATCGGGCTGCAAAGATGACTAAGAGACAGCTCGTCTAAAGCCACCAGGAAGTTTCACAATGCGACCCAGTAACGTGAGGAGCCATCTTCTCAATTACTAAACTCCATTTTACTAATTTTGTCCCATAATCCTCCAAACTCTCATAGCGACTCATGTAATTGTGGTTAAATATCTGCATCCTGGTACTTAAGCCTATTTGATTGTCCTGTGGTCACTTTTGAGTTTCGCTTTGGAATTTTTTTTCCAAATGTGGCTTTGGAATTTTTTTTTCTAAAACATTATTCTTTTATCCCTCTGTAGTTTACCTAGATTTGGTAGGTAGCATTTCCAGCTTGGTCTACTGGGATCTTTTTCTTCAGAGGAAGCTGAAATAACCCTCATCCTTCCAATCCCCAAGTGACATAAATCCCAAATCTGAACAGCCCGATAACAGAACCACGCAGTCCTGGATCCTGGGTTTAAAGCTTTTTAGTGCAGACCAAAAAATACCTTACCAGATAAGGAATAGCCAGACCCTTAAAATTCTCTATTAAGAAGCCGAGGACTCGATCACGTGGCAGAGACTCCACTTCCGGGAGATCTTCAGTAAATATCTGTTAGAATGAACCCGAGTTCCAGCAGCAGAACCATCTGACTGCAGTTCCAGCAAACACACACGCATGTGAGCGCAGGGATCAAACAGACTTTAGGAGGGCAAGGGTACGAGAAGGCATCTGTAGGCAGTCAGCATGTCAGACGAGGCACAGGCCTCCTCATGCCTGTGTAAGGCTCTCTCTACCAACTACAGTGCTGGCTCGCGCTTCCCAGTCCACCCTTTCTTCATGCACCAATGAAGACAGATGCATGAATCCACCCTCCTCTCCATCCACTGCTGTCTCAAGTGCAATCAGAACCAAGTGTTTACCAGATAAATCCAAGGGACTCCTGTGGCTCACCTTCAGGCCATCTTCTGGGAAGTCTCTCAGCACCCACACTGAGTAGGAGAAAATCAAATGCAGGTTTTCTGTGCCTAGAAGGAAAAGCAGGACTTGTCAGCAGTTGAGGCCCATCTTGCCTGTGGCACTGGGAAGGCAGGTGGGCAGGTTGCCCCAGAATTCATTTTCCTGAAAAGACAGCTCAAGCATGAGCCACTTGGGGTTGTTAGCCCTACTGGGCTGGCTCCATACCAGGGGGCTGTCACAGGCCAACCACCGAGGGACTTTTATGCCATTTGGAGGAATGAAATTGAGTGAACACGAGCACGGGAGGGAGGGGAGCAACCAACCAGAAACAGAAACAGAGGGAGACCAGGTCATTTGAACAGGAGCGCTTTCCCACCCCTTTCAAAAGGCGGACTTACCCAGATGCTGCAGATACTGCACTGTCCTCTCGTGGCCTTTCAGAGGGGAGTTGGCTTTCTTGGACTGGTCCACGAGCACCTGCAGAGCTGGCCACCAAGCCCAAGAACAAGGTCATGAGCCTTTTCCCCACGGGAGATTTCCATATCTCAGTGGGTTTCCCCTGCCATGTACAAGAGCCCCTCCCAGATCCAAGGAACCACTCCCACACCTTTCTCGTGGAGCCCCTTCTTCTCATACAGGATGATAAGCTCACTGTACTTGTGAGCCTTCTTTAGCACGTGCTCGCTCTCCTCGATGTGGCAGTGATTGTTCTCCAGGCGTAGCAAGGGGGCCACCAGGGCCACATTTGTCTGCAGAAAGAGCAGGAGTTCAGTGGAAACTGCTTCCTGGGGAGCCCCACCCTTCCCTGGCCCAGGCCTGCTCTAGGCTGAAAGGCCAGGAATGTAGCACAAGCAAGAGAAAGCAGACAGCCCTCTTTCAGGACAGCAGGTAGAGGCTTTTAGAGCATTTATGGACCTTCGCACAATGTGTTTTAATGTTCTGTGGGGGAGAACATTTCTTGAAGGAAATACTGTCCCAGCTGACTTTGTAGCACTAACTGCAATCCGACCAGAGAAGATGAATCCACTGTACAATTGTGCATTGATATCTTGCCCTATCCTCTTAATTCCAAGAGACTCACAGACATCAGGAGAAGTCTATATGGTTTCCAGAATCAAAGACTTCACTCTTACTAATGGCAGGTCCCTCAGGGTCTAGCACTCCCTTTTACTTTCCCAGACTGTCAGGGTAACTGGGAATTGTGGCACCCGAGCGCTCAGGTAACTCACATGGAGATAGCACTTGAGCAGGGTGGTGTCGATGATTTGTAGCAGCTTCTTCTTGGATTTGATGGTGGGAGTGCCTTCCATGAGCGGTGAGGTGCTTGACTGGTGATCAGAGTCATTCAGCTTCTTTACCAATTGACTTCGTTTCTGCAAAGGTCAAAATGTGGGGTTAAGGCCAGGACTAAGTCTTCCTTTGTCATCTGAGCTACTGGGTAATTCTGAATACCTCCAATCAGCTCATGCCTATTGGCCTGATCTCACATTAGCATTCGATTTTTAGCACTGCCAAATTGCCACAGAGACAACAACAATTATTTATTGAATATTTACTACAGACCAGGCACCATGCCAAGCACTTTATATATACCATCTTAAACCTAAAACAAGTGCCGATAATATTATCCTTATTTTACAGGTGAGGAACCCAAGGCACAGGTGTCAGCTGCTACATAAGGGGTAGGGCAGGATTCACACTGGGGGCTGACTCCAAAGCCCATGTTCTTTTATTTTTTTAAAAATCAACCTTATTGAGGTATAACTTACAATAAAATCTAATCTTTTAAAGTGTACCATCAGATACATTTTGACAGATGTGTACATGCATGTAACCACCTCAGTGAAGGAAGATAACATTTCTATCACTCCAGAAAGTTCCTCGTGCTATTCCCAAACAATCCCACCTACTGATCTGCTTTTGATCCCTGGAGATGAGTTTCTGCCTATCCTAGAACTTCATCCAGTATGTATTCTCTTGAGTCTGGCAGAGCCCATGGTCTTGCTCTGCCATCTCTCTGGCACAATACTAGTGTCAGTTACTTCACACATTCCCATTGTCAGTGAAGAAGGCCAGGGAAGGACGTGTGCTCACCTTCCTACAGCTAAGACATTGGCAGTGGAGGGCCTTCCACAATGCCACTGGCTTTGGGAGATAGTATGCCCAGGAATCTTTTTTACTTAGCACAGTGTGTGCAGTGTGTAGGCAGTGGCAAGTTTGTGTGCTCCTTGCAGGCTGCCAGCCCCAGGAGGGTACCCCTGGAGCCCAATGTCAAGGAAGGGCCAAGGCCACCCATGCCTGATCAGACCTGCAGGGACTCACTGACCCAGAGGCAGGGAGTGGAAAGTGGCATGACAATTTTTCCAGCAATACTTCTTCTTTTTTTTTTTTTTTTTTGAGACAGAGTCTCACTCTGTTGCCCAGGCTGAAGTGTAGTGGCGCAATCTCGGCTCACTTCCACCTCTGCCTCCTGAGTTCAAGCAATTCTCCTGCCTCAGCCTCCTGAATAGCTGGGATTACAGGCGTGGGCCACCACACCCAGCTAATTTTTGTATTTTTAGTAGAGACTGGGTTTTGCCATGTTGGCCAGGCTGGTTTCGAACTCCTGACCTCAGGTGATCTTCTGTCTCAGCCTCCCAAAGTGCTGGGATTACGGGCATGACCCACCACACCCGGCCAACAGCAATACTTCTCAGTGCCTACCCTAGAGCATTCTGGAGACCTCTTACAAAGATCTGCAAAACACTTAAGAGGAAAAAATATCAATAAGGTCTCTGATTCTGAATGGGTACACAGGAAATAAACAATAGCCTTCTGTGACAGAAATCTAGGGTTAAGAGACTTTAATGGAGATGCTGGCTTTAGTGCTGACTTAAAAAATGTATCTGTCTATAACAGTAAATCATAAAAAATTTTAAATCTAAATACCTCCCTAAAAAACATGTTATATAAGGACATTTATTGATAAGGAAGTACTTTCTCAGTATATGGCTAAATTTTTAAAAAGTTAAGCTATAAAACAATCTACAATTTGATATCCATTTGCAATAAATAAACCAAGAAGTAAATAAACAAAAGCTAATTCATAGATATACAAGTCTAGAAGGACAACACTAAAATGTTAGTTTCTTACATTCTGGTGGTAGAGTTATAGGTAATTTGTATTTCTGCTTTGTACTTTTTTGTGTGTGTTTTCCAAGTGGTTCCACATACAGGAGGCATTTTCCCCAAAACCATGTATATTACAAAAAGTTTGTTTTAAAAAAACTTGTATGCTTCTATCAACTAAAATTTACTTTTTTTAGTTTCTATAACAGCTTTGTGTGAATTTACTAGGAATTGGGTGTGTTTATTTTTATCAAGATTTGGCAGAAAACCCCACCTCAATGGTACTGTAAAGTTAGAAGTAGCAGAAAGAAACTTTACCCCAGGCAGACTTCCTACAGCATTAATTTACAGACTGCCTTGGCATTAGAGAAGGCCCTCAATTCCTTGCCACAAAGAAACAAGTACTGAAACTCCCAGGCAAACTCTTTCACGCACTCTGTACTATACCTACCTGTGTCAGGTAGTCAATCAGAGCTAAGTGAGCCTTCTCCAATTCAGCCCCGGAGAGCACAGGCAATGGGTTGGGATACTGCAACTGCTTTCTGTAGTCTGTGGGCAGCAGGTCAGGGTACAGGCCCATCACATGGGTGGGATCTATATGGAAGGTAAACATGATTCCTCTGGAAAGGAGCCCAACAATTTAGGGATAAAATAAAACAGGACTATTACTATAGCAAAATAAGTTCCAGACTGATTTAAAAAAAAAAAAAAGACTCTCAGTTCATAAACATTCAACGAGCTGTAGACTTATGATTTGAGCACTTTTTATACATATGTTAAAATTCACTAAAACATCACAAAAATGCCTGACTATATTCAAATACACACACATAATTAGAATTGAATATTTATCAAGCCTCTGAAAGTAGAGAATAAAAAATTTCTAAGGAAAAATGCTGATATTGAAGTAGAAGAGATCAAGAGACTCAACAATAAAAAATTTAAGTCAAAAAAAGAAACATTACTAAAAAAAAAGACAACAGGCTAGGGAATATATTTGTAGTATATATGGCAAGAGGCTAATTTGTTGATTACAAGACTGGGCAGCATAGTAAGAACACATGTCTACAAAAAAATTTTAAATTTGCTAGGCATGGTGGCATGTGCCTGTATCCAGCTACTTGGGAGGCTGAGGTGGGAGGATCGCTTGAGCCCAGGAGGTCGAGGCTGCAGTGAGCTGTGATCATGCCACTGTACTCCAGCATGGGCAAGAGTGGAGACCCTGTCTCAAAAAAATTTTTTAAAAGAGGGTAATATGTTGATTAAACAAATTCACATAAATTGGCAATAAAATGTAAGACTTCATTTGACAAATGACCAAAAGACAAGACCAACTGACAAGAGAATATAAATATGTGGGAAAATGTTCTGCTATATTAAGAATCAAAATGGTGCACGTTAACAATGTCAAAGAGGTGACATTTTCCTTCTGCCTTAGAATTTATGGTGTTCTCACAGATGCTCGCAGATTTTTTTTTTTTTTTTTTTTTTTTTTTTTGAGACAGGGTTTTGCTCAGTGGCACAATCTTGGCTTCTTGTAGTCTTGACCTCCTGGCTCAAGTGATCCTCCTGCCTCACCTTCCCAAGTAGCTGGGACTACAGGCATGTACTATCCTGCCAGCTAATTATTTTTAAATTTTTTGTAAAGACAAGGTCTCACTATGTTGCCTAGGCTGGTCTTGAACTCCTGGGCTCAAGCAATCCTCTTCTCTTTGGTCTCCCAAAATGCTGGGATTATAGGCATGAGCCACTGTACCTGGCCACTCCCAGATTGTAACAGCAAAATGCTGTAAGTAGCCAACATATCCCCTCACTGACTGGGGGCTGGTTATATAATTTACAGTGCATCAATGCTGTGGAACACTATGGTGTATGGTCAATTGGCACTTCCCATCCATTTCTACTCCTTTATAGTCCACAGGGGCTATAAAACTGAAAACTACTTTTATCAAACTCCCTAGCAGTCAGGGTTCTAAGTGAAAATCTGGTTCCACCCAGAAACAGGATATGAGATTTGGAAACTGAAAGTGAGATGGAAGCCTCCCTCTTCCAGCTCATGAGTGTGTGCAGCCAGACTCGGCATTTCCAGTGTCTGGTTATCAGCTCTGCCATTCCATAGAGGCACCTGCCTGGATACAGCAGCCTGCACTCAGTCACCAGCTCTGTGGGAACTGAGGATACTACAGGGCTTAGGCTGTGGAAGCAGTAGCAACTTGCTGACCTCTGGATCACAGGGATGTGCCCACATCAATGTCCAGTAGTGGAACCCTGTCTTCTGCTCATTCAGCTCATCCAACAATCTGTGTGTCTATATGTAGTAAAATATACATGCCACAATATTTATCCTTTTAACCATTTGTAAGCATACAATTCAGTGGCATTAAATACATTCACACTGTTGTGCAACCATCACACCATCCATCTCCAGGACTTTTCCATCATCTCAAATTGAAACTACCTTAATAATAAACAATTACTCCCTATTCTCCCTCCATTCCAACCCCTGGGAACCTCTCTATTTTACTTACAGTCTCCATGAATCTGCCTACTCTAGGTACTTCAGATAAGGGCAAGTTCTCTCTTCCAGGCTATGTGGAGTCTTGGTGGTAGGATAGCTCTAGGGACCTACCTTTGCCTTCAGAAGCAGAGGGGAGCCAAACCTCTTTCTCCACCCCTAGTAGAGTCTGGGGGTCAGACCATGACCTAATCCTGGCTAATCAGATCCCTTGATCTGGAGGAAATGATGCAAGGATGACAAGTAGCGTGGTACACACCAACATATATCATACATCCCATCCTATGTGCTCCTCTTAGGTAACATGACACTCCTCCATCAAGAGAGGAAGTCTGATGAACTTCCTTGCCTTGAACCTGGCAGGACCCTTGTAAACCAACAGAATATAGGAAGAGTGAGAGTCACAAAAGACATTGAAGCTTCTGCCTAGGTCTCTTAAACACGCCTTCCGGAAAGAGCCAGCTGTTATGCATGAGGACACTCAAGCAGCTCTGAAGAGAGACCCCCTTGGACAAGAACTGAGGCCCCTGGCTCCAGCCAGCACCACTTTTTCAGCCATATGAGTGAGCCAGCTTGGAAGTGGATCTTCTAGCCCCGATTTCAAATGATGGTAGCCCAGGTGACATAAAACTGCAACTGCCTGAGAGATCTGAAGCAAGGACAGTGCAGCTGACCCCTTCCCAAACTCCGGACCAACAAGTACTAACAGAGATGGATGATTACTGTTACTTTAAGCCATACAGTTTTGGGGAGATTTCTTACGTAGCATTAGACAGCTAATACACTAGCAGAGGGCAATTTTTATCAAGGATGCAACAACAGGGGAAGTGGCAGTGGCAACGGCTAAGAAGGTGGCTATGCTAGTGCAGGATGGCCCAGCCTGTCCTGGCTACAAACTGATCATTGTCTGGCTTCCTGTTTTGTTTCCAGCTGGGAGGGCTTCCAGAGCTCCCTTCGTTTCCATCTATTCCCCAGCCTAATCTCCCATCAATTTTATGAATTCTTTCAACTGTCATTACCCTAATATTCCAATAAACTCTGCTTAATTTATCCAGATTCTACTTAAACGATCCAGAGTTGGTCTCCATTGCTCACAACCAAGAATCTTGACTGATACAGGGAATTACCACAGTTCATTACTGGCCAAGGTTGAGGAATGGTGGAAAAAAGGCAAAGCAATGAAGAGGAGAAAAGAGGAGATGCTAGTATGATATAGAGTCAATCCAAGTATATATAGATAGATTGATCCAAATTAAGCAAAACTGGGATATACAGTTTTGAATATACAGTAATGAAATTCAATACTAATAACATCAAACACTTACAGAGCACTTGTTAAGTGCCACACACTGTTCAAAGCACTTCATATAATCCTTATAGCAGCACTCTAAAGCAAGCAGTAGTATGATCATCTCTTTTTTGCAGAGGAGAAAGCAGAAACACAGAGAGGTCCAGTAACTCTACCAGACCTCAGGCAGACCCCAGGGTACCTGCTCCTCGCCACTACACTCATGTCTAGAGGTTTCAGGACATTAAGAAAAGGAAGAGCTTCATGGCACTGCCCTGTGTTGGCTCTCATAAATGATCTGCAGTTTAATCCAAGGACTTTGGTTCAGAACAGCATTCAATAAACACTAGCTGATCAAATACCCATTTGTTGAACTGAATGACTTTCTGCTACCTTTCTCTAATGGCAAGGGCATATCATACTGGAAAATTGGGAGTCCACATTTATTGAGAAGACCAGATTCATAGGATTAGGAGTATAGATATGTAACCACTGTGGTCACCCCACAGGATCTTGCTAGGTATGAGGATCAATTTAGCTGAGCCTAAACCTTCTCCATTCTCAGAAGTCTGTTATCATTTCTCCCCATACTTTTCAGGCTCCCCTCCTCCATTAGTCCCTTATATAAAGGCCTCACCACTTGTTACCTGTGCCAAGTTTAGCAAAGACCTGCATGGACTCATCAAAACGCTTCTGGCAGAAGAGGTTGAAGGCATACAAGTTCTTGATGTGATGAATTTGTTGCTGCTTTTCACTGTCAGAATCATCTTTCATTTCCTAATAACGGAGCAGAATATGTAAGAGTTCACTCACTCAACAAATATTGTTCAGTATGTTCTTGATGTTAGAGAAGATGCTAGGAGCTACAGACACCAAAGTGTACAAGACAAGGCCGGGCGCGGTGCCTCACGCTTGTAATCCCAGCACTTTGGGAGGCCGAGGCGGGCGGATCACAAGGTCAGGAGATTGAGACCATCCTGGCTAACACGGTGAAACCCCGTCTCTACTAAAAATACAAAAAATTAGCTGGGCGTGGTGGCACGTGCCTGTAGTCCCAGCTACTCGGGAGGCTGAGGCAGGAGAATCACCTGAACCCAGGAGGTAGAGGTTGCAGTGGGCCAAGATCATGCCACTGCACTCCAGCCTGGGTGACAGAGTGAGACTCCATCTCAAAAAAAAAATAAAAAATAAAACAAAGTGTACAAGACAGCCACATGGTATCCACCTTGCAGCCTGCCCTTACAGTCTAACTGTAAGACTGCTAAGTAACTACGCAATTAAAACACAACAGGGTTTCTACAAGATGCCTAACCGGTAATCTTGAAAATTGTCATGGTCATGAAAAACAAGGAAAGATAAAATGTCACAGACCAGAGGACACTAAGGACACATGACAACTAAATGCAATCTGATTTCTGGATTTGATTCTGGAACAGAAAAAAGGACACTAATAGAAAAACTGGCCAAATCTGAATAAAACCTAGAGTTTAGTTTAAAAACACAAAATAGGGTAAGAGTGATGATAAGCATGTGGGAGGGGTCCCCAATCCAGTCTGAGTCCGGGGTCCAGGATGGATTCCAAGAGGGACCTAAACTGAGACATAACGGATGAGTTGGGCCAGGCACGGTGGCTCATGCCTGTAATCCCAGCACCTTGGGAGGCCGAGGTGGGCAGATCACCTCAGGTCAGGAGTTTGAGACCCAGCCTGGCCAACATAGTGAAACCCGTCTCTACTAAAAATACAAAAATTAGCTGGACATGGTGGCATGTGCCTGTAATCCCAGCTACTCAGGAGGCCAAGGCAGGAGAACTGCTTGAACCCAGGAGGCGGAGGTTGCAGTGAGCCAAGATCACGCCACTGTACTCCAGTTTGGGTGACAGAGCGAGACTCCATCTCAAACAAAAGGATGAGTTTGAGTTAGCTAAATGAGGCTGAGCAGATGACAGGGAGGGGAAGAGGAGCATGTACTCCCCAGCAAAGGAGACAGCACATGTGCAAGGCTTTAAAATGGCAGAGAGAGCACAGTGTACTCAAGGAATGAAAAACATCCGATGGGCCGGGCGCGGTAGCTCACGCCTGTAATCCCAGAACTTTGGGAGGCTGAAGCGGGCGGATCATGAGGTCAGGAAAGACCATCCTGGCCAACATGGTGAAACCCCGTCTCTACTAAAATACAAAAAATTAGCTGGGCGTGGTGGCGCACGCCTGTAGTCCCAGCTACTCAGGAGGCCGAGGCAGGGGAATTGCTTGAACCCGGGAGGCGGAGGTTGCAGCGAGCTGAGATTGCACCACTGCACTCCAGCCTGGCGATAGAGGAAGACTCTGTCTCGGGAAAAAAAAAAAAAAAGAAAGAAAAAAAACAGAAAGCCATCTGGCATAGCTGGCACGGTCGGGAAAGGTCCTATTCTCAGTAAAAGCTAAACAAATGCAGCTGCTATGAGCTTTGCTTCTTCCTCATAACCTATTTTCCCCTTATACCTCTTTAGCCAATCTTTATCAAATTTAGTTTTTTCTTTCAAAATGTCTCTCAATTTCCCCCTTTCCTTTCTTTTCCTATTACCGCCACACTAGTCCAAGCCATCATCAACATGTGGCTGTCCCTGGTCTCCGCTCTCCTGCTTGGTGCTTCAAAGGCTTCCAAAACCTGGTGCCAGCTTCCTTATCTAGCTGAGTCCCAAACACTTAGGCCATACCTTCTTCTCCAGTCAGGACAGGCTCCAAATGCGATAGACACAGGCCACACTTTACACTTCTTTAACTTCCTCTCCATCTGGAATGTTCCATTTCCTGCTCTTGATCCTAATCTAACATATTCTTAAACGGTCAACTCAAGTGTCCAGCCGTAGGATGCCTTTTCCAGCCCACAGCGAACTGTCCCTCTCTGACACTTGGCTCCAGGACTTATCAATGCCAAAGTTTAGTTTGTAATTTCCCTCTGAAAGTTCCATTATGTTTGTGTATCTATTTAAATAAAAGATAGGTTCTTCCTGGACTAACATGATGTCAATCAACCTTTTTTTGTCATAAAAAGGGCAGAGCACAAAATAAGTATGAGCCTAGAAAAGAGAAGGAAAAATGGGAACCCACTTCCATTTTCTTTACCTGAGATTAAACAACCTGAACTAGGAAGATCACTGAAAAGACTCTGAGACCTTTCTGCTAAGAAAAATAGACTAAAGAGTTTCATACTGCATAACCTTTTTATCAAAAACTAAATACATTACTTCCATATGTTAAATATATGTAAAAGATTAAACATATGTGTTTAATCATTAAATATATATTTTAAACGTATACTAAATATGTTTATATTTTAAATATATATGTAAAAGAGTAAGGTCATGATAAATACAAAATTTAGGATAATGATTACATCTGGAGGAGAGGCAGAGGGATGGGATGGGAAGGATTATAAAAAGTTATAAAAGTTATGGTTCTTGGGTAGGATGGTGAGTTCATGGGTATTCACTGTATTATTTTTAAAAATGAAAATAAAATAATATAGGACAATGCATGAGTAGAAAAAAAAACAGTAAGATGCTGAAATTCAGTGCTCTAAGAAAGCAATCATCTTTATGGAATATTAACTATGTCTTACTATTAAGATCAGATTTTTATTTTAAATCCAGAACATATATGTCCAAAGTAAATGTTCTTCACGAGTAGCCACCATAGGTAACTTAAAGTATCTGCATTCTAAAAAAGTGCTTTCCTTTTAGAAATAGTTTACAGGATACTCTAGAAATTCAGTTTTATTACTATTATCTTCATAAACATCTCTTCTTTAAAGTATCACTATCTGAGGCTGGGCATAGTAGTTCACATCTATAATCCCAGCACTTTGGGAGGCTGAGACAGGAGGATCACTTGAGCTCAGGAGTTTAAGACCAGCCTGGGCAACAAAGTGAGACCCTGTCTCTACAAAAAATAAACAAATTAGCTGGGTGTGGTGGTACATGCTTGTGGTCCCAGCAACACAGGAGGCTGAGGTGGGCTGATCACTTGAGACCAGGAGGTCAAGACTGCAGTGAGCCAAGACTGCATCACTGCACTCCAGTCTGGGTGACAGAGTGAGACCCTGTTTTAAAAAAAAAAAAAAAAAAAAAAAAAAACCTCAAAAAACCCCCAAATACATAAAGTAGCAATATCTGGTTTAACAACTAGGTTAGGCTCAGAATGACTTTTGGTTGTTTCCTAAAAGCAAATCCACCCCCTACAGATGACAATAATCATCACTGACGATGTTTAAAAGAACAAGACACAGACTCTGACATCAACATTGGAACAAGAGGTGGTCACTATTTTGCTGTGAACAAGATCCCTTGCAAACATTACAGTAAGCATCATAAATATAAGACTGCCGCCTGGCTGAATACAACAACTTGAAGTAGTTTCAGAATATCAAAAGAAAGCCTACTTATCCAAACATAGGAGTCTACTGTGGAAAGGAATTTTGAGGGGTCCTCTAGTTGTTGCATTCAACTTTACTATAACAGTATATTTATGATTGCTACTAAACTTTAATGTCTCCATTATCTTTAATTTTTCATGACCATACAATATATTAAATTATTTTATTCTCCCATTAATTTTTTTTTTTGTTTTTTGAGACAGAGTCTCGCTATGTCACCCAAGCTGGAGTGCAGTGGCATGATCTTGGCTCACCGCAACCTCTACCTCCTGGGTTCAAGCAATTCTCCTGCCTCAGCTTCCTGAGTGGCTGGGATTACAGGTTCCTGCCACCATGCCCAGCTAATTTTTGTATTTTTAGTGGAGACAGGGTTTTGTCATGTTGGCCAAGCTGGTCTCGAACTCCTGACCTCAGGTGATCTGCTCGCCTTGGCCTCCCAAAATGCTGGGATTACAGGCGTGAGCCACTGCTCCCGGACTCTCACCTTAATTCTACAAGGTACTATTACTAGAATTGATATTCATTCTACATTTGACAGATAAAGTGAAAAAGTAAACTCACTTAGAGTTACATAGATATTTTACGGTGGAGTCAGACCTAGTATTCAAGGCCCTGGACTTTCAGCTATGTGCTTATTCTACTAACCCAAAATAAATATGAACATTGAAACCCAAATCACCTACTTTCAAGAACAATAAGGAAGGAAGACTAGTCAGGAACAAGACTTACTGCGAGCTGCAGAGCCAATTCAAACTGCTTGTCCTGGAGAAGTTGTTGGATTTGGGTTGCCATGGGGACAGGGATGAGTCTCCAAACAAAATGATTGCTGGCCACATAGATAATGTTTGATCTGGAAGCAAGAGTAAGAATATTAGCAAAAGATCACAGGCTTTGTGATGACACAGGTGACTTTACAACTTTGGGATAATATACAGCCATAGCAAAAAAAGAAATTCCTTACCCTCCTGAGGTAATGAAACGGGGCCTTTGCAATTCAATGCTTTGGACCAGAAGCCTCGGTTCAAATGTTCGGATCTCAACATATCGAGGCAACACTGCAATGATGTAGGGAGGCTGGTGCTCTGTGAAAGAGAACATACACAGCAGTTGTTCCGGTCTAAGGCTTTGGGTTTATGGAGTGTTTCAGCTGCCCATTCTAAGATACATTTAAATGGATCTCCAAAAAGTCCCCTAGTCAAATATCAAGCCAGGATCTTACACTGTGATTCAGAAAGAAAGAAAAAAAAAATTGGCCTGTAATCCCAGCAACTTGAGAGGTTGAGGTGGGAAGGTCACGTAGGCCGGAAGTTTGAGACCGACCTAGGCATCTTAGTGAGACACTGCCTCAACAAAAACATTTATTAAAAAATTAGTCAGGTGTGGTGGTGCACACCTGTAGTCCCAGCTACTCAGGAGGCTGAGGTGGGAAGATCATTTAAGCCCAGGAGTTTGAGGCTGCAATGAGCCATAACTGCACCACTGCACTCCAGCATGGGTGACAGAGTGAGATCCTGACTCTAAAAAAAAGAAAAATAAAAAAAAATTGCTTTGCTTGAGTTATGATCAGAGAAATCTCTTGCACAAAAAAGACACATCAGCTGTGCTGACAGTCACCTGATCCCACTCCTGCCTTATTCCCCAAAGAACTGGATAAAAGTTTCACTTGCTCCTTTTTCATCAGTCACAAAGCCAGGCCAGACAAAGGCCAGTTGCAGCTGCCCATAACAATGCATCAGTGGGAGAACCAGGTAACAGAACCTCTTCTTTCATTCTCTTAGAAAAGTGGCGGGAGGGGGAAAGGCCGGGTGCAGTGGCTCACGCCTGTAATCCTAGCACTTTGGGAGGCTGAGGCAGGTGGATCACGAGGTCAGGAGATCGAGACCATCCTGGCTAACATGGTGAAACCCTGTCTCTACTAAAAAAAAAAAATACAAAAAAATTAGCCGGGCGTGGTGGCAGGCGCCTGTAGTCCCAGCTACTCGGGAGGCTGAGGCAGGAGAATGGCGTGAACCTGGAAGACGGAGCTTGCAGTGAGCCGAGATGCACCACTGCACTCCAGCCTGGGCGACAGAGCAAGACTCCATCTCAATAAATAAATAAATAAATAAATAAATAAATAAATAAATAAATAAATAAAATAAAAAATAAAAAAAAAAGAAATAAAAAAGAAAGGTAGGGGGAAGGCAAATTCTGTTTTCCCTAAAATTACTCTAAGGGAAGAGTTCCACATTTCTAGCCAATGTTGTTTCTGCTAGAGATTTTCACAGAGAAAAGGTGTGATGCTCCACCTGATGGCTGCTATGGTTTGGCTATTTTTATTCCCTCCCCAACTTATGCATTGGACACTTAATCCTCAGTGCAAAAGTGTTGGGAGGTGGGGCCTAATGGGAGGTGTTTAGGTGGTGAGGCTCCAGCCTCATCAATAGATTAATGCACTATAAAAAGGGCTTGTGGAGTGGGTTCTCTCTCTTCTGCCATGTGAGAATGCAGAGCTCATCTTTCTCTTACCCTTCTCCTTCCACCATGTGAAGGAGCATCAAGAAGGCCCTTACCAGACACCAGATGCCGGCACCCTGATCTGGGACTTCCAAGTCTCCAAAACTGTGAGGAAACAAATTTCTGGTTTTTATAAATTACCTAGTCTGTGGTATTCTGTTATAGCTGCACAAATGAACTAAGACATGGCTTAATGGTACACAGAGAAGGTGGCTGGATGGACTTCTCAGTGAAGGCATTTCTATTTGATACTTGCTGTCGAGTCTTAAAATTGTTTTCCTCTATTATATCTAAAAAAAAACCTTTCATTCATCTATCCATGACCCCAAATTTACCCTTCTGATCCAGTACAAATTATTGGGTTATACTCCTTTTCTTCACTCTTCCTCTCTCTTTTGAAAATAACTTTTAATATATCCACTATATTTTTCTGTACTTTTTGACAAGCATGTGACAGTCCAAAGCTTAAAATGCTGGATGAAGCAGAACAATTCCACACAGTGCTAAAGAAGTCAGCATGCAAAAAGCAGACTGACAAAACCATAAAATCATTGCAAATCAAGTCTTCCAATATTTGAGAAGTTGTATGGTGAAGGAGATTTAACATAAATGGAGGGAATTTAGAAAATAAGCAACACAAAACATATCTTTAAAAACACAAATCTCAGAACAAGACTGAATAAGGATCTGCTTTACCTTACACTGAACTGTAAGATAAATTTATTGTTTGTATACTATATGAAACATAATTTCACTAACTTAGAGATAATAGAAATATTTTCTATGACTATATTCTGTGCTATATCAAGAATCCGTAAAGAACTACAGTGAGATATCACCTCATACGCCTTTAGGATGGCTACTATTAAAAAAATGAAAATAACAAGTGTTGACAAGAATATGGAAAAATTGGAACCCTTGCGCACTGTTGGTGGGACTGTAAAATGGTGCGGCCGCTATGGAAAACAGTATGGTGGTTCCTCAGAAAATTAAAAATAGAATCACCATATGGTCCAGGAATCTCATTTCTGGGTACATATTCAAAACAGTTGAAAATCAGGATTTCAAGGAGATATTTGCACACACATGTTCGTAGCAGCATTATTCACAGCAGCCAATGGTGAAAGTAACCCAAGTATCCACGAACGGATGGATAAACAAAATGTGGTATATACACACAGTGGAATATTATTACTTTTTTAAGTAATTATTTTATTACCTTTTTAAGTGGAATATATATTACCTTTTTAAGGTTCAGCCTTAAAAAGGAAGGCATGAACCTTGAGGACATTATGCTAAATTAAACAAGGCAGTCACAGAAAGACAAATACTGTATGATTTCCCTTATATGAGGTATCTAGAAGATGTCAAATTCATAGAAGCAGAAAGGAGAATGGTGGCTTCAGGGACTGGAGGGAGAAGAACTGAGGAGTTGTTAATGGGTATAGAGTTTCAGTTTTGCAACATAAAAAAGTTCTGAAGATCTATTGTACCACAATGTTAACATACGTAATACCACTTAACTGTACACTTAAAAATGGTTCAGGTGGTAAATTGTATGTTATGTGTTTTTTACATTTAAAAATAAAAATGTTTTTAAAAGTAAAAAAATTAGTAAAAAGCAAACCACTAGATGCATAATTACCACATAGAAATTTAACTTCAAAATATATATTCATAAAAATAATTTCTTAGTGTGTCTAATTTGCTAATATTTCTAATTATCCTTTTTTTTTTTTGAGACAGAGTCTCTCTCTATAGGCCCGGCTGGAATGCAGTGAGTGGTGTGATCACGGCTTACTGCCGCCTCCATCTCCCAGGCTCAAGCAATCCTCCCACCTCAGCCACCCAAGTCCTGGGAATATATGCGTACAGCACGATGCCCAGCTAATTTCTTAAATGTATTTTTTGTAGAGACAGGGTCTCACTATGTTGCCCAGGCTGGTCTCAAACTCCTGGGCTCAAGCAGTCCTCCTGCCTCAGCCTCCCAATGTGCTGGGATTACAGGCATGAGTCGCTGCACTAGTTTAATTATCCATTTTCTGATAAAAAGTTTTTCCTATTATATTTGCAATTTATACTATCAATGAATAGTACAATAAAATTTCAAAGCTATGAGGGAACTCAGAAATGAGTAACTTGAGAACTAAGTTATATTTCTATCATTTTGAACGCTACTGCTATTATACTGATATTTTTCATCTTACCAGAAAAATGAAATTAAAAGCATATTGTTTTATATTGAATTTTTTATTTTATTTTTATGCTGGCCTCATTTTGAAAAGTTAGTACAATTTTCTTTAGTGCTAACTTGTATAACATATGTAAAATTTCTTTCTCCTTTTAAAATCTGTCCCACTTGAATACGTTCTCATTTAATTAAAAAGGTAATCTATAACAGAAACCCCTTTGGTTGTCATATCTTTTGTTGACAATAGAGATGGTCTGGATCTCTTTATATCTCCAAAAGTTGGGAGACTGGCTGGTGTACAGCAGGCATATAAATAATGACTGACCAGGATAATGATGCAATTATTCAGCAAGCATTTTCTTACACGCTCTGATGTTTCAGGCACTGTACTATGTAGTAAGGACTCAAAGTGGATCAAGACATGCATCCAGACCTCACAGAGCTCCTACAGGAACAGAGGAGACAGATCGCTCACGTGTGACAAGTTGCTGTGACAGAGATACCTGAAAGGGTTAGGGAAGCACCAAGAAGTGACTAATCCTGCCTGTGGGTCAAAGGAGACCTCACAGGGCAAGTGCCTCAAAACTTTCTTCAGCAGTAAGACACAGACATGGTTTTGAGAAGCACTGATGAAGGCCCCAGGCACTAACGAAGGTTGGAAGACAGGAACTCTCATCCTGGGAAATCAGAAACACGCTTGACTTTTACATGCCTCTTAAACTCATCTACCAAAGTTCCTCTTCTGAAGGGAAAACAAGGTCGCCTAGAACATCGGGAAAGCCTCTCATAAAGCTCCATAAGCCCCTCAAACTTGTGACTATCCATAATCCTGGGCCTTTTAAAATACTGACCTTTTGATTTCTCTTCCTTCTAGTCTACTTATCTCTAACCACAACCAGAACAATCACCCTAGAACATGATGTGTTTTTTGTTTTTTTTTTTGAGGCGGGAGTCTTGCTCTGTCACCCACGCTGGAGTGCAGTGGCACAATCTCGGCTCACCGCAACTTCCCCCTCCCTTCAAGCAGTTCTCCTGCCTCAACTTCCCAAGTAGCTGGGACCACAGGCACACACTGCCACACTCAGCTAGTTTTTTTTTTTTTTCGTGTTTGAGACGGGGTTTCACCATGTTGCCCAGGCTGATTGTGAACTCCTGAGCTTAGGCAATCTGCCTGCCTCAGCCTCCCAAAGTGCTAGGATTACAGGCGTGAGCCACTGTGCCCGGCCAGAACATGATGCTTTTATCAAGACATTCTACCATTCAGGAATCTACTGGCCTCCCAGACCTTCTCACGGACATCTACCAACTGGCCCTATTTCACTGCTCTGTAATTCAGACCACCTGTATCAAGTCAGGCTCTGTAATACCCTCTCCCAAATCGGCATGTCTTTCTTTGGACTTCTACTCATTTATTGGGCTTTCTGCCTAGATTGAATGGAAATTTTTCTTCAAGCCAGGTTCCAAACTCCCTGCCTGACCTAGTCCATAGTTCAGTCTTACCTATGTAATGAAACTTCTTCCTAATTAAACAACAAACTTCCCTTTCTCTGAACTACTGAATTTTAACTCATCCAATTTAACACCTTAAGCAGTGCCTTGTTTTGTCTCTTTATCCAAGACTGTAACCCTTGTCTCCAGAGACAGGGGTCTTTAAAGACAGAAAGCATGTCAGTACGTCCCACTTCACAGCAGTAACTATTTTAGTAATGCTCACTCTTCCGACTGAAAATAAAATGGGGCAAGAGTGGTTATATGCTTCCAGGCAATTCCATTGTGGAGAGCTGGGAACCTGAAGCAAGCATAAGAACAGAAGCACCTAATGCGTAGAATAGAGGCTGACACCAAAATCACCTAAATGTTGTCTGTGCCTCTAAGCTACAAAAAAAAAAAAAAAAAAAAAGCAACAATAGAAAAACCCTTCAACATGGAATTACTATATCAAAAACCCTTCAATATGGAATTACTCATACTATAGGAATACACAAGGAATTTCCACTAATTTCCAAATGTAGTCTATTTGGCAGAGGACACAATCAAAACTCTTAAAAAAAGGAGGAAGAAAAAAACTAAGAAGTAAAAGATAGCAGTAGATAATCACTTCCTAAAATAAACATTTCTGTTTATATGTTTTCCCCCTCTGGAGTAAAACTCAGCTTCTTGCAAGAACTAGACTATCCCATTTTTAATGACCCTAAAATGTCATCTACTTATAAGAAGGGGAACTGAAAGTGAATGACACAACGTAAACCAGTCTGCTAAAGCTACGAATGGGACTCCGTTCTGCAGGAATGGCACACAACCTCAACCCAAAGTGGGAAACAGCAGCTACTGTTGGTCTCACCCATGGCCACTGGTATGTCCGTCCAGTTCAGGGCACATTTCTGTGTGCAGATCCCTTCCTCATTGAGTACCACGGTGAGATCATCCTGGCCCACAGCCACTTTTCCATCTGCCAGAGGTGCAACTAAGGGCTCCAGCTGTTTTCCTGTTGGAAAGAGCTCTTTGATGGACCCCTTTCCATCCACCTATAGGAAGAAACAGAGTGAGTCACCTAGCATTCCCCAGCCAGAGGTAAGAACACAGGAAAAATCCAGATAGAACCCGAAACCTAGAGAAGCCAATAATATTCCTTGTTTGACATAAGAAAATGTTACAGAGTTTATTATAATAACCGTTGTTATCACAATGTAAAACCCGTTCTCTAATGCAAAGGAAAGCATCTAGCCTGGCAACTGACAATGCCAGGTGCTGGCAAGAATGCAGAGCAACTAGAACTCACATTCACTGCTGGTGGGAATGCAAAATGGTGCAGCTGTTTTGTTTGTTGGTTTCTTACAAAGTTTAAGATACACTTGCCATATGCCCCTTAAAGATACACTTACCATATGCCCCAGCAATCCCATTCCCAGGCATTTGCCCAGGAATGCCAATGTATGTTTACACAAACGCTTGTATGCAAATGTCTTAGATGCTTATTCAAAATTGCTAAAAATTGAAAACAACTTTTTTTTTTTTTTTTTTTGGAGACAGTCTTGCTCTGTCGCCCAGGCTGGAGTGCAGTGGCACAATCTCAGCTCACTGCAACCTCCGCCTCCTGGGTTCAAACAATCCTCCTGCCTCAGCCTCCTGAGTAGCTGGAACTACAGGCGTGTGCCACCACGCCAGGCTAATTTTTTTTTTTGTATTTTTAGTAGAGATGGGGTTTCACCGTGTTAGCCAGGATGGTCTCAATCTCCTGACCTCGTGATCCACCCGCCACGGCCTCCCAAAGTGCTGGGATTAAAGGTGTGAGCCACCGCGCCTGGCCAAAATCAACTTTGTCCATCAACTGATGAATGGATAAACAAACACCTTGCCATAGACTACTATTCAGCCATGAGAAAGAATAAACTATTAACACACACAACAACATGGATAAATCTCCAGTGCATTCTGCTAAGTGAAAGAAGCCAGACTCAAAAGCCTACATATTGTGTCATTCAATTTATATGACATTCTGGAAAAGGCAAAGCTATAGGAGATGAAGAACAGATGAGTGGTTACCAGAGGTCTAGGAACAGAAGGAGAGGCTGACTTCAATATGAGGGAATTTTGGGGGGTGATGGTAGTGTTGTGAATCTCGATTGTGGCATTAGTCACATAAATCTAAGCATTTGTCAAAACACAGAACTGTACACCAAAAAGAATAAATTTTACTGTATGTAAATAAGTAATTTCTGAATAGCCTGGTCCTAAAGCAAGGTTTCCCACCCTGAAGGTGATGTCAGCATCCAAGGCAGTCAGAGAACTGAGAGCCTTAAGTCCAGCTTTTGCTCAGTTCCCTTATTCCTTGTGCGCTCTCTCACCATCTGTAGGCCTACTTGCTATTGAGTCAGTGGCACAGCAGTGACTCCTCCAGGAGTCTGCAACTCTGATGCTGATAAAATCAGGATATTCAAATGACACAAAGATGGAACAAATATATTAACAAGATAACAATGGGGCCAGGCATGGTGGCTGTAATCTCAGCACTTTGGGAGGCTGAGGCAGGAGGGCTGCTTGAGCCCAGGAGTTTAAGACCAGCCTATGCAACATATTGTGACCCCATCTCTACAAAAATACAAAAAAAAAAAAAATACAAAAATTAGCTGAGCATGGTGGTAGGCATCTGGGCTACCTGGGAGGCTGAGGTGGGAGGACTGCTTGAGCCCAGGAGACGGAGGCTGCAGTGAGCCAAGATCCTGCCACTGCACTCCCGCCTGGGTGACAGAGGGGTACCCTGTCTCAAATAAAATAAAATAACCAATGAAGAGCTCACCCAGTGGAAGGTAGAGAGAGAGGCTTCTAGAATTGCCATGTCTGAATTACAAGGGGTGTGAAGCTAAGAGATTTAGATTATTCAATGAAACGAACAGTGTGTCAATCTTTTCTACATATAGTATGCATATTGGAGAAAAACAACGTCATGGATATTTACAACTTACGTTAAGAGAAAACACAGGTCATAAAACAATTGTATAGCATAGTATTTTTACCAATAGGATGGAAGTTCATATACCAAGAAGTTGGCAGTGACTATTTCTGAGTGGGGGGACTATGGTTGATTTGCACTTCCTTTATCTCCTTATCTATATTTTCTGTAATAAACACGTGTAAAAACACGTGGCTTTTGAAATTTAAAAAAATAGTGAGAATCACTTTTAGTACAAACATACAAAAAGATTTGACGGCAGGAGAGGAAACTCAAAGTCTTAAAAATACTTAAGTTTATACTAAAATTAGTTTAAAATTCCTAAGCACTGAAGCCTTAGGATAGCAGTCCATGATGATCCACTGGACAGAGGCAAACAGCCTTCATTATCTGTCCCAATAGTAAAATACACACTGTGGATCATCATTACGTAAAGAACTGAGCGTTGACTCTTGGACTGACTTAAGTTACAAAGATATCCTATTTGTGAAAAATGCTGAGCATGAATGATAACTACACATACAAATAACAAATCCTGTTATGCCAAAAGCTCTACTTAAAGTGGTCGCTTGACCTGGAGTTTGGAGCAGATAATCATCTTCCCCAAGATAAACTAATGATATTTGCAAAATAATAAGATTTTACCCTTATTAGGTAGTAGTCTCTCTTGAAACCCACACAGATAGAATTTTCACACCACGCCATGGACTTGGGCACATCTGGCACACTAAAGTCCCCCTGAAAAAAGAGAGCAAGGATCTGAATGAAATAAATATTTTTTTAAAAAATCATGACTTTCCTGTTATTCTGCAACCTCCATTCTGCAAAACAACCCTCACCCTCATCGGGCACAATTCTACAGGCACAAGGCCAGGAAACTACCCTTAATAAAAATACAAGTCCATGAACTGGACAAAGTACATTTGGAAAAGGTGAAAACCCACTTTGAAATAAACCAATCTATAAAAACACTGTAGAATCATATTACAAGTAGGCATCAACAAGCTCTCATGCACTTCATACCAGAGTATTCATTTGCGTAGAATGACAAGACTGGAGTCCTGAACTTCACTAGAACCGAGCCACTGCAGCAGCTCCCACCCAACCATGGACCAAGGAACAGTGGACTTACCTGCAATTCATGAAATTCCCTGTCCTTCCAGAAATAGAGCTGCAGCTTCTTTTTTACTGCCACACACATCCGTAACACCTCCTCACCGGTCTCTGTGTGCTGGGAGGAGACATGCAGAGCAAATGAAAATACAATGACTCTCTCTAACTGAGTGATAACTAAATTAGAGATTGTCTACCTTGAAATTGCTACTACTCTGAAAATTCCCTGTAACACAGTCATCCTGCCAGGAAAGCTGAGCAGAACACCATTCTCTAAGATGCGCTAAGAAACAAGTGACTGAGGAACACTTCCTCCCGAAGGGTTGCCAGCCAAAGACCACAGCACCAGCAAATCACATGGACATTCACAATTCAGAGGAGAAAATCCTGGGGCAGTCCTTCCCCTATATAACTCCTCCCTCCTTTTTGCTCTTAAATGTTTCTTGCTCCTGGCTGTCAATGCATGCTGGGTTAAGGGTGACCATGTGCCAGTGACATCAAGCCCACTTTTAAGCCTTTAAAGAGCAAGGAAAAGAGTATTCCTAAGCATAAAATGATGCAGTGTCAATGTAGAACATAAATGCTAAAAAATGGTAAGTTGAGTAGAGAGAGGGGTGAGGCAGATTCTGAAGAATAAAAGAATGATAAATTGGCAAAAATAAAGAGCGATATCTTTTCTGAACAATGAAAAGTCCCTAATGACAAAGACCTCAGTGATCTGTTTAGAACAAGACTCCATTTAATGTCTTATAATTATCTTCATGATATTGTTACAGTCTTGCTTTCCCAACAATGGTTTGTCCAGGACGAGAGTTTTTGTCCTCGGTTAGCTGCCTCTTGCCAATAGTATTAGATTCTCATTAACCCACGCACAGGGAATGCAAACGCTTCAACTTCACACTATGCACCAACAGAGAAATTTCTCTAATACAATTAAATATTCTCTTTGGGCCGGGTGCAGTGGCTCATGCCTGTAATCCCAGCACTTTGGGAGGCCAAGGTCACCTAAGGTCAGGAGTTCGAGACTAGCCTGGCCAACATGGTGAAACCCCATCTCTAATTTAAAAAAATACAAAAAATAGCCGGACGTGGTGGTGCACACCTGTAGTCCCAGCTACACAGGAGGCTGAGGCAAGAGAATCACTTGAGCCCGAGAGGCAGGGGTTGCAGTGAGCCGAGATCGTGCCACTACACTCTAGCCTGGGCGACAGAACAAGACTCCATCTCAGGAAAAAAATAAATAAATAAATAATCTTTGGAGTCTCTGTTGGGTATGGATCATCAGTGTCATTCTTCCCATCTAATGGTAGGAATGATGTAGGAAAGACTGTATTGATTAAAGCATAAAGCCAAATTTCATCTTGGGTAAACTTACCTGGAGGTCACAAGTAAACAGTGATGCTCCCTTTGCCTTTGAAACCGTAGTGATTTGTTGAAATGTCAATAGGTCATGGACATAAATGTTATTTTCTGTTTGGGAGGAGGTATAACATCAGGATCAATGATCATAATTCTCTAGCATAGCCACTATCGAGGCAAAAAAAGTAACTGTGTTAACATCTAGAAGAAGCAAATGGCAGATGTTGGTTGAAGATGTCCCTTCAGTTTCACTAGGATGATTCATTCTCACCTATAACCAGTACAAAGCATTTAAGAGGTCACTTGGTCTTCTAAACTTGGATATTTTCTTCCTTAAACATTTGAGCTTGGCCCGGCATGGTGGCTCACACCTGTCATCCCAGCACTTTGGGAGGCTGAGACAGGCAGATCACTTGAGGTCAAGAGTTTGAGACCAGCCTGGGTAACACAGTGAAACCCTGTCTCTACTAAAAATACAAAAATCAGCTGGGTATGGTGGTGGGTGCCTGTAATCCCAGCTACTCAGGGGGTTGAAGCAGGAGAATCCCTTGACCCAGGAGGTCAGAAGTTGCAGTGAGCCAGGGCTGCACCACTACACTCCAGCCTGGGCGACAGAGTGAGACTCCGTCTCAAAAAAAAAAAAAAAAAAAATTGGGGCTGACTTGAGTAAAAGAGATCTTTCACTTCCAAAACACTCTTTTTTTTTTTTTTTTTTTTTTTTTTGAGGCACGGTCTCACTCTGTTGCCCAGGCTAGAGTGCATCAACAAAAGGGGCATGATCTCAGCTCACTACAGCCTTAACCTCCTTGAGACTCAAGTGATCCTCCTACCTCAGCCTCCTGAGTAGCTAGGACTACAGGCATGCACCACCACACCTGGCTAATTTTGTTTATTTTTTGTGGAGATGAGGTCTCCCTGTGTTGCCCAGGCTGGTCTCAAACTCCTGGACTCAAGCAATCCTCCTGCCTTAGCCTCCCAAAGTGCTGGGATTACTGGTGTGAGCCACTGCACCCAGTCCAAAGCACTCTTATACTCTGTCCATTTCAAGTCTGAAATATTATGATGCAGTATTTATACAAGAAATGGCTTTCAAAGCTACTCACATTAGGAGGCTCCAATTAGAAAAGGGAAATCCCCTGTGCATTTTGTACTAACCCATGGCAATGATTTCTTTCCTAGCAAAGCAATCAAAATAATCATTTTACCTGGGCCTCATATCTAGTTTTAGTCATGAAGATTAAGTTACCTCAGATGTTTATCTGTGGACCCAGGAACAACATTTAACATGATTTTACTCTTTGGGCCCCAGGGTCAACAGCGCAAAGTGTGAGATCAGCTGCTAGTCCCCTGCATGTCCAGAAAAGGCCTCACTGGCTGCTTTCTATGAAACCATGGTTTTTCACATGAGGGCCTCAACAGTGTAGCCCTGCTCTGTCTCTTACCTGATATCCTGCCAATCTCCACCACATATCCTTAGTCTGGCCACAATAAACAATTTGCCACAAACTGCCACATCTCAAGGCCTTTGTTCTAGTTGTTCCCTGTGTTTGTGATACGCTGCTGGCCTCTTTTCCTACTGAAAGTCTAGTTATCTACTAGACAATATAGTCCCTCCCATTACCAAGATTCCACAACACTTTTTATAAATTTTCACTGTAACTTACCACATTGTATCGTGATTACTTCCTGTCATTTAGTCTTCATAATCAGAATGTAAGTCTCAAAGATAGCAACTATGTCTCACTGAACTTGGTATCCCGAATGTCTAGTCCAGACTTTGCATAGAATAGGCTCAATAAATATTTGATCAATGAACGAATGAATGAATAAAGTGAGACTCCTTGGAGAGAAGAGTTCGAGTCTATGGAGGATGCTGCTGCCTTTATTAACCATGTACCCTGTTATACCAGGTTTGGAACACGTCAGTTCATTGTTAAGTAACCACTATCAAATTAACCATGAAAGGATTAATTAGGTCATATCTTTTCTTGTTAGACACAGGATACAAATGCAACTCCTTTTCTTACCTAACAAGCTGACCAGAATCTTAAACTGGGAAACCACATGGATCTGGAAAATAGGAAATCATGAGACCCAATTAAACATTTCTGACAAGGTTTAGCAAATGTTCATTCAATAACAGTAATAAAAAGGGACCACGGAGCCTATCCAGTTACAGGGATCTCACTGATTTTTCTGGGCACTATAATTTCTGTGATTATCATTTCTGCTTGTGAGAGAGGATCTCAGGCACATGATATATGAGCAGACACTCCTGCATAAATAGAAGGTCAAAGAGAAGAGGATTCAGAGTTAATAAATAACATTACCAAAGTTCTAGTCTGACAGGGTCTCATGTAAGTCAAATATTCTTGTAAGGACTGCCATCACTGCTTACCTGCTGAATCTTTTTGGAGAAGTTCTTATTGGATTTCTCTAGTGTCACTTCAAATCTGTTGCAACCTATGGAAAACAAATAAACACTGGTAGTTCCAAATACAGGGATACATAGAAAAACCACTACTAGAAAAATACTGCTCCATACTGCTCTCCTATATAAATCTTTGGAAGTTCCTGAAAGACTAAAAATCAGAGATCTAAATAGCCAGCTCTCTTACAAGCACTATAAGATGCTTTCAACTCTAATTTTAGAGCAGAGCGTTTCATGCACCTTCACTCGGCATCAGCAGAAAGGATCACACAAAGTTCACTGAAGCGGCAAGGTACTCGTGAGTCTGAAGATCTTATCTTGCAAAATCAGTACCTTGGCAAAGTGTTCCACAAGGAAGGGTGTAAAAAGTAACAGTCAAATATAAGAGCCCAAGCCATGAAACCCAGCCCAAAGCATCCTTAGATCTAGACCAACTAATTTCCAGCAACTATTCTAACTAAGTTCTGTATCACGGAGACAGAGCAAACACTCAAACCCATCTCCAGAGCTAAAGCAATTCAATGCGTCTACACTTACTGCCGCTTTCAGGTGATGCTACATCTGCTGGCACTGTTACAAAAAAGGGGAAGAAAGTTATATACCATAAAAACATGTGAATTCAGCCTTGCTGGGGATGACAAAAATATTCAGCCTCAAAAGTCACCAATGAGTCAAAAAGAGAATAATTATCATCATCATCATCAGAGCAGCTATCATGAAGCAATAACTACATACTGGGTTCGGGGTTTAAAAATTTATATATATTTTTTTCTGTAAACTCACAACTACTCCCAAGAAGTAGGTATTATTATTCCAAGCTCATATTTGAGGGGCATGAGGGGTAAAGCAGTTAGGTAACAGCCAGTGAGGGAGCCTACAAGCAAACCCAGGCTGACTCTAAAGCCTGTGCTCTGAACCCACGCCCTGCTACCTGCCTTCTACTTCATGGACAGGATGCTCGCACTGCTGACCTGAGTTGTTCCCCACAGCTAGCTCTGCCCTTGCCCTCTGGAAATCAGGGAGACTCTTTGGGGCAGCCATAAGAACTCATGCCACCAAAGCTGGTCTTACTTCTTCCATGTGTCCCTCAGCAGAGGGGATGAAGAAAGGGCCCTAAAGTTGCAGGGAGTGTGCCCTGGTATTCTGCTGTTACATTTCATGAGAAAAAAAAACAATTCAGACACTTCCTACACTTGAAAGCGTCCTATTATTGCATTTAATACTTCTCTTTTCTTATTTTTTTGTTTTGTTTTGTTTTGTTTTTTTTTGAGACAGAGTCTCATTCTGTTGCCCAGGCCGGAGTGCAGTAGTGCAATCTCAGCTCACTGCAACATCCACCTCCCGGGTTCAAGCAATTCTCGTGCCCTCAGCCTCTGGAGTAGCTGGGATTACAGGCATGTGCCACCATGCCCGGCTAATTTTTGTATTTTTAGTAGAGACAGGGTTTCACCATGTTGGCCAGGCTGGCCTTGAACTCTCGACCTCAGGTGATCCACCCACCTCGGCCTTCCAAAGTGCTGGGATTACAGGAGTGAGCCACTGCCCCCGGCCTATAATTCTCTTTACAAACAGAATTTTCTAAGGCAGAGATTCTTAAACTTTTTTGTCTCAAAATCTTGATAATCTTAAAAATTACTGAGGACCTCAAAGAACTTTTTTGGGGGTTATATACATGAATATTTATGTTAGAAATTTAAATACATACATTTAAAAACATATATGTATTTAAAAATAACAATAATAACCCCATAAGTAAGAACCCACATCTGCTTCTGCATTTAATCTGTTTTGATAATTTAATTTGTTTTGGTTGAAGTATATGACAAAAAATCTGTCCTCATATAGATAACATAGTTGAAAAGGGAAAAGTACTTTAATAGATTTTTCAGATTCTTCTTTGATACTACACCAACACTTAACAAATGTAATTTCTTGTAAAGCGAAATCTCACACCTGTCAATGAACTTTTCATTTTCTGTTACGTAAAAAAACATTGGTCTACCTTACACTTTGAATGTATTTTTTACTCATACGTGATTTTAAAACTCATGCATTAGTCATTTGGAAAATACTGGTTCACTGAGTTATGCAGATTTTCCAATCCAGACCTACATTTCATTATAGGATGTTAAAAAATGACACTCATTATTATCACCCCCAATCTCATCAGAAAAAATCTTTAATTATGGAGAAGCTGTCACACTCAGGGGAGTGAACACAAGTTTTCCATAATTCTATTTTTTTTCTTAAAAGCTCTAACTTTATCATTCACAACAAATACTGCCAGTTGTTTACCTTAAAGTAACAGATTCCCTTTGTTCATAAAAAAAAAAAAAAAAATGCCAAATATCTAAATGGTCTGAAAAAACCACAACCTGTCATTCTTTCAAACAAAAATAATACTCCCTGAAAAAAGTAGCCAGTTTAGCTCGTAACTCAATCACATAAGCATTTTTCCCTTGAGACAGCTATCGGACTTCACACCCTAGCACACAGCAGAAGTGCTTTATGTGTACTTCCCATTATATCATATGAGATTACTAAAAAGATGTGTTGCCAAAAGTCAAAATACAATAAAAATAACTTGTACTGCCTAACCAAGAACACTTTTAAGTGAAACTAGCTTTAAAAAAAAACAAAAACAAAAACAAACTGGCCAGGTGTGGTGGTTCACGCCTGTAATCCCAGCACTTTGGGAGGCCGAGAAACCTCCCAGGTGTAGATCACCTGAGGTCAGGAGTTAAAGACCAGACTGGCCAATATGGTGAAATCCTGTCTCTACTGAAAATACAAAAATTAGCCAGGCATGGTGGTGGGCGCCTGTAATCCCAGTTACTCAGGAGGCTGAGGCATGAGAATTGCTTGAACCTGGGAGGGGGAGGTTGCAGTGAGCCGAGATTATGCCATTGCATTCCAGCTTAGAAGACAAGTGTGAAATTCCGTCTCAAAAAAAAGAAAAGAAAAAATAAATAAATAAAACCCATCACTTGAGGCAAGGAGTTTGGGGCCACCCTGGGCAAGAAGAGACAACTCATCTTTACAAGAAGTGAAAAAACTATCTGGGCATGCTGGTGTGTGCCGGTAGTCCTAGCTGCTTGAGAGGCTGAGGCGGGAGGATCGCCTGAGCCTAGGAGTTATAGGTTGCAGTGAGTCATGATTGCGCCACTGCACTCTAGTCTGAGTGACAGAATGAGACCATCTCAAAAAAACAAACAAACAAAACCCACTGTGAGCACATGGTGAGAATTACACAATGACCATCAGTACAGCTTGGTACCACTGTTTTTTTCGTTTTTTTAAAAAAATCTCTATTTGAAGTTAGGTACTACTGTTCTGATTTGTGTTCAGGTGCTAACCAGTTTTAATTACCATTCCTTTTGCACCATCATTGTAAATGTCAATACAGTGAAAAAAAAAAAAAACAAAAAACGAAATGTTTTAGTGTTTCTGCAAACTTGGTTTTGTCCTTGTAGGTCCTCTGAAAGGATCTTGAGGATCCCCAGGGGTCTAGAGACCACATTTTCAGAACACTGCTCTAGGATGACAGCATGACTGAAATAAACCTAGAGTTGTAAAGGCCTCAGACATGAACAAATCTAAGCCCTCTCAGTTCAAAATAAGAGTAGACTGGGCTGGGCACAGTGGCTCATGCCTGTAATCCCAGCACTTTGGGAGGTCGAGGCGGGCGGATCACTTGAGGTCAGGAATTCCAGACCAGCCTGGCCAACATGGTGAAACCCTGTCTCTAAAATAGTACAAAAATTAACTGGGCATGATGGCACGCATCTGTAGTCCCGGAACTTTGGGAGGCTGAGGTGGGCAGATCACTTGAGCCCAGGAATTCAAGTCCAGCCTGGGCAATCTGGCGAAACCCCATCACTACAAAAGATACAAAAATGGCTCAGCCCAAAATCTCCTTAAGCTGATAAGCAACTTCAGCAAAGTCTCAGGATACAAAATCAATGTGCAAAAACCACAAGCATTCTTATACACCAATAACAGACAAACAGAGAGCCAAATCATGAGTGAACTCCCATTCACAATTGCTTCAAAGAGAATAAAATACCTAGGAATCCAACTTACAAGGGATGTGAAGAACCTCTTCAAGGAGAACTACAAACCACTGCTCAACGAAATAAAAGAGGACACAAACAAATGGAAGAACATTCCATGATCATGGATAGGAAGAATCATATTGTGAAAATGGCCATACTGCCCAAGGTAATTTAGAGATTCAATGCCATCCTCATCAAGCTACCAATGACTGTCTTCACAGAATTGGAAAAAACTACTTTAAAGTTCATATGAAACCAAAAAAGAGCCTGCATTGCCAAGTCGATCCTAAGCAAAAAGAACAAAGCTGGAGGCGTCACGCTGCCTGACTTCAAACTATACTACAAGGCTACAGTAACCAAAACAGCATGGTACTGGAACCAAAACAGAGATAGAGACAAATGGAACAGAACAGAGGCCTCAAAAATAATACCACACATCTACAACCATCTGATCTTTGACAAACCTGACAAAAACAAGAAATGGGGAAAGGATTCCCTATTTAATAAATGGTGCTCGGAAAACTGGCTAGGCATATGTAGAAAGCTGAAACTGGATCCCTTCCTTACACCTTATACAAAAATTAATTCAAGATGGATTAAAGACTTAAATGTTAGACCTAAAACCATAAAAACCCTAGAAGAAAACCTAGGCAATACCATTCAGGACACAGGCATGGGCAAGGACTTCATGTCTAAAACACCAAAAGCAATGGCAACAAAAGCCAAAATTGACAAATGGGATCTAATTAAACTAAAGAGCTTCTGCACAGCAAAAGAAACTACCATCAGAGTGAACAGGCAACCTACAGAATGGGAGAACATTTTTGCAATCTACTCATCTGACAAAGGGCTAATATCTAGAATCTACAAAGAAATCAAACTTACAAGAAAAAAACCAACAACCCCATCAAAAAGTAGGCAAAGGATATGAACAGACACTTCTCAAAAGAAGACATTTATGCAGCCAACAGACACATGAAAAAATGCTCATCATCATCATCACTGGCCATCAGAGAAATGCAAATCAAAACCACAATGAGATACCATCTCACACCAGTTAGAATGGCGATCATTAAAAAGTCAGGAAACAACAGGTGCTGGAGAGGATGTAGAGAAACAGGAACGCTTTTACACTGTTGGTGGGACTGTAAACTAGTTCAACCATTGTGGAAGACAGTGTGGCAATTCCTCAAGGATCTAGAACTAGAAATACCAGTTGACCCAGCCATCCCATTACTGAGTATATACCCAAAGGATTATAGATCATGCTAGTATAAAGACACATGCACACGTATGTTTAATGCAGCACTGTTCACAAGAGCAAAGACTTGGAACCAACCCAAATGTCCATCAATGATAGACTGGATTAAGAAAATGTGGCACATATACACCATGGAATACTATGCAGCCATAAAAAAGGATGAGTTCATGTCCTTTGTAGGGACATGGATGAAGCTGGAAACCATCATTCTCAGCAAACTATTGCAAGGACAAAAAAACCAAACACTGCATGTTCTCACTCATAGGTGGGAATTGAACAATGAGAACACTTGGACACAGGAAGGGGAACATCACACACTGGGGGCCTGTCGTGGGGTGGGGGGAGGGGGGAGGGAAAGCATTAGGAGATATACCTAACGTAAATGACGAGTTAATGGGTGCAGCACACCAACATGGCACATGTATACATATGTAACAAACCTGCACGTTGTGCACTTGTACCCTAGAACTTAAAGTATAATTAAAAAGAGTGGAAAAAAAAACCTAAAAAAAAAAAAAGAAAAAATCTAAGTAATGCTAAAAAAAAAAAGATACAAAAATGGGTTGGGCATAGTGGTGTGTGCCTGTGGTCCCATCTACCTGGGAGGCTGAGGTGGGAGGATGGCTTGAACCCAGGAGGTTGAGGCTGCAGTGAGCCAAGATAGCGCCACTACACTCCAGCCTAGGCGACACAGCAAGACCCTGTCTCAAAAAATAAAGGAGCAGAATGAAGCCTAGAGATGTCTATTGAGGAATGTTTATACTCATATTTTAGAATCAACCAGTTAAAAACACATTTATTGAATAATTACTAGGCTAGACATATCAGAGGATAAAAATGTCACTGGCTCAACTGAGCTCCAGGGAAATGACTCAGATCAGATCAGAGCCTACGATCCCTACCCCTAGTCTTTTCTTGACCCTATTATCCCCTCCCTTTCCTCAGAAAGACAGTCTACCCAAAGACCTATTTAGGCTTGAAATATCTCAAATCTGGAAACCAAATTAACCCTAGAACTAATTCACACGGGCCCAGGTCTATTTCTGGCCCACATCAGGCCAGATCTGGGCCAGAACTAAACTGTTCACCAAGAGTATAGGGAAAAATGGCATTTCTTGAAGAAAAGTTTCAAATCAGAATTTGATTTCCTAATTGTCTATATTTAATCTACCTATGGCGAAACCAAGGCCCAGGAACATTAACTAATTTGTCAAAGGTGACATGATAAAATGATCATAGGGCAAGGAATAGTCGCCACCAGGGTTCCAAGCCAGATTAACACTAATATTACCAGTTCAGGTCTATACTGTGTTGAGACTTCATTTATAAAGTCTTGTTTTCAATTTCTGATCACCACTTACATGTGAAAGCAAAGCAGAGAGTCAAAAAACAATTGTTGAATGCTGAATAAGATAAGCATTTTTAGCTTTAAAATTAAAATGTGAGCTTAATTTTAAAATTATAGACCAGGCAAATATCACAGAACGCAAATATTTTGGCTCCGAGAACTAAAAAAAGAAATTTTTTTTTGAGACAAAGTCTGTTGCTGAGGCTGGAGAGCAATGGTGTGATCATAGCTCACTGCAGCCTCAACCTCCTGGGCTCAAGCGATCCTCTCACCTCAGCCTCCAGAGCAGCTGGAATTATAAGCACGTGCCACCACATCCAGCTAATTTTTTGTAGACAGGGTGTTGCCATGTTGCCCAGGCTGGCCTCGAACTCCTGGCCTCAATCATTCCTCCTACTTCAGTCTCCCAAAGTGCTGGGATTATAGGCATGAGCCACTTCACAGGCCATGAGAATTAAAAATTTAAAACATTAAAACAAAGATCAACAATGTACTGCTCCAGGGCCTAACTGAGGCCTTTGCATGTTTTTGTAAATAAAGTTTTATTGGAACATAGCCATACCTATTCATTACATATTGCCTACAGCTGCTTTCATGTTACAAAGGCAGAGTTAAGTAGTAACAACACTGCAAAGCCTAAAATATTTATTCTTTGGACCTTTTCAGAACAAGTTTGCTGACCCTGATTTAGAGGACAGTTGAAAAACTTAGAAATGAAATAAATTATCTATTTTGTTCTCTGGTTTCTTTTCTTACCCTGCTGCAGAAACTGACCAGGATATCTTCTCTTTCCCGAGTGCACTAGTAAGGTGCTTTTTCCCCCAGTGTTACCCTTGCTCCAGGTTCCACAAGAGAGCTCTATTTATCTTAAGCTATCTCTTAAGCTATTTACCAGAGAAATATATATTATATTGAAGGGTATGAAATTAACTGCAGATTTCTGTAGAGTGGCTCCAGGGCATAATACCTAAACACATCTATTCTCCATAAAGAGAGCACAGAAACGAAAACAAGGAAGGGCAGTGAGGTACTTTCTGCCCCAATAAAAAACACTCTTTAACAGAATACATTTCAAATACTTTAGTTATTACTCTACATTACTGACAGTCACATTTGATTAGAACTTTAGTTTTCACAGTTTCTTCGAGCCTATTATTGCATCCACCCCAACAACTTTGTGGGGCAGAGAGTTTATAGAAAACTGATGTTGGAAAGAACTTGCTCACGGTCACGCAGCCAGGGGGAAGTGCACATGAAGGCAAACCCTGGTCCTCTCTTCTTGTTCTACCCCTCATAAGCCAACAAGATATTTTAAATCGATGTTGCCTAATTTTTTTTCCTACCACCACACCATATATACAGGAAGCTTATGCCCATTAGTAGTATTTCTTATTATTGGTAGTGAGTCTCAAAGAAAAGAGGAGGAAAACAACCACCTCCTCTTTTCTTAGAGACTCACTACCAGTAATAAGTAATTCAGTAATAAGTAAACCAGCAATTCATCCTCACCTCCCAAATGCAGGTAGGGCAATACAATTTGGAGGAGAAAAACCCTAGGCATTCTCAAGTCTTCTCCCCATTTTCCCACCGTGCTCCCTCTAACCTTCAATCTCTCTTTTAATGGTCCAGGAATAACTGATTTCACAGTTGTATACTAGCTGACTATTAAAACTTATTTTTTTGCATGAGCAATGTGCACTTACCAACGTCCTTCCGAATCCTATAGAGAAGAAGATGTCCTTGTTTGGTTCCCACAAGAAGCCATTCCTCTGGAAAAACAAAACAAAACAAAAACAAAAACAAAAAAAAACCAGCTTTGAGAAAGGTCAATCAGCTTGAGTATAACCCTATTTTTTTAGCTGGGGCTTGTAATCAGAAATCAATGTGTCAAGAAAATGAGTTGCTTTTGATAGGAGGTGTTTTGCAAAGCTAAGAAATGTTTATACTCATGTTTGAAAATCAACCATTTAAAAACACATTTATTGAATAATTACTAGGCTAGACATATCAGAGGATAAAAATGTCCTGGCTCAATTGTTTTAATGTTAAACTAATAAAAAAGATAGAAGGGCTTTGTATTTTTAAGATTAAATTATTATGATTTTTATTTTTTGTTATATATACTTTTATTAAGATATATATCTTCAGATATATATTTTTAAATTCTGCTAAAAAGAATATGATGAAAGTTTATAAAATCACAAAATGGAAGTACAAATGTGAAACCAGGTATCCAACCTCAGCAATAATAGCTAAGAGGCATCCTTTAAATGCTTTTACTTTCAGGAAAATAAATGACGTAACATAATAAGCTTACAGAATTCATTATCTCAAAAGATAGTCTAGTAGAAAATATTTAATAACAAGTGTTGATGAGAATATAAAGAAATTAGAATCCTCATACACTGCTGGCAGGAATGTAAAATGGGAGAGCCACTTTGGAAAAGTCTAGCAGCTCCTCAAAAGGCTAAACAGAGTTACCCTGGGACCCAGCAATTCCACTCCTGGTTACACACCCAACAGAAATGAAAACATATTCTACACAAAAACTTGTACACAAATGTTCACAGCAGTATTATCTGTAATAGCTAAAAGATGGAAACAAACCAAATGTCCACCAACTGATGAACGGATAAACAAAATGTGGCATGTCTATATAACGGAATATTAGCTAACAATGAAAAGAAAGGAAGTATGGATATATGCTACAACACAGATGAACCTAAAAACATGATGCTAACTGAAGGAAGCCAGACAAAAGGCCACGTGATTCCATTTATATGAAATGTCCAGAGTAGGCAAATCCACAGAGGTAGAAAGATTAGCGGTTGCCCAGGGCTGGTGGGCTTGGGGGAAAATAGAAAGTAAATACTAATGGGTACTGAGTTTCTTCTGAAAGTGATGAATATGTTCTAAAATTTATTGTGCTGATAGTTGCATAACTCTGTGAATGTACTAAAAACCATTTAATTGTACACTTTTTTTTAACTTTTATTTTTTTAAGATAGGGTTCTACTCTGTTGCCCAGGCTAGAGAGCAGTGGTGTGATCATGGCTCATTGCAGCCTCCACCTCCCTAGCTCAAGTGATCCTCCCACCTCAGCCTCCTGAGTGGCGAGAAATACAGGCATGCACCACCACGTTCAGCTATTTTTTAAAAAATGTTTATAGAGATGAGGGCTCACAATATTGCCCAATCTGGTCTCCAACTCTTGACCGCAAGCAATGCCCCTTCAGCTTCCCAAAGTGTTGGGATTACAGGGGTGAGCGACTGTGCCCAGCCAAATTGTACATTTTAAAAGATGGTCTAGGCTAGTGGTTCTTAAACTTTAGTGTATCACAATTATTTGAGAGTTTGTTAAAATACAGAATGCTAGGCTCTACCCCGGAGCATCTGATTTAGTAGGTTTAAAAGTAGGCCCAGGAATTTTCATTTCTAACAACTTCCCAGATGATGCTGATGCTGGTGGTTCAAGGACCACATTTTGGGAGGCACTGGTCTAGGTAAAAAGAGGCTCAGAAAGAGTTTAAATAATTACCCTGACAGACCCATATTACATCATTCAAGGAAGGTAAGCATGTACAGATACTTCCTTAGCTTTTTGATAACATAAAGGTCACTCATTCCTTTCATAAACTCTCTTGATTCTTGACCTCTGTAAAATAAAATCTTGGATAATGGTACAAATAGATAACTTTTATTGAGCATGTATTGTGTTCCAGGAAATGCTAAACGCATCTGTTATTTCACTAATCCTCACAACTATCCCTTGAAGTAAGTCCTTTTTTCAAATCCCCATTTTATAGATGAGGAAGTTGAGGCCTAGGGAATATATAACTTTTCCAGAGTCACACATGTGGCAAGCAGCAGAGTTGGGATCCCAACCCCAATTTGTCTTGATTCCCAACCACATGCTGTGATGTACTTACTAAGGCACCCATGTCAAAAAAAATGGGTGTCAGCCAAAGGTTGTCTGAATGGCAGTAGTTATATTTATAAAAACAGGTCAGCACCTACATTCCTTATCCAAAGGATCAATAGTATTTCTCCAGGATGATGTTCTTAGTCATCCAGAAAAACAGAGTGATTCTATTTTCTTTGATTTGGGGTCTTAAAGGAAAGGCAGGTCACACACAAAAAAAATGTTGAAATCAGAAATAACAGCAGCTCTAATGAAGGCTGGAGATTTATGCTGCAGCAGAACATGAAAAAATAAAAGAATTCATTTTGCAATATTTGTTTTGTAAAAGATACTATATTTAGAACTTTATAGATATCATGATATCAAGCAATTTAGCAATATTAAAGTTGATTTTTAGGCCACCCACTGATATTTCAGATATAAATAAAATGAAGTGGAAATTTTTTAAAAATCCACTCATAACATACATAAAAATCTACAACCAAAACAAAAGGCCAACATAATGTTCATCATCTTCCCCATCCTTCTCTCTCCACTCTGTCCCCCAAATCCCTGCCAGTTCCTGCTTTTCTTTATCTTTTTTAATAGCCTCAGCTTCCTCCCAAGTCGGCCAGGGTCTATCAATTCTACCTGTAATGGTACCTCATGACAGCCTCCTCCTATAGAGTCTCTCTGGGGACCCCTGTGACACCTTCAACTGGTCTCATTCACTCCATGCATTCTCTCGCATTTGCTGTCAGTTATCTTAGAGCAGATCTCTGATGCTGTCACACTGGGGCTTAAAAAATCCTGTGAAGCTACACTACCAAAATATGAAGTCAAATTCCTAAACATGACATTCAAGAGTCTATTTTCCATTTTTATTGAAATGTTTCTTGCCAATAGATTTTTTAATTTACTTTTTTTTTTTCTTGTGAACCCAAACTAAGACATGACAAAACATTTTAAAAAGTCAAATGTCTAGGGGCCGGGCACGGAGGCCGAAGTGGGCGAATCACTGGAGGTCAGGAGTTTGAGACTAGCCTGGCCAACATGGTGAAACCCCGTCTCTACTAAAAAATATAAAAATTAGGCCGAGTGTGGTTGGCTCATGCCTGTAATCCCAGCACTTTGGAAGGCCAAGGCGGGCAGATCACCTGAGGTCAGGAGTTCAAGACCAGTCTGGCCAACACAGTGGAAACCCATCTCTACTAAAAATACAAAAAAAATTAGCCAGGCATGGTGGTGTGTGTGCCTGTAATCCCAGCTACTCAGGAGACTGAGGCAAGAGAACTGCATGAACCCCGGAGGGAGAGGCTGCAGTGAGCTGAGATCGTACCACTGCACTCCAGCCTGGGTGACGGGGCAGGACTCTGTCTCAAAAAAAAAAAAAAAATTAGCCAGGTGTGCTGGTGAGCACCTGTAATCCCAGGTACTAGGGAGGCTGAGACAGGAGAACCACTTGAACACTGGCGGCGGAGGTTGCAGTGAGTGGAGATTGTGCGCCATTGCACTCCAGCCTGGGTGACAAGTGTGAAATTCTGCCTCCAAAAAAAAAATTAATTAAAAAAATAAAATGTCTATTCTACTGGTCATAAAAGGGAATCAATCCGATGGATTAAATTCTCTGTAAACTTTTAAATCAACCTGATTGATTACATGTGCCATTAGCCAGAGGACCTGTCCCATGTTGGGTCCTCCACTCTCTAGGACACGTTATTTAACAAAGCTGTGCATGCACAACACAGAGGATGACAAGCCTGCAGAGCACGCGCAGCATGGGATGGACAGTGCCTTCTGAGACTCAATACAGTAACACACAACAGAAAGTGAGACATACTAAGCAAACACAAAACGCACACATAAGCAAAGCAGTATCAGCCCTAAAAAACTCCTGACGGCCTAACCCTGAGCCACAAGGTTGGACTTAATTCCTCCTGAGAAGGAGGGCTAGGCCCTATTGCTCATAATTACCCTAATGGAGCTCCTTCCAACAGTGCAATGCAGTCCAACTTCATGTAATAAATTCCATTTCTGGCCCAATGCTGGCCACTGCAGGGACCACAAAGATAAGTAAGATAGTAGTCACTTCCCTTCGTTGGGTAACATGGCAAATAACAGTACTTCTCATCTGGGCATAAGCCCCCAATTAGCTGCATTAGAATCACCTGGACTTATTAAAAATGCACATTCCTGGGCCCTGCACATGGAGATTCAGATTCAATGGCTTTGAAGTGGTACCCTGAAATTTACATTTTAAAATTTAATCTTGTTGGCTGGGCAAAGTGGCTCACGCCTGTAATCCCAGCACTTTGGGAGGCCGAGGTGGGCGGATCACCTCAGGTCAGGCGTTTGAGACCAGCCTGGCCAACATGACGAAACCCCGTCTCTACTAAAACTACAAAAATAAGCCAGGTATGGTGGTGGGTGGCAGTAATCCTAACTACTCGGGAGGCTGAGGCACGACAGTGGCTTGTACCTGGGAGGCAGAGGTTGCAGTGAGCTGAGATTGCACCACTGCACTTCAGCCTGGGCGACAGAGCGAGACTCAGTCTCAAAAAATAATAATGAAATAAAATAAAATAAAATAAAATTAAATTAAATTTTATTTGTTTTTATGAAACATTCATGTAGTTCCAAAGCTAAAACGACGAAAAGTCTAGTTTCTATCATTGTCCATTTTATCCTCTCTTCTCCCTTCTGCTATGGGCATCATTTTAGTAATTTTTGACTTATCTTTCCATTGTTTCTCTGGAAAATATAGGTATGTATGTATATATAGACATACAGATACTCATATATACATGTGAAGTCTGCATTTTTTACAGGCTTTGAATATACATTCAAGTTTGAGAACCAGGCTCTAGAAGCAGACATGATTTACAGGACATGTGACCTTGGAAAAATTTCTTAAATTTTCTAAGCCTTAGGTCTTTCTTCTGTAAAATGGAGTCTTATTTTATAAAAGCCTAATACAGATTAGCATTTAACAACTGCAAGCTATTACTATTCATATTAACATTATTCATTAAATATATATTTAATGAATACCCATTGAGTCAGGAAATGTTTTAGGTACTGCAGATATAGCAATGCAGAAAACAAAGATACTGCCCTGAGGGAACTTATATTCTAATGTGGAGTGAGAGAGGCAATAATAATTAAATATATAAAATAACAGTAGATGGTGACCCATGATTAGAAGATAAGGCTAAGAAAACAGCACATTGGTGGATGTGGCAATCTCTTTTATATAGGATACACAGGGAAGGTTTTGCTGATTTGGGTGACATTTCAGCAGAGAACTGAGTGAAATGAGGAATGAACCATATATACAAAGGCAAGTGAGTGCCAGGCCAAGGAAACAGCAAATGTAAAGGCCCTGAGGTGGGTATGTGCTTTGTGCATTGATGGAACAAAGAAGGCTGTGTGGGACTGGTACCAGAAAGGAGTGAGAGGTAAGTACACAGAAGACAGGGAAGAAATCAGGGCCTGATCATGTCAGATGTTGCCAGACAGGGTGAAAACTTTGGAACTTATTCTAGTTGTGATGTGATACCATGAGAGGGTTTTGAGTAGAGGATGGAATCAGATTTAGGTTTTCAAAGTTTCACTCTACCTGGTAGACAAAAAACTGAAAATGGCACACTGGCAAATATAGGGTGATCAATGAGAAGACTACTACAGTAATTCAGGTGACAGATGATGGTGCCTTCAAGAGTAGTAATCATCAAGATAGAGAGAAATGACTGGATTTCAGATTTATTCTAGGGGTAGAACACACAAGATTTGCTGATAGATGGGATACAGTGTAAAACAGAATGAAAGAAGTCAAGAACGATTCCAAAGCTTTTGGCTTTAGTCAAAGAGGTAAATAGAAATGCCACTTGCTGAGACGTAAGATACAGGAGGACAGGCATGTTTGAGGGGAGAGGAATCAAGAACGGTTTTGGCTATGCTACTGGACATCCAAATGAAGATGCTGAAAAGGCAGCAGGATTATACAACTTTGGAGTTTAGAAAGAAATCATCCTCATCATGTTCTCTCCTGATTTCTATTTCCCAGGAGACAGAGTATGTTGTCTCTAAGACATTTACACCTCAAATACTATTTGGCCCTGTGTGACCTGCCTCTGGAAGTTCCTGGACGAACTTTCCATCCAAAGGCACAATGTAGTTAAAAAGGGGTAATGACTAGAAAGAGCAATAATTACTGCTGCTCAAATCTGGAAATAAAGCACTTTTGAAGCAGGAGGCAGTTAATGGCCTCTTGTAACCTAATATGTACCTAAGCACCTTAGGAACCAAAGAGCATTTCTCCTGTTCGGTGGGTGATCAAGGAAGGCCAAAAGCTACCTATTGTTTCAAAACTGTGTTCCTGAAAACCACAGGTGCAAGGAATCTTTACTGTGACAAAGTGGAGTTGGTGAGAGTCTAGGAGCACTATGTGCTAATGGTCCAACAGGAGATCAGAGTCAAGGATTCTGACGAGCTAAGTCAAGTGTAGCCACAGCTGCATTAATCCCTTTCAGAAACATATGTCCTTAGCTGAGTTGGGTACCCCCTCATCCATGTTGCAATAATAGGCAGCATATGTCTCTAGTATTATAATCTGTTCACGTGTATTTGTCCCCCAGTGTGTGTCCTAGGAGCACAGGCACTGTTTCTTATTCATCATTGTATTACTGTCCCAAGCAAAGAGAATGGCCCGTGTAGCCACCTAATAAGTATATCTGATGAAGCAATGGGGGAATTAATCCTTTCATGCAGTGTCAGGTCTTTCATTTAAAAACTTTTTCTCCTCCTCTATTTAAATGTTTAATGAGAGCATTTAATGACAGAAATTGGTTTTCTTGAGATGTCTGGAGGAAGTAGGATTCTCCTCTTAACCCAAAGGACTAGAACTGCTTACTGTGGAGGTATGATTTTAAAGAGACCCAGAGCTGCTAAAGGAGGAAGGGTGCACATTAACATGAAAATTCTTCGTGAAAGAACCCTACAGAAGAAGTCATCAAGAACTCTGCAAGGATGACTCGGTGACACTGTGAACAGCTGACGCACATGGTATCAGACACCACCAAGATTCCATAAGGCCCATCATGGTTACCTATCTAGCTCAGTATAAGATCTGATTAAGGGATCTGAATCATCTTTTTATGGTCCTTGATTTCTAGGACCTAAACATTAAGAGGAAAGTTAGAAATGATTTCCTTGGTCTTTGGCGGCTGGTATCAAACCAGTCACTCACGGATAAGAGCACAATGTTCACCGTTATCCCTGAAACCTTCATTTGTATTTCAGAGCACACAAGAGATGTCTGTCCCGGCCTTCTGCACTAGTCAATCCCAAAAGGACTATGCTAGTTTTTATGGGTTAGGTTTCAAGACAGTCTGGAAACTCTTCCGCCTACAGTTAGGTAACTTGGACACTTTGGATATAAGGTAATCAACCGCTTGGCTAGATTCAAAGGTTAGCTAACTACATGAGTTCCCTACAGGAATGAGAAATGAACGAATGATCACTAAGGGGAAAAAAAAGCATATGGTGTTAACTTGTTCAATGCCCCCAAAACCAGGGTTGACTTTCATCTAGAAAACAACACAAACATCTGGACAACTTCAAGCCCCTGGCAGGCTGAGAACTTCTTACTGCTTTGACCCTCTAAAATGAAGTCTTCGTGGGAATCAAAATGGGCCAAAGCTGAGCACAACTAAAAAGGAAAGCTCATCCTCCCACTCTGCACAGAGAGCAAAAGCAAGGGGAACTCCCCTAAATGACTGGATCACTGGGATCACCCAAGTAGCCCCACAGACATCGATGTCTATAGCCGGTGGTCATCTCTCTGCCTTCTCTCATCCTAAGCCCCTCTCGTGTAGCATCCAACCGAAGCCCACACGGATGGACGCCTGTCCACTTCCCCGGCCTCAGAAAAGATCCGGACCGCTCCTGTGCTGACTCCGCCTCGGCCCCGCGGCCCCTCGGCTCACCCCAGGCAGCCAGACAGTCGATTTGCAGAGGCAGCTTTTCTAGGATCGGCACTGGCTCGAAAGCGTCGTGCATGGCGGCAAGGGGAGAGTTGCCACCGCCGTCTCGCCCAGAGTGTTCCGGGCCGGGCTGGGGTCCGGAACGAGTCTGGGCTAAGGGTAGACCGGGATCCGGCCAGGAACCCCCCGGCTACAGGCCCTTCAACAACACAGCCATCGTCAACCCCGGACTTCCTGCTAGTTAGGCCCGCCTCTTCCGCAGCCGAAGTCCCGCCCCTTCCTCCCGGTGCACTCTAAATGAATTGTTTTGTTGCTGAGTTGCCATCGTCACTCTGGACCCATAGCTACTCCATCCCGAGTAGCCATGGGCTTACCATAGAAGGAACAAACTCTTAATCTTAGAACTGCTTTAGGCAGTGGGCGTGATGGTTAAAAACTCGGCCTTTGGCGTCGACCTCAGACGGAGATCTACCAATTAGGAAATTAGCTGTGATTTAGAAAATTTAATATTTCGATGCCATACTTTCCTAATCTGCAAAATTTTTGTAAATACCTGTGACCTAGTGTCGTGAGCGCTTAGCAACACCTGACACCCACTAAGCTCTCAGTAAGTGGTAGCTTTAGTATTACCATTATATCCCAATTAGTACAAGCACCTTACCTTAATGCTTTCATGGTTGTTCTAGGCCAGTGGTTCTGAAAGTGGTTCTAGACCAGCAACAACAGCAGTAGCAGCAGCACCTGTGAACTTGTTAGAAATGCAAAGTTTCAGGCCCATTCCAGTTCTACTGAATCTGAAACTCGAAGGGAACAGCAACCTATGTTTTAATAAACCCCAAGGTGAGTCCATGCACTTAAAAGCTTGAGAACCACCATTTTAGGTTAGGGTTGTTCAGCGATAGCACTACCGGCATTTAGGACAGGATAATTTCTTGTTGGGGGAGGGGGCATGTTCTGTACAATGTAAGATGTTTAACAGCATCCCTAACTTCCACCCACCAAATGCCAGTTATCTTCCCCACAGAGGTATAAAAATGTCTCTTTTCCGTATGTCCTCTGGGAGGCAAAATTACCCTGAGAACCACCATTTGAGGCCAATGCTTTTCAAATTTAACGTGCATACAAATCACCTAGAGACATTGTTAAAATGCCTCTTTTGATTCAGTAGGACCAGAGTAAGACCCTCAGTTGAGCACCAAAAATCTCCCAGATGTTGCTGGTCCCTGGATCACATTTTGAGTAGCAAGAGTTTAGGCAAGAGATGATTCACTAACTCTTGGAAGTCAGTGAAATAAGCCTCCTTTTAATTTGATGACCACATTCCTACCAATTCAACTTTCCAAAGCTGTGTCTTACATCCTAATATTCCTTTAGGAAGGTGTCATGGCTTTTCCTCCTATAGGACCTGGGACCTGTACTGTCTGCGGTTACCTTAGTATTCCCCTTGAAGACTTAAAAAACAACAAAGTTTGGGCTGCAAGAATGATCTATATCTGGTCATTTCCCCCTAGGAAAACATCGTAGGTCAAAAAATTAAGCATTTGGGTTTAAAGCAAAAATGTAAAAGAAAAAGGGTAAGTCTGTGATATGAAGTCAAAAAAACTGGTCCTGGTCATTTTATTTTTACACAATATCAGTTTCTTCATATGTAAATTAGGAATACTTGTCCCATCTTTACCAAATGCTGTTCTGATAATCAAGTGAAAAGTACTTTCAAGTAGTCAAAAACATGAAAATTGCTACACAAATCCTGTGTTATAGCTGATTTTCACCATAGAAGCTGATCACCTTCTTAAAAATTTAGAATTACCAGCTGTTGTGCTGGAAGGTCTAGTACCTTTTCGTTCAGGCCCAAAACCCTAAGGTTTATATTGTTTTACAGATTACTGCAAAGCTATCAATTTCTTCTGAACCTAAGAAATGACACACTATATCTATTCCCAGTAATACAGAAAGCTGTAAGTAGAATTATCAGGGCCCAGGCTATAGAACTTGAACTATACACTCCCGCTTAACACAATGGGCTTTTTTTTTTCCTAGTCTCAAGTCAACATCAAAGCAGCCTAAAAAAATAATTTGACCAACTATCCTGCTGCATTACAACTATTATTCATCTGCTACGTTTTAATATGCAATAGCAGCATGCAACAATACCACCAGCTTTTGGCTAATGACTTAGCATGAGAATATAGTCAGTTCTTCAGATTGCTGTTCCTCAGAGATACTTCCTAGGAAACTTTTTTAAAAATCACCATAGCAAAGAGTTGTAGAGAAACTACCTAAGGGTTAACACTTTCACTGCAGTATGAGTTAGTGAAGATTGTGGTCATGTGGTCATTGGTTTTAACAGAAAATAAGACAATCTAGAATAAAAGCCATAGAAAGAAATTTTTCATGAGTTTGACAGAAAGAGTCTTTAGAAAAAGTTTGAAAAAAATGAGAAAAATACATTAATTTTGTTAAATTTTTTTATATTAAAAAGTGGCATGAACTTTTTATGTAGAACAAAAATCTTGGGAAGGCAAAATTGGATAAAACCATTAAAACAGAAATAGAGTGCTTCAAATGAATCCCATCACCTTGTGATGTCCCTTATTAACAGTCTCTAAACCAATACCAGATACCAGAACAGTCCATCCTAAAGAACGAGCAGCAGTCCAGGGCCTCCACGCTACTTCATGCAATAACTGTTTAAATTAAGCCAGCAGGACCTGTTTCCTTTGTATAAGCTACAACTTCTGAAGCATTACAGTTCCTCTAGCACGGTGCTCAATCACAGCACTTGGAGCACCTCTCTGCATAAAGGCAAACAAAACATTGCCTAAGGACCCTGCAATGCCACCCTTGGAGGCTTACAAAACAGTAGTTAAAAGTTTCGGAGTGTGCACCACATTGCCAGCAATGGGATGTGTCACAATAGCAGATGTCAAAAGAGTTAAGCTAATATTTCTCTTTAAAGTACATCTGAAATAGAAAAATCTTTAATATACACCATTTGTAAACAAAATTGCACTTGATTTTGCTTTTTTAAATGATCTGAATCATACTGTAACAGTTTCTCTTTTTTTTTTTTTCTTTTGATCATTGATAGAACTATGGCTCCTTAACTCAGAAGGGCCCTTTTTTCTCAAAACAACCTCTGCAAGATGTAACCTTGACTTCCCAGGAAAATGAAAGGTAGTTAACAATTTCCCCCATCACCTATGTAACTCCCTAAATAAATAAAAATTACAGGCAGTTGCTCCTGGAGATTACATATTATGGTGTTGATGACAATCTTTTAGAAGACGTTAAACTTTTTAGTTTGTCAGATTTAAAAAATGAAACATTACAGAAAGTTCAGGAACAACACACTTAAGTTGCATGAACATCCATGTCAGAGTCTGGGAGGAAAGGGGGCAGCAGTGTTGTAAATAAGAAGCTCGTAGATTTTTCTCATCTTATGAACTTGTTTTCAGTAAGATGTTCTCTTTGTTCTGACACCTCTCGCCAACTCCAATGCCCAAAGATCAAGGAACAGATCAGGATGTCATTGCTTCCTTTAATCCCATGGAGCCGTACAGAAGACTGACACAGATGCTGATCTCTTCCCTGATGGTAGCCATCTTTAACTGCAAATCTTCCCATTCCTTACTCCATTTTGGACCTTTCAAAGTGTGTGATCATTCGTTCCTAGGGAAAAAAAAAAAGGTTGAAGTATATTAGGTTAAAATGATCTATATTCCAAATATCTTCTATACAGACTATCCAAGCAAACATCTTCCACGAGTACTTTATGTTAATTAAATGTTTAGAGAAATGGTTCCTAAACATTTGTGAAGATTTTGAACATACAGATGTCCAGACCTCACCCAAGAACAACTAAATCAAAAGCTCTAGGCTTCTGGACAGAAAATCAGCACTCAGAAGGAAATGTATAGAGTCAGCTAAGATCTTATGTAAACAAATATTTACATAAGATTAGGCTTTAATAAAAATGTGTAACTCCTCTAATTCAGGAATTTCACTTGAAGACCCAGTGAAGGATGAGGGCAAAGACGTGCACCTAGTTAGCACTTTGCACTTTAGAATGGTTAGGAGGGTTGATTTGTTATGTGTTTTTTACTACACTTTTTAAAAATCATGTAAAAAATAAAATTACATTTAATTTAATATAGTATTTACAGTATCCCATTTCAATTAAAATAATTAATGTACTACCCTTAAATTTCCCTTCTTAGGCAATTTTATACCTTAGAGTTAATTTTCATTTTTCTTTTGCTTCATTTGCGAAGTACCTCTCACTATTGTATCACAAACTGACAGAACTACAAATCCTTTTTGAATATAATCAATCACATCAGATAATCTATAGATGTTTCCCTTTTTCTTAAAAATATCCTTTCCGATGCTCTCTGTTCTCCACTCCATCCAAGCCTGGTGCCCAGCTGCCAACCTGAGAATTTCTTACATCATACTGGGAATTTTTCTTGTCTCTGTGTTGGACCCTTTATTTCCTAGATCCCAAGTCTTTTTCCTAGCTTCCTCATTTTTGTGGAGAACATTTTCCCCTACTTTCTTCAGAAACTGCATATAGAACATCAATTATTTTACTTCTTGTGTGACTAGAAACATCTTTATTTTACCCTCATAATGATAGTTTAGTTGAGTACAGAATTCTAGGTTGAAAATGATTTTCCTCAGAATTCAAAGGCTTTGTTCTGGCTCCCAAAGATGTTGTTGAAGAGCCTTATGCCATTTTGATTCCTGGTCCATCATGTAAATTGTTTCTCCTGTAATTCATTTAAGGTCTTTTTCAGTTTTAAGGGAAAAAAAGGCCTTGGAGAAAGTGATGTCAGCAAGATGACAGAATAGGAAGCCCTGGACACTCCTTCCCTCTACAGACACACTGATTCAATAACACATGGAAAAATTCCCTTTGTGGGAAATCCAGAAACCAGTTGAGGGTCTTCTGCACTATAGGAAAGCATGAAACCAGCTGAATCAAAGTCGGCAGAAAAACCTGAGGCACCCTCTTGCCATAATTCTTCCCTTCCCATGGACCCAGCACAGTACCACATGATAGAGAGGAAACCCTCAGCTCCCAGCTTCTTTTTGCAGAGGGAAGGAAATGACTGGAATGTACATCCAACATTCTGACTTTTCTGGAACCTGCACGAGAGACTGTTTTCTGTCTTGCCTGAGTCCGAGAGCTAAAAACAAAGGGCCCAGGTTGGAAGTTGCTGAAATCAAAGTGGAAGTTTGGACTAGCAAGCATGAGCTCACTACAGCCGCTCCCCCAGCTCAGTGCAGAGTAAGCAGGTAGAATCCCCAACATCCCCAAATCCTAGCTTTTCCCTAGGGAGGAGAGATGGACTGTGAAAATGTTCCAACTTTGTAAGAGGTTACCTGAGGGAATGGTTTCTGTAGGGAATGGTTTGAAGCACAGATGGGACCAGTATATTTTAGGTGCCTGGGGCCAGTATGAACAAAAAAAGAGCTGGGCTATGCCACTGGCTCCAGGAGACCCATGATACAGCAGATAAACACAAAAGGGAGCAAGAGATTATAAATTCCTGGGGAGGGAAAAACCCAGCAAATCCCTCTGATTGGGAATACATATGCAGAAGTCCAGAAAAGACATAATACAGAGTGGGTTAGAGAGGCTATCAGAATGATTGATGAGGGTGTTCTCCTGTACAATGCCAGTCCATGAACACTGGAAAGGTAACTGTTTTTTTTTCTAATGCAATGAAACCAACACAAAGAATTAAGGAAAATAGAGAATCAGTGAAACATGGCCCAAACAAAGGAAGAAGATAAATCTCTGGAAACCAACCCCAGTGAAACAGAGGTATAGGAATTATTTGAAAGAGAATGCAAAACAACTATCATGAAGATGTTCAACGAACTCAGGAGAACAATGCATGAACAAAGTAAGAATTTCAATAAAAATATACAAAACATTTTTAAAAATATGCCAAGAAACTGGATAACCTAGAACAAAATATATAATTCCTAGAAGTATACAATCTACCAAGACTGAATCATCAAGGAATAGAAAATCCGGGGGGGGAACACACAACCTGGTAAGACCTACAACAAGATTCCATCAGTAATCAAAAACATCCCAACAAAAAAACAGCCCAGGACCAGATGGCTTCTTTAGTTGAGTCCTACCAGGTACTTAAAGACAAAGTAACACTAATCCTTCTTAAACGCTTTCAAAAAAATTAAAGACGAAAACATTTATTTGGAAGGAACTTCCAAACTTATTCTATGAGGCCAGCATTACCCTAATGCCAAAGCCAAAGACATGACAAGAAGAGAAACGACAGGCCAATATCCCTGATGAGCAGACGCAAAAATCTTCAATGAAACAATGGAAAACAGAATTTAACGGCACGTTGAAAGAATCACATACTATGACCAAGTGGAACAAAATAGAAAGCCCAGAAATAAAACTACACATACATGGTCAACTGATCTTCGAAAAGAGAGACAACACTACACAGTGGGGAAACTGACAGTTTCCTCAACAAATGGTGCTGGAAAAACTAGATATTCACATGAGAAAGAATGAAAGTAACTCATCTTCACTATACACAAAAATCAACTCAAAATAGATTAAAGACTTAGACAAGTCAAAATAGATTAAAGAATTAGACATAAGATTTGAAACCACAAAACTCCTAGAAGACAACCTAAGTTTCTTGAAATTGGTCTTAGCAGTGATTTCTTGTCTAAGACACCAAAAGCACAAAACAAGAGCAAAACAGACCAATGGGACTACATCAAACTAAAAAGCTTCTGCACAGCAAGGGAAGCACACAACAGAATGAAAAGCAACCTACAGAATTGGAGAAAATATTTGCATACTACATACAGTCACGTATACTTAATGATAGGGATACATTCTGAGAACTGCATCATTAGGCAATTTCATAGCTGTGTGAACTTCACAGAATATACTTACACAAATCTAGATGTTATATAGCCTACTACATACCTCGGCTATATGTATAAGCCTATTGCTCTAGGCTAAAAACCTGTACAGCATGTTACTGTACTGAATACCAAAGGCAACTGGAATACAATGGTAAGTATTTGGGTATCTAAAGTTATCTAAACATTGAAAAGGTACAGTAAAAATTCAGTATTGGCCAGGTGCGGTGGCTCACGCCTGTAATCCCAGCATTTTGGGAGGCTGAGGTGGGTGGATCACAAGGTCAGGAGACCGAGACCATCCTGGCTAACACGGTGAAACCCCGTCTCTACTAAAAAAATGCAAAAAATTTGCCGGGCGTGGTGGCGGGCGCCTGTAGTCCCAGCTACTTGGGAGGCTGAGGCAGGAGAATGGCGTGAACCCGGAGGTTCTTATGGGACCACTGTCATATATGTGGTCCGTTGCTGACTGAAATGTGGCATAGGACTGTATCTGATCAGGGTTAATATCCAAAATATATAAGAAACCCCTACAATTCAACAGCAAAAAATCAACTAACTTGATTAAAAACTGGGCCAGGGACTGGAAGAGACATTTCTCAAAAGAGGGCTTCCAAATGGCTGACAGGTATATAAAAAAAATGCTCATCATCACTAATCATCAGAGAAATACAAACCAAAACCACAAGGTGTCACGTCACACCTGTTAGGATGGTCATTATCAAAAAACAAAAAATAACAAATGTGGGCAAAGAAAGAAATTGGAACCCCTGTGCATTGCTGGTGGAAATGTAAAATGGTGCAATCACTATGGAAAACAGTATGAAAGCTCCTCAAAAAAATTAAAAAATAACTACCATATAATCCAGTAATCCCACTTCTGCATATATACCTAAAAGAAATGAAGCAGGATCTCAAAGAGAAATGTGCACTCCCATGTTCACTGCAACATTATTCACAACAGCCAAGGTATGGAAATAACCCGTGTCCACTGACAGATAAATGGATGAAGATAACATGTTACATATATACAATGGAACACTTGTCAACCTTAAAAAGGAAGGAAATTCTGACATGTGCTACAACTTAGATAAATCTTGAAGACATTATGCTAAGTGAAATAAGCAAGCCACAGGGGGACAAATGCTGCATGATTCCACTTATATGAGTTATCTAAAATAGAACTCAAAGGCAGAAATAGAATGATGGATGCCAGGCGCTGAGGGAGGGGGAAAGCAAGAGTTGCTATTCAACAGGTATAAAATTTCATTTAAATGAGATGAAAATGTTCTAGAGATCTGCTGTACAACATTGTGCTTATACGTAATAATACTGTAACGTACACTAAAGGAGTTAAGAGAGTAGATCTCATTGTTATGTTTTCTTACCACAAAAAAGCCTTATGTATACCTGGAAAATCTTGCACAGTGTTTTCACAGAGGAAAATATGAACAGATGGCTGAACTCAGTGCCACCAAATTACTATAGCAAACTTGCATTCCCATGAAGGGCACAATCAGGTTTCAATTAATCAGCCTTCTCTGCTTATAGCAGCTCATGGAGAGCTGAAGTACAAGGGAAGCCTTAAAGGCAAATAATTAGCAGAGGAAGACCTCAAGAGGGAGATGTGGGAACAGCAGAATATACCACAGAAAGCAAAGTGTTATGTAGATAGGTTCAAATCTGAATGGTAGAGTTCTCAATTATTTCAACACATAGAACAGCTAAGGAATTTGATACTGTACATGCTGTGTCAAAGATCATGTCAGTGGGAAATGAACAAAACATTTTTAGCAGCCAATTCAACACAATGAATCAGAATCAGACAAAATGCTTCCAAAAGGCTTCCTGAAAAAAAACAAAACAAAAACAAACAAACAAAAACTCTAAAATGACCTAATATTCAGAACATATCCAGAACTAGTTTCCATGAACTCAGGCCACAATTCTTTTTCTTTTCTTTTTTTTTTTTTTTTGAGATGGGGTCTCACTCTTTTGCCCAGGCTGGAGTGGCGTAATCTCAGCTCACTGCAACCTCTGCCTCCAGGGCTCAAGTGATCCTCCCACTTCACCTCCCAAGTAGCTGAGACTACAGGTGTATGCCACCATCTCCGGCTAATTTTTGTATGTTTTGTAGAGATGGGGTTTCACCACGTTGCCCAGGCTGGTCTCAAGCTCCTGACCTCAACTGATCCTCCTGCCTAGGCCTCCCAAAGTGCTGGGATTACAGGCATGAGCCACTATACCTGGCCCACAATCCTAACATAAGACTTCATGTGAAGCCTTCTAGATTAACTGTATGGAGGCAAACTAAAAGATTAAAAACATAAATATTAGAGGTACTAATTATAATCCTTACTATCTGAAGAAGGTAGTGACAAAAATATTATTAAATAGTAGGTAACAATTTAGATTTTGTTTTGGTCTACTATATTCCTTTCTCAATATTTTTCCTTATTATTTTTGCCAATATTAGATTAGAGTTAAATTTGCATTTCTTACAGACAAAAGAACTAGATGGTGGAGAGTACTGTATTTACTACCCAATTTAAACAAAAACATTCTGAAGTCTGACCATATAACTTTGAAAGGTGAAACATGTATAGACAGATGCAAAGAAAGGAAGATTCTTGAATGTTTGAACTCTATTAGTATTTCTATTCTTATCCTTTTCAACTATATAAACTATAGTTTTCAGGCCACTACTGAGTCAAATAAAGAGAATCTCCATGAACAGACGATTCATGACTTTCTATTTAGTCACCATATACATAATTTATGCACGTGAATTGAGTACCAACCTCATCTGAATCCAGAAGGGCTGGAAGTGCTCTGCAAAGAGAGAGAAATACTAAATTGAACAATGTAAAATAAAGCCATAAATGGTTCATAAAAGACAATGGAATAATGCAATTAAAAGCTTTATAATTATCTAAGATTTGCATTTTATTAATGGCCCTTTTAGGAAAAATAAACAGCAAATACAATAAGCAACAGTTACAGAAATTGTATAGAAAAAAAACGTATTTTGCAATGCAACAGGACCAATGTTTCATTAAAATTATAGCCCTGGAAAGGAACTAAAAATTTCAAAAGGAGTATCCCATTCATTTTAAGATATACTACATAGCTAAATCTTTCTAAGCAGAAATGTCATCTGAATGAATAAACCCAATTAATTTTGTTTGCGGATTATTCCTATTCTTTTAATTATTTTTCAGTATCTTGTATTTTCATGAGTATAACTTGCTCATTTAAAATAATAACAAAGTAGTACTAACTTTGAAATAGGATTCTTGTGGTAATCATTCAAAAACTTACACATCTGTCACAGAAGAAGGAACATTCTCTTCTACCCACTTCAAATCATCTTCCTGCTGGGAACATACAAATACCACTCATTACTAAAATGCACCACATAATACATCTCAAGTAAGGACATGAAGGTCTTAAAACTTGTCTTTCATAATTCTGTAGTCATACATTCACAAATGGGACTGCTGACAGAAAAGTCAAATATTTTAATTTTTAAAAACATTTTTAAAAATCCCTTTGACCAACATCTCCCCAGTTCTCCCATAGCCCCTGGTAACCAGCACTCAACCCTCTGCTTCTAGGAATTCAACTTTTTTAGATTCGACGTAAGTGAGATCATGTGGTATTTGTCTTTCTGTGCCTGGCTTATTTTGCTTAACATAGTATCTTCCAGGCTTCTTCACGCTGTTGCGAATGACAAGATTTCCTTCTCTTCTGAATCTAAATAGTATTCCATTGTATATCAAAATACACATTTTCCTTATCCATTCATCTACTGATGGACATGCAGGTTGATTCTGTATCTTGGCTACTGTGATTAATGCTGCAATGAACATGACAGTGCAAGTATCTCTTTAACATACTGATTTCATTTCCTTTAGGTATATACCCAGTGACATGAATCCTGGATCATAAGGTAGTTCTATTTTTAATTTTGAGGAAGCTCCATACTATTTTCCATAATGGCTATACTAACTCACATTCCTATCAACAGAGTACAAGGGTTCCCTTTTTTCCATGTCCTTGCCAACACTTGTTATTTCTTCATTTTGATAAATGCCATTCAAACAGGTGTGAGGTGTTATCTCACTGTGGTTTTCATTTGCATTTCCCTGAGGATTAGTAATGATAAAAATTTTTTCATATACTTGTTGGCCATTTGTAGGTGTTATGTTAAGAAATGTATATTCAGGTCCATTGCCCATTTTTAAACTGGGCTATTCGTTTTCTTGCTACTGAGTTCCTTATATAAATTGGGTATTAACCCCTTAACAGATGCAATGTTTGCAAATGTTTTCTCCCACTCTGTAGGTTGTCTTTTCACTTCGTTAATTGTTTCCTTTGCTGGGCAGAAGCTTTATAGTTTGATGTACTCTCACTTCTCTATTTTTGCTTTGTTCCCTGTGCTTTTGGGGTCATATACAAAAAAAAATCATTGCCAAGACCAATGTCACAGAATTTTCCTCCTGTTTTCTTCTAGTAGTTCTACTAAGGGTTGGAAGATGGGACAAAGAACAAAGACAAATGGAAAAGTCATACTTACTGCTTTGTTAACTTTACTATTTCCATTGGGTTCTTGTTTGGTACTTCTCATTTTCATTCCTTCTGTAGAAGAAAATAAATATACACTGTTTAACTTTGTGAACAGACCAACAATGTTGGCAAAACGGATTCAGAACTTTTTCTTTTTTTAAATTAAAAGCCCCAAAGTTACTTATCATAGTTTTATTTTAAGCTTCCTAATACTTGTGAAGTATACAACAGATGCTTCTCCATCTTTATATGTAAGCTGGGAAGTTCAAAGCAAAATTTTTAGCTCACTTCTAGCAAGTAAAATGGATACTTAATGTGCAATTACTTACTGAATTTACCATGCCTTCATCTTAAGATTCACACCCTTATTTTCTTAACCCTGACTTCATCCCACACCAAATATAGGAACAACACAGTTATAAAATAATAAACAATGTACTTACAGAAAAATAATATTTAAAGTACTAATAAGAGGTGAATTTTATTATTACCAAAGCTTTCTTTCAGCATAGGCTCCTTTTGTTCATCCTCCTCCTCTTCCTCAGACAATGGTGAAAAGGCAAACCTAACAGAACCAAAGTGAACAGAAGGAAAAAATTAGAAAACTTCAAAAACTGCTATACCAGTTGCATTTTACAAAACTAATTATTGAAACTGCAATTATAGTAATTCATTAAATCAGTTTAATAATAATATTTCTTCCCCTTCAGAAAGCTCTTTATTGCCTATATTAGCAAGGGAGAAGCAGGACAGTATCATATTTATGAGTGCAGGCTCAGCTGAATACTACCTGTGACATCAGACTAGTTACTTAATCTCTCTGTACCCAGTTTCCTCAACTGTAAATAAGGGGACAATAGAACATTACTCATAGGGGTGTTTTGTAAAAGTAAGTCGTTACAAATAAAGTGCTTAGAACAATACCTGTCACATTCAGTAGACAGTCAACAAATGTTCATTCATAAGGATATGTATCAAATAGAGTTAAGTAAATTCTCATCTAATTTAAAATCGCAGCCTTCAAATTGGGAGTTAAGAGAAGGGAGGCCTATTCCAGGTAATTTAATTTCAGTTTACAAGTGGGAAGCTCAGAAGATGAAGGTCTGATCTGGTATATCTCAGATGCCTTTCCTTAACAACTTCCAAGAGATTCAGCAAAGCAGCTCCCAGACATGTAATTCCTAGAATGCTTTAGCTTTTATTTATTTGTTTTATTATTTATTTATTTATTTATTTTTTGAGACGGAGTCTCGCTCTGTCGCCCAGGCTGGAGTGCAGTGGCATGATCTCACCTCACTGCAAGCTCCGCCTCCCGGGTTCACACCATTCTCCTGCCTCAGCTTCCCGAATAGCTGGGAGTACAGGCGCCCGCCACGATGCCTGGCCAATTTTTTGCATTTTTTTATTAAAAATACAAAAATTAGCTGGGCGTGGAGGTGCACGCCTGTAATTCCAGCTACTTGGGAGGCTGAGACAGCCTCAGGTGATCCGCCTGCCTCAGCCGCCCGCCACGGCCTCCCAAAGTGCTGGGATTAAAGGTGTGAGCCACCGCGCCTGGCCGAAAACAACTTTGTCCATCAACTGATGAGAATCCCTTGACCCCGGGGAACAGAAGTTGCAGTGAGCCAAGATTGCACCACTGCACTCCAGCCTGGGCGACACAGCGAGACTCCGTCAAGAAAAGAAAGGAGAGACAGAGACAGAGAGAGAGAGAGAGAGAGAGAGACAGAGAGAGAGAGACAGAGAGAGAGAGAGACAGAGGAAAAGGCAACAGCATTCCTACATATTTGGAAAAGCTGTATATATTTTTAAAAGTTGCATTCGTAAGAGTCACAAATTTAAATCAGAAGTTACAAAACGTAATTCAAAGACTAAAAAATGGAGAGATGCCATACTCAAGGAATTATCAAAAATATATATATAATCTCCCTAATTTATTAATTCAATTAAGTTCCAATCAAAATCTTAATAGGTTTTCCTAGAATTAAGCAATCTAAAATTTTTATTAAAAAACAAAAGCTGGGTGTAGTGACATGTACCAGTAGTCTCAGCTACTGAGGAGGCTGAGGTAGGAGGATCCCTTGAGCCCAGAAGTTTGAGTCTAGCCTAGGCAACATAGCAAGACCCCATCTAAAATAAAAAAATTTTAAAAATAAAGGGCAAAAATTCAACACCAAAGGCTTTTAAAAAATTTTTTTGAGACAGGGTCTTGCTCTGTTGTCCAGGCTGCAGTGCAGTGGTATGACCACGGCTCACTGCAGCCTCGACATCCCAGGTTCAAGTGATCCTCCCACCTCAGCCTCCCAAGTAGCTGGGATTACAGGCATGCACTACCATGCCCAGCTAACCTAAAACAATTTTTTTTGTAGAAATGGGATCTTGCTATATTGCCAGGGCTGGTCTCAAACTCCTGGGCTCAAGCAATCCTCCCGGCCAGACCTCCCAAAGTGCTGGAATGACAGGTGTGAGCCATCACGCCTGGCCAAATGTTTTTTTGGTTGTTTTTTTTGAGAAAGAGTTTCACTCGTTGTCCAGACTGGAGTGCAATGGCGCGATCTCAGCTCACAGCAACCTCCCCCTCCTGGGGTTCAAGCACTCCTGCCTCAGTCTCCCAAATAGCTGGGATTACAGGCATGTGCCATCATGCCCAACTAATTTGGTATTTTTAGTAGAGACGGGGTTTTTCTAGTTGGTCAAACTGGTCTCGAACTCCTGACCTCAGGTGATCTGTCCGCTTCAGCCTCCCAAAGTGCTGGGATTATAGGCATGAACCACGGTGCCTGGCCCAAAGGCTATTTTTAAAAGAGCCAGGTAGTATGCAGCTGAGCCTGCACTTATAAATATGATTAGGGGTTCAGGCCCTCCAGATACCACAGTTTATCAGAAGCCTAGGGTAATTCAGACAGTGTGCTACTGATGCAGGAGCAGAACAGAAGAGAGTAGAGAGCCTAGAATCAAGTAATTCTTGGTGGATGAACATCTTGATTGTGATTTTTTTTTTTTTTGAGACAGAGTTTCTCTCTTGTTGCCCAGGCTGGAGTGCAACGGCATGATCTCAGCTCGCTGCAACCTCCGCCTCCCGGGTTCAAGCAATTCTGCTGTCTCAGCCTCCCAAGTAGCTGGGATGACAGGCGCCTGCCACCACGCCTGGCTAATTGTTGTTATTTTTAGTAGAGATGAGGTTTCATCATGTTGGTCCGGCTGGTCTCGAACTCCTGACCTCAGGTTGTCCACCCGCCTCAGCCTCCCAAAGTGCTGGGATTACAGGCATGAGCCATAGCGCCCGGCCTGATTGTGAAATTTTTAAAAAGTCATTAGAGAATAATTTTTTGAAATCACCTTAGGCTAGATAAGAATTTGTCAAAATAAGATGCAAAATGTACAATCCTTGAAGGGAAAAACTACTCCATATTTCTGAGATTTTGTATGATTAAAAACAGCATAAAAATCATAAGATTATTAACTGGCAGAAAATATATGCAATACTTAGAACAAACAAAATATTGGCATACAAAATATATCAGAAATTCCTACAAATTGGGCCTGGTATGGTGGCTCACGCCTGTAATCCCAGCGTTTTGGGAGGCCAAGGCAGGCAGATCGCTTGAGCTCAGGAGTTTATAACAAGCCTGGGCAACATGGCAAAACCCCATCTCTACAAAAAATACAAAGATTAGCCCAGTGTGGTGGTGCACACCGGTGGTCCCAGCTACTCAGGAGGCTGAGGTGGGAGGATCATTTGAGCCCAGGAGGTGGAGGTTGTAGTGGGCCAAGGTTGCTCCACTACACTCCAGCCTTGGCTTCAGAGCGAGACCCCATCTCAAAATAAATAAATTCCTACGAATCAATACATAAGTGATTGTTACAGTCTGAATGTCTGTCCCCTCCAAAACTCATGTTGAAACCTAATTCCCAGGGTGACAGTGTTGGGAGTTGGGCCTAATGGAAGGCATTTAGGTCATGAGGGCTCCACCCTCATGAATGAATTAATGCTGTTACATAAAGGGTTTTCTGGAGTGGGCTCTCCCTTTTGCCCTTCCACCTTCTGTCATGTGACGACCCAGTAAGAAGGCCCTCACCAGATGCTGACACTGCGAGCCAACAAATTTCTGTTCATTATAAACAAACAGTCTGTGGTAGTTTGTTATAGCAGCTGAAAATGGACAGAGACAATGATCAATAAGCCAATAAAAAATAAGCTAAAGATCCAACCTTAAATGCAAAAAGTAACAATATTAATTCTCATCCACCAAATCTGCAGAAATTAAATAAAATGATGGGACATAAAACAAGGGAAGAAGAAAAAACCTCTCTCATACCATTGTTGTTAAATATGCAATTTCTTTCAGGTTTTTTTTGGGAACGTAATCTGGAAATACTTTAAAAATTACAATCTACACATATCCTTCAACCTAGCAAATCCAAGCCCACTCATTAAATATTTCTTGAGCATGTGCCAGTGTGTAGTGAGAACCTAACCTTCATTGACTAATGTGAGGTGATCCCGACACCCATAACATGTCCTGTCTTTATTTGCCTGGGGACTTTGGCTGACAGTGTAACAGTATGGTTTATGATAGGGGCTTTGGGCCATGCCATATCAGCTCTGACCTCCAGAGGAAATGGTATTAGCATGACTGCCAGGAGGGGTTGGAAACTAAAAGTCAGCAACAGAGACAGTATGTGATTGAGCCCCAGTAAAAACTCTGGACATTGAAAGCTCAAATGGGTTTCCCACATTGGCAATAGTCTGTGCATACTGTCACATATTTGGCTGGGAGGAGGTAACACTGCCCAATAAAAATCTTGAGTGCTGAACATTAATGGGCTTTCCCAGACAGAAACAATGTGTTACTACATTTTTGTTGCTGGGGAAAAGAACTGACTTGATGTACTTCCTCAGAAGAGAGACCGAACACCAGGAAAGAAAATACAGATTTCCCCAGACTCTACCTGCTATCACCATTTTGTTGTAATACACCTTAACTGTGAGTATAACTGTACGCTGCATCCCATGAGGCCTTCTAGTAAATCACTGAACATCAGGATGGTCTTGAGGACCCTGACACACCTCAAACTGGAAATATCCCAAATGCCCATTAATAAGAGAATATGTTAATTTAACTGTACTACACATGTCCCATATTTATGCTATCCATGAAAATGAATGAGTTCAGTTAAACCTGTTACACTGGAAGGAATCTCCACAATGTACTGTCACAAGAGTAATGTAAGATTCCATACATGAACAGGGAAAAGACACATTATAATATGCAGTTAACACTGAAGTCACAGAGAAAGGGGGCAATGTTTTAAAAGAAAAGGGGGAAAAAAAGAAGAGGGAAGGTAACGCAAAAATTTTTTAATGACTGAGGAAGGGAAAATATTTAAATACAAATATAGCTAGTGAGTAACCAGTAGATCAACAGACGGATATAAAAGAAGGGTCTCCAGAATGTAAAAGTTCTTTCTCAATAGTGTGATTTCAGATCTCCTTTATTTTCTTTCATTACTTTTCTCTATTCTGACTTTTTTTGATAAACACATATAAAGTGCATAGTTTGAAATGACAGCAAGGCCATTTTCATGGAGTAAAAGGATTTCACCTATTTTCTATTTCAATCTTTCATTGGGTCTGGTTATAAAATTAGTCATTTATATCATGCTACCCTTTTCCTTCTTTGGTGGTATGGGTGTTTAATATAAGCTCTTAACCGTCTAAATGCAAATGGGGGGGGGGGGAAGGCATAATCACAAAATAAAGCTAGGCAGTTCCTAAATGACTGAAATTTGCCTATAGTTGGACAAATCAGATTTACACATACATTTTTAATTTCAAAGTTGGTTATGTAAGTTTTAATTTTACCCTTTCTATCATTACAAAGTGAGCTGGGCTGCTGGTTACAGAAATTTTCTTTCCTTCTAGACACTAGACAGGAGAGACTCAGTGTAAGTGATACAATTATATCTTCTGTTTTCTTTGAGACAGTCTCACTCTGTCACCCAGGATGGAGTGCAGTGGCGCCATCTCGCCTCACTGCAACCTCTGTCTCCGGGTTCAAGCGATTCTTGTGCCTCAGCCTCCCGAGTAGCTGGGATTAGAGGTGTGCACTGCCATGCTCGGTTAATTTTTGTATTTTTAGTAGAGGTGGGGTTTTGCCATGTTGGCCGAAACCATGTTGGCTCAAACTCCTGGATTCATGTGATCTGCCCACCTTGGCCTCCCAAAGTGCTGGGATTACAGGCATGAGCCACCGTGCCTGGTTGACACAATAGATTATATATCTATCTCCCTTGTTTACTATACAAATACTTACAGTTATACTTGGTTTTATGGTGCTTCATTTTACTGTGCTTCCCAGATTTTGCAGCAACCCTATGTCAAGGAAGTCTATTGGTGCCATTTTCCAACAGTAATGTGCTCACTTTGTGTGTCAGCATTTTTTTTTTGAGAGGGAGTCTCGCTCTGTCACCTATGCTGTGCAGTGGCATGATCTCGGCTCAGTGCAACCTCTGCCTCCCAGGTTCAAGCGATTCTCCTGCCTCAGTTGCCCAAGTAGCTGGGATTACAGGCATCCACCTCCACACTCAGTTAATTTTTGTATTTTTAGTAGAGACGGGGTTCCGCCACGGTGGTCAGGCTGGTCTCGAACTCCTGACCTCAGGTGATCCAACTGCCTTGGCCTCCCAAAGTGCTGGAATTACAGGCGTGAGCCACCACGCCCAGCCCCTGTGTCGGTATTTTTTTTTTTTTTTTGGCAATAAAGTGTTTTTAAATTAACGTGCATATATTTTTTAGACATAATGCTATTGCACACATAGTAGACTACAGAATAGTGTAAACATAACTTTGATATGCACTGGAAAAAACAAAATATGTATGTAACTCAATATCTGCTTTATCGTGATGGTCTGAAACCAAACTTGCAATTTATTTCCATAGTATGCCTGTGTATTTATCACAAAATGTCAGAGCTGAAAGGAACTTCATGTTGCTGGGTTTAATTCCCCCTCAGTATATAGAAAGGAAACTAAGGCCAGAGAGGTGGAGAGGCTGCATGCCAAAAATCATGAAGTTAAGAGGAGAGCTGAGATAGGAACCCAGTTCTTCTGATTCCAGGCCCAGTGTTCCTTCCACTATATGACACAGCCCTGATACTGTCCCCCAATGCACCACCCCTAATTGATGACATGGTCATCTCATGTTAGCAGAGTAAACAGAAGAGTCCAAGAACCTCTGGTTGTTTGCAGATGGTCGCCAGAGAACCATGATGACAAAGAGGATCATGGAGAACAGCAAGCGCCAGATGGCATCGTCTACCCACAGCTCCCGCCAGTCCTACAATACAGGGGAGAAGTACAACATTTATACACATTATCTTAACCCCTTGTTCATAAAGCCTTTGGCATAGAACAAAAATCACTTATTTGTTCATTCAAGTTATGTTTACTAAGAGCCTGCTACGTGCTCAGTACTGTGGTAAGTGTGGGGAAACAAAGTGAATGAATGTAGTTTTTGCCCTTGTAGTGCTTACTGTTGTTAAAGAAAATGCATCAACGGAACAGAGTATTTGTCAAAGCTTCATCATCCCTCTGAGAAGCTTTAAGAAAGGGTTTTATACAGGGTTAAGAGAAAGTTACCTTATACAGTGTAAGAGAAAGTTACATTAGGTTGGTATACTTTATAATTTTCATTTTCATTATTTATTGAACAAAATAAGAGCCTTAGCTGCTTCTGAAGAAATCCTACTGTCACAGTCGTTGAGCTCAGATCTTAAGGATGTGGCTTCTATTCAGATTAGTATTATTTACACATATGGTACTTAATATTTAGTACTCTGGACTTCTTAAGATTTTTAGTTAAAATAAGACTGGGTTATAGCACACTGTAGTTATAACTTACAAAATTCTCTCCCAAAACTGGGAGAATACAGTCAGAAAAAACAAACAAAAAACTACTATACCAAGCACCATGATAGTACAGAATACTTAGGAGGAGGGAAGTATCACAACCCTCAGAGTAGAGACCTAGCTCTAATTTTTTATAAGGTATATAACTTAGAAGAACCTTACCACTGTCATCAACACCATCAGTTGTTTATAAGACAGTACATTATTCATAAATGTGCTTATAACTCACCGACTGACATGTCACTATTCTGAACTTCATGGTTGTCCAGATGATAAACACAATGGATGCTAACAGTAAATGAAAAACCAGGTCAGAGTATGAATGCTGGTTTACATCCCCAATTACATTCCCCCATTTCCGGTTAAGTGGAATCCCACACACCCCGAACCCCCAAATACATCACAACTCTATCAGTTATTTTAACAAATGTATTCAATACAAAAGGACTGTATACCTGCTATCAGCAAGGCTCATGATACATACTCTGGCCAATCCTTTCTCTATTTAAAGAATAATTTGGTAATAATGTTATTTGCCATCTGGCTACATCAGTAACCAGTGTGGTTGGAAAATAAGGTATTGGAAATATAGCTCTTTCCAGCATTATCAATATAATTTTTTTCTCCTTTTATCCTTAGTATAGTAATGCTAATTTTTCTTTGGCTGGTCAGATGAAAAAAAATGGCTGATAAAACGACTGTAACACAAACAGAAGAGCTAGTTCCAATCATAAATCAGACCTCACTATTCCTGGTACAAGGGTCAGGAGGTAGGCAAATTAGCCTAGTTTGGTTACAGTCCACCTAATGTCAATTTTTTACATATGCTTGCTGACATATGTAAAACCACTATAATAGCAATGCACCCTAAAATTCTACAACTATTTAATAAAACTAAACAAACATGTGGTAATGTCTTCTAAAAGGAGTACTCTCTGGCACTTAAGCTAACTAACCTCAAGAAAAAGAATGCCTCAAGAAAGAATGCAAATAGAAGAGGGATAAATGAAGAGCTGAAATATGAGGTTGATTTCCAGCTACTGTACATAAAATAAATGGTTCTCAACTTTTTAAAAACCACAGATCCTTCTGAGAATTTGACAAGAGCTAAGAACCCTTTTCCAAGTGAAATATACAAAACTTTCTATGTCCACCCATGGCCTTTCAGGTTAAGAATGTCCATTCTAAACAGATCACATTTGAACTCCAAGAAGAAAGTCCCAGACTTACCTGCCACTGCCAAAATAAGCGTGTTGGTGAAATGCCGATACAAAGAGAGTTTTACAATGTTCCTCCGAAGTTTTAATAGCTTCATTGTTTGAGTCAGGCTAATAAATATGTGTTTGCAGGTCAAGGAATTCAACATTCAGGAAAAAACAGTAAGCTAGCCAATTAGTTTTCAGGTTTCTTTAAGGATCTGGGGTCATGCCAATAAACTTATAGATCTCTCAGAGGCCTTATAGCTCTCTTATTCTCACTTAATCTCACAAACACCTCAAGATGAATAAGAAAGTCATCATTTTATTTTCTTTTCCTTTTTTTTTTGTGAGGCAAGGTCTAGCCCAGGCTAGAGTGCAGTGGCACAATCACGGCTCACTGCAGCCTTGACCACTGAAGCTCAAGCGATCCTCCCACCTCAGCCTCCCAAGCAGCTGGGACTACAGGCATGTGCCACCATGCCTGGCTAATTTTTAAATTTTTTTGTAGAGATAAGGTCTCGCTATGTTGCTCAGGCTGGTCTTAAACTCCTGACCTCAACTGATCCTCCTGCCTTGGCCTCCCAAAGTGCTGGCATTACAGGCACGAGCCACCATACCTGGCCGGAAGTCATCATTTTCAATGAGACATTAAAGAGAAGACAGAACCAGAATAAAGTAAGAATGTACAAAATCACAAGAGAAAAAATATAAAAAAGAGAAAGGAAGAGGCTTTCTAGAGAAACAAAAAAAAAAGACAGAAAATAAATAGAGAAATGGCAGAAGATAAAGTGAACATGAGTAACAGGCAAGGGACAAAGAGTTAACATCATCTTCTCTCTCCCTTTAAGGTGGGTAGCTCTGTTCTCATCTGTCCAGCAAATCTAGTTGAGGGTCATAATTATACTCGTGCCTATAATCTCCCAGAGATCTACACTCAGTCCCCTCATGCCATCTTAAGGAACCTGCCATCAGTTGCCTGCACTATCCTGAATTAAGAGGACCTTACAATTGGTTGAGAAGCTCATATGGTTTGCTTCCAAAAGCAATGACTCTCCATTTTCAGAACATTATTCTCAAGTAGAAGTTGCCAGAGAAAAACAGGAGGGGAATTGGTGACTACTAAAAATGGTATCTGCTCTCACGTTCAATGTTCTTTTCTTTTTGAGACAGGGTCTCACTCTGTCACTCAGGCTGGAGTGCAGCGGTGCGATCTCGGCTCACTGCAACCTCCGCTTCCAGGGCTCAAGCAATTCTCCTGCCTCAGGCTCCCGAGCAGCTGGGACTACAGGTGCAAGCCACAATGCCTGATGAATTTTTGTATTTTTTGTAGAGATAGGGCTTCGCCATGTTGCCCAGGCTGGTCTCAAACTCCTGAGCTTAAAGCAATCTGCCCATCTCAGCCTCCCAAAGTGCTGGGGTTACAGGCATGAGCCACTGCACCCGGCTCAATTTTCAGAATGAGAAGCAGATACAAAAATAAGGGATTTGGCACTTGCTCTGCCCTTACAGAGCCGTAGCTGTTACCTAGTCATTGGGTTATCTTACTGTACAATCCATTCCCACCTCCCTCTTCTCTCAACGCTTGCAGAGGTTCACAAAACACTTAGAAAGATACTAATCTAGAAAAGCTTTGGCTATTTAGTCCAAGGACACTTTAACTGAAAACTCTTATACAGCAACCCACTCAAATTCACAAAACAATTTTGTTTACATTCACAGTTTTTCAACAGTCACAATCTATCAGGTCAGTAATAATGAAAACTGCTAATAGGACCAAATATATAAAAACCAAAACAAATTCAATAAGATAAAGTCCAAAAACTTGAATCCTTTAGCCATCAGGCCAAGCCCCTAATATATAAATTTAATTTTAAAGAGCAGGAGAAAAAGATTGCTCAAATAGAAGCTTGTTTGTTATCTGCTGGTTGACTCTGCCTGTAAATGAATCAATTATTTATTCTGAAGGGTGGAAATCTTCAAACAATTCCAAGCCAGCTTTTGAATGAGGCAAGAAAACACTCACTCCATAAGGGTTAAAACCTGCTGAACATACAGAGTTTCAGAAAAGTCAAAGCACCTTACATAGTTCCTGAAATCAAATTTTAAGGATCAAAATCTTTTCATAAGTTTCAAAGCATTTAAGAATTGCTAGAGGCTAAAAGGCAGAGCAGGACCAGCACAGCCAGTGACTCTAACACTAAATGATTAGGTACACAAACAAGAAGTGCAAAATCAAGATGAAATGCTCACTTAAAAGAAAAAAGCCAAAAGATTTTATCTCGAGCTCGGTCCACAGTCACCAATTTCCAATTTGATTTTTAAAATTAAAAAAATAGAAACAAAAAAAACTGCTTACCTGAACCCTCAGGTTGTTAAGACTTAGCATGCACTGTTCCCCACACTAAGGAGTAATTAACAAAACTGATAAAAACTCTTTGCAGAAAGATCAATGGAAACCCATCTCAAGGGGAGAAAATGGACCATCATCAAACAAGCCAATGAGAAGGATATCCACCAGCACAAGGCAGTGTCTAGGAAAGCCAAGGGGATAAAGGCCAAGGAAGCAAGATCAGTCTGGGCCTGCAGACAAAGAAAAAGAAGTGGTGAAAAACAGATGTCTAGAGAGGCACAGAGAAGAAACCACCACATGATTCTGCATTTACATAATCACTGGAAAGTTTTTGCATTGAACTGAAAGAAAATAAAAAGAACATTTGACACCTAATCATTCTTCCCTTCTTATAAACCATCACATAGAATATACAGCTATAAGCATTTCACATAAATTGTCATTTACAATCTCGAAACATACTGCTAAGTACGAGTTTTTCATATATAAAGATCCATGTTAACAAGTGACCATATTCCAAAAAAGTTCTAATGTTTATAAGCCCCATCCTTAATCTATCATTTCCTATTATTGCAATTTTGGCTACAAGTCTGAAAAGACTTTTCTCGTATTTAAAAAAAATTACTGCATCATATACAAAGAATTATTAATTTCTAAAATTATAATATTTTACAAATAAGAGCTCACCCCAAAATAAAATGTAAGGCAATTATCTGTCTGAAAAACTATGCTGCATGTTTCCAGGAGTTTATATAGAGTATGTTTTTTATATAACCCTAATTACCCAATCAACAGGCATTACTGAAAGGATATCCATAAAATAACACAGGCGTCAATTGCTGAGAGGGCCAGGTTTACTATCAGAGTCAAGGGATAAGAAAAATACTATAGCAACAGCAGAAGAAAGAAAATGAAATTGACAGAGGGTTAAAGTTGCTAGAAGTCTAAGAGAATTACATACAGAGGACAGTGTGATTTGAAAAGCAAATGTGCATCCACAAAGTGTTTGATTTAAGAGGCAATTTATTGCAAAACATATTGAGCCGTTTTCTTGTGGGCAAAGCCAAGTTTATAGTTTTTACAATATTGAATCTAATAGGTTGCTGTGGAGTCTTTTTTTAAAAAATAAGAAAATTAATTGAAATGGCCTAGAGAACCTTATACTTCTTCGTATTAATCCAGTGGTAACATAAATTTCTTTTCTCCTCTTTTTTAAGGAAGAGGTATCACTCTGTTGCTGGAGTGTAATGGCATGATCATGGCTCACCGCAGCCTGAACTCAATCAGTCCTTCCACCTCAGCCTCCCAAGTAGCCAGGACTACAGGCACCCACCACTGCTCCCAGCCATAAATTTCTTTATCACTTAGATTCTTTGGTTTCCTTCCCTGGCAAAGGGAATAATTATACAATTCTCAAAAATGGTGTGAAACTTCATTAGCTGCATTTTTTTTTCTTTTTTTGAGACGGAGTCTTGCTCTGTCGCCCAGGCTGGAGTGCAGTGGCACGATCTCGGCTCACTGCAAGCTCCGCCTCCCGAGTTCACACCATTCTCCTGCCTCAGTCTCCCAAGTAGCTGGGACTACAGGCGCCTGCCACCACGCCCAGCTAATTTCTCGTATTTTTTTTTTTTTTAGTAGAGACAGGGTTTCACCATGTTAGCCAGGATGGTCTTGATCTTCTGACCTAGTGATCCGCCTGCCTCGGCCTCCCAAAATGCTGGGATTACAGGCATGATTACACACCCAGCCTCATTAGCTGCATTTTAAGGAAGTTTTTGAAACTGAAATGTTAAGAAACAACAGTTACTTTAGATTAGATTAACTAGTAAGTGTATGACTCCAAAGTCTGCCATTTACACAAGAATTTCAGTCTGGATTTCAGTCTGGATTCCATTGATTAGAAAAAGAAAAAAAAATGCAAGTCTACTGCTTGGGAGGAGGAACTAAAACAATTAGCAATTTGGAGACAGGTGGAAAAGCATTCATTCGGGCACACACTAAATTTACAAAGCTCTAATAGATTTAAAAGAGAACATGAACTATACATATATTTTGAAAATCAGAGCCCAAAAGTGACTTAAAGCAAACAGAAAGAAGCCCACAGACATTTCCAATCCACACTGTCAAGATGTAAACAATATAATTGAACTGACCACAGAAAATGAGATTAAGCAGTACTAACCCCAGTAACTCTGAGGACCCCTTCCATGCCAGAGAACAAAAGATAGAGGGCTCCTGCTACTACAACCTTATGAAGAGTGACTCCAAGGCGTGGCCTAAAGAGGAAGCAAGGAGATATTTGAGTACATATGGGACAAATGCCGAAACAAGCTAAGTAACAGGAACTTGTGTTAATTAATATAGGCCAACAATTTAAAGCAATAAATAATATACACTTGATTCACCTAAGAGAAAAAAACTAAGACCTTATGGTCTTAAAACAAGATAGGGAACACTACAACTTGAGATCTTGTGTCTGGTTACCACATTTTAAAAAATGTTTCCTCAGAGAGTTTTGAAACATATTCACAAGTAGTATAATGCACCCTTATAAACCCTTCACCAAGGCCCAACAACCACTAACCTATGGTCAGTTTTGTCCCATGCATACCCCATCCCCTTTCCACCCTTTCATATTCTCTTGATGCAAATCCTAGACAGTATATCTTTGATATATTTCAGTATGTGTTTTTAATAAATGAGGACCTTATTTTTCTTTGGTATTTCAATGGCTACAAAAGGGCCTTTCTTTTTTTCCCCTAAAGAAACAGGGTCTCACTCTATCGCCCACGCTGAAGTGCAGTGGCCCAGTCACTGGAGCCGTGAACTCCTGGGCTCAAGCAACCCTCCCACCTCAGCCTCCCGAGTAGCTGAGGACTACAGGCACGTCCCACTACACCAGGCTAATTTTTTTTTTTTTTTTTGATGTTTTGTAGAGACAAGGTCTCACCGTGTTGCCCAGGCTGGTCTAGAACTCCTAGGCTTAAGCGATTCTCCTGCATTGGCCTCCCCAAGGGCTGGGATTACAGGCATGAGCCACTGTGCCTGGCCCACAAAAGAAACTTTTAAAAAACATCACCAAGATACCACCATCAAATCTAAAAATTCTAACGATTCCTTAATATAATCAAATATCCTATTACGGTTCATTAAATAGTATATTTGCAAGCTCGAAACCTAATATATGAAAAGTCTTCTGAGCAACTTCTGTTTGAAGGAGAAAAAGTCTTAACTCCTTGAGATTCAAAATCCTACACAACCAGAATCCACATGTTAACAAAATCCTTAGGTGATTCCTTAGTGTAGTGTAGTTTAAGATGTGCTGCCTTAAATCATGTCTGCATAGGCCTTACCAATATTTGTTCTTATATTTTTTGTTATACATTGGGGAAAACTCCATATGAGCAGGGAATTTTCTCCCCATTCATCTTGGAAACCTAGAATACTTCCTGGCATATAGGAGGCACTCAAATAATTGTTAAATAAATAAGTTTTAAGAATTAAAATTCCCCATATCTCTAATCCCATTTAAAGCAAAACTCCTTTAATTGAATAAACAAACTTAAAACAACTAACCTTAATCCTACTTAAAGCACTATAAAGTGATGCTATAGCATTACTTAATCCCACTTAAAGCAAAATTCCTTTAAATAATTGTCTATACAATTATTCTAATTCCTCTCCTCCTATACTCTCTGGAACTCTCCCCAATTAGGCTTTTGTCCCTATCTCTTCACCAAAACTATCACTATGACCCTCCATATAGGTAAACTCAATGGCCAATTCTCACTTGACCTATCAGGATCTCTTGACACAATCACTTCCTCCTTGAAACACATTCTTCAGTTTTCTACCCACCTCACTGGTCTCTCCTCAATTTCTTCTGCTAACTACTTCATCTTACAGACTTCTAAATAATATTAAATATTCAAGGGCCCAGCCCTTGGACCTCTTCTCTATATATACTCACTTCCTTGGTGACCAAATCCAGTCTCATGACTTTATTTATTTATTTATTTAACTTTGGAGATGGAGTCTCGTTCTGTTACCCAGGCTAGAGTGCAGTGGCATGATCTTGGCTCACTGCAATCTCCGCCTCCAGGGTTCAAGCGATTCTCTTGCCTCAGCCTTCCAAGTAGCTGGGACTACAGGTGCATGCCACCACAGCCGGCTAATTTTTTGTATTTTAGCAGACACAGGGTTTCACTGTGTTGTCCAGGCTGGTCTTGAACTCCTGACCTCAGGCAATCTGCCCGCCTTGGCCTCCCAAAGTGTGAGGATTATGGCGTAAGCCACCACGCCTGGCCTTCATGACTTTAAATAATATCTTTATCTTCATGACTCCCAAACTTTTATCTCTGCCCCAACCTCTCCCCTTTGTTTCCCCTACTTAGTTATCTAATTCAACTCCAATCTTGCCCCTGCTCCACACTTATTTCACCTAAGGTCTTCCTGAACTCAGTAAATCTTCAATTCCATCCTGCCATTTTATCAGATCAAAACAATTGGCATCATCCTTAATTCCTCTTCTCTTTCCTATCATACATCTGATCCATCAGCAAATTCCACTGGTTCCACCTTCAAAATATATATAGAATCTGATCTCAATTCAGCATCTCTTCCCTTGGGTATACATATAGCTCCCTCACCTCCTTGAAGTCTCTGCTTAAATGTCATTAAGTGAAGCCCTCCTTGATCACCCTATGTACAACTGCAAGCTCTAGCTCCTGCATTACCTGCTCCACTGCACTTTCCACTGACATATTAAAATATTTTACCCACTTAAATTTTGTCTTTGTCCCCTCCCTCCACAAATGTAAGCTCAAAATCTTCTGTTTACTTGCCATATCCCCAGGGCCTAGAACAATGCCTCAAAGAATGCCTATAGAAGACACTCCTCAATAAAAATAAAATTTTTTGGATAGAAAAATATTTTCAGACAGTTACAGCAAGAATGCGTTTCCCATAAAAAATCTAATTTGCAAAAAATATTTTGGAAGTATGGAAATATATTCGGAAGTATGGAATACATTTGGATTTGGAAGTATGGAATACATTTGGACTTGGAAGTATGGAATATATTTGGAAGTATGGAATATATTTGGAAGTATGGAAAATGAAACACATTTTCCCAACATTTACAATGCTACAAAATTTCAAATACCTTTCTTGTTTCAGAATTATTTCTTTTATCAACTATTTCAGAACTACTACATTGGGAACATGCAATACTGTTTTAATTTAATCAGCATTTTAATTTGCTCTTCCATACAGGAAGTTAATACTTACTTGACGATGCCATATCCCAGACTGACTATGATGACCAGGGTTCGAGCCAGTGAGCGTTTCACTGCTGAAAGCAGCTCTGCAAGGATCAAAGCACCCTGGACTATGAAAAAGAAGGGAAGAAATGGCACCATAATCTAGGTTTGGCAACAGGCCAGATGCCAATACTAGACTGCTGCTTTCTACACTCTTCAGAATAAGCATTGATATTAGTCCTGCTAAAATAGAATACCTCTTCCACAGTTTTTACAGGATACAAGCTGATGCCACTCACAATCTTACTCATGTCTATGTATGGCAATCTGGGTGCGCTCAACTCAGCTCCCTCCCCGACCTGGCCCCAAATTCACTAAAACTTTAACAGAATACCTCACCCTATATGGACAGTTTGTAGCATCGAGACAATTTCCCCCATTTTTAAAAACTGTGAAATACAGCTACACATAGAAAAGCACAAAACACACTCGTGTACACGCTTGTTGGCATGTACAGCTTAACTTTTTTCAGATCTACTATTTTCAAGACCTTTCAAAGACCAGGGAAAATCTTATCAGTTTATCTCACAATAATAATTATGACTAAATTAAATGGTCTGACAAGAAAAAACTGAAGCAATCACAAAAAACTACAGTATAAAACAACTTCTGTCATTACCAGTTCACCTTACTAAACCATAAGCACTCTCCTATTTTCTTGATATGACTATATTTTATCAGTTAGATGCACTTTCCCACCACATTTTGAGGTTTTTTAAATCAAGGTGTGTCTTACAATCAGTGACATTTTACAATTAAATTGACAGCTTTACTTTTTTTCTTAGATGTATAATGGTGCCTTAGAAATCAACAGAAATTGAGATTTGATGTTAATAATCATTCCCAAAATGGTCACTACTGTTGTGACTTTTGTGAGCATATTTCAGTAAAATTAGTCTTACATCACTGAACTCATAAGATTAAAAACAAAAGTCAGAGTCATAGTGATTCTGCTTAAGATATTGTAATAATTAAGTAATTGAAAAGTTAAGCCTATGTAGTGACTGCTGACCTTAGGAATATTTTCATACATCTCACCTTCCAACCACTCGAACTGGCAAAGATTTTCTGGTTACTTACCAGATTCTCCTTTGTATCGGATATTCTGAAATTCCGCATAGAAGACAGCTTTCTCAAGCATTCCCAGGAAGATGACAGCACCAATCCAAAACTGAATTCTCAGGAGATCTCTCCAGTAGCAGGCAGACCATGCCAGCCACAGAACACCAAACAGGACATATACAATACACATCACCATGAAAAACTGTTATCAAATTGGGTAAAAGATAAAAAGGAGAATTAGGGCCAAGAGCCAAGTCTGTAGATTTAGAATCAATATATACTTTTTTTTTTTTTTTAAGAGATGGGGATTTGCTATGTTGCCTAGGATGGTCTTGAACTTCTGGACTCAAGCAATCCTCCCATCTCTGCCTCCCAAAGTGTTGGGATTACAGGCATAAGCCACAGCGCCTGTCCTGAATCAATATACAGTCTTAACAAGTTACAAAAATATATTCTACCTTCTAGTTAAGAAATAATTCTTCCTTTGGAGCTTAACATTAACTAATATGAAAGCATTATCTTGTCTTGAGCAGAGAAGACTACATATGAACTTGTCCTCAAGAGCGAATGCTCTCATATGTATATATATATATGTGTGTGTGTGTGTGTGTGTGTGTGTGTGTATGTATGTATCACATATGTATACCATATAAAAGGTGCTCTCTATTATACACACAGACACATATATGGTATATATAGAGAGCACTCAGCCTGCTCTCCTATAGTAAAAGAGCTTTTTCTGGTCAGGCGTGGTAATTCACACCTGCAATAGTGCTTTGGGAAGCCGAGGCAGGAGGACTGCTTGAGGTCATGAGTTCAAGGCCAGTCTAGGCAACATAGCAAGACTCTGTCCCTACAAAAAATAAAAATTAGGCCAGGCATGGTGGCTCATGCCTGTAATACCAGCAATTTGGGAGGCAGAGATGGGCAGATTACTTGAGGTCAGGAGTTCAAGACCAGCCTGGCCAAAACATGGTGAAACCCCGTCTCTACTAAAAATACAAAAATTAGCCAGGCATGGTGGTGCGCACCTGTAGTCCCAGCTACTCAGGAGGCTGAGGCAGGAGAATCGCTTGAACCCAGGAGCTGGAGGTTGCATTGAGCCAAGATCGTGCCATTCCACTCCAGTCTGGGTGACAGAGTGAGACTACGTTTCAAGATAAAAAATAATAAAATAAAATAAAAATTAGCCAGGCATAGTGGCACACGCCTGTTGTCCTAGCTGCTTGGGAGGCTGAGGTGGAGGGTAGCTTCAGCCTGGAGTTTAAGGCTGCAGTGAGCCATTATCCATTATCATGCCACTGCACTCCAGCCTGGGAGACAGAGTGAGACTCTCTTTTTTTTTTTTTTTTTTTAAAGAAGGAGCTATTTCAGCTCACGATCTAAAATTATATAGATGAAGACAACACTGAAGAAGAAAAATGGCATGATGATTAGGATACATCTAGAGGCAAGGAAACACAACAAAACGGGAAAACTATTAAAGGGAAAGGAAGAAGAGAATAATCATGAACAAAGAAAATTGAAAATATATTAAGGATATTCTGAGACACAGACGTATGCACACATACATGTATGTGCACACATACACACATACACACACAAAATGAAGAGAAGGGAGCTTCATCATTTTGTTAATTTTTTGTTGTTGAGACAGTTTCACTCTGTCGCCCAGGCTGGAGTGCAGTGGCAAGATCTCAGCTCACAGAAGCCTCTGTCTCCTGGGTTCAAGCAATTCTGCTTTAGCCTCCCGAGTAGCTGGGACTACAGGCGCCTACCACCACGCCCAGCTAATTTTTGTATTTTTAGTAGAGATGGGGTTTCACCATGTTGGCCAGGCTGGTCTCAAACTCCTGACCTCAAGTGATCTGCCCGCCTCAGCTTCCCAAAATGTTGGGATTACAGGCATGAGCCAGGGCACCCAGCCTCATTTAGTTAATGTAAGTGGGATCAGAAACAATAGAGTTGTAGTAAAAAGTGCCCCACTATGCATCCTAGAGAGAATGTGAGATGATCTTTGAGGTATTTCCACAGGTCACTGACCCCTTCATTATATGGATAAGAAAATGAGGCACACAAGGGTATACTGACTCTCTCAAAGTCCCAGTCTAATAAGAAATAAATCCAGGACTACAAGCAACATTTTCTGAATTGCACAGGAACAATTCATTAAAAAGAATACTGCCACAAAACATGGGACAATCTTTGAACCCAAAACCATCCAATACTGAGGTTAAATAATATAAAGTCACTTACAATCATCAAGGGATAGTCTTCAAGTGTGAGGTATTCATAGGGACCCTTCACTTCAACAGTCACTGCCAAAACAGAGTCCTCAGAATTAATTTACAGGATGCAGAAATTAAACAAAAATATTGCCTAATATTTGTTTAATGAACTTAGTAAGAATTTCATTGGGTCATTTACTTTTAGGCACTTCAATCCTGGTCAATATTACATTATATTTGTACAGCACTTGGAAAGTCATTAAGTGTCCTCATAGTTCATGCTGTGTCCTGCACAGGTTTCCATGCCTCCACCATAGTCTGAAGTGGGAAGGCTCTTTTGTTTCCATACTCACATCTTAAAAAAGACTAGATTGAATATTTCCTCCACACAGCCTTCTCTGGCTGCCCATCTGGAACAACTCTACACATACTCTAAATTCTAAACATACTTCATATATACTTTTCCTTACAACACATCAGTAAAATATGCCTTACAGGACTTCCTTTTTACATATTGCCATCTTCTTTGTTTTCTATCTTTCCTCACCTGTATTTTCCTATTGCTTTACTATTTTTTCATGGACTCCAATTTTCTTTTATTGCTACATTCATGTATCATTTTCGGAATGAAGGCATTGGAAAAAAACTTAAAAATTTAAATTAACTCACACAAAAAAATATACCATCCCTCATACAAGATTGAAATCTAGCTTCACAATCAGGTACCCTAGATGCTCACTCCAAAATAAAAATAACTCAAAAGTTCAGATGCTTCAAGGCAAAGCTCCATCCAATAAACATAGAATTGAACTTCCCCAAAACCTGCTAGTTAACATTTTTCAAAGAATTTGTTAATAACAAAGTGTTTAATGAGACAGATAAAGTAACAGTAATAACATATATCTGAAAGACATATTTGCCTTAGTAAAGCAAACATTGACTAATTTTAAGATTATCTGTAATTTTAAAAACTATTTCAAGATGGACTATTTTATTATTGTATTGATAAAATAATTTGGATAAATTCTAGGCATAATTAATAAATAAAAATCTGACTTGAGTGGTGATCATCCCTAGAGACAGACTAATAACTGTTCATTCAACAATTCCCTACTAGCTTCTGATATACCATTATTTAAAGTAAACTACATCCAATACTTACATGAAAAAAAGAGCATTCCATAAGAGCAATTATAAAAATTTCAGAGCAGAACTATTATTAAATCTATACCTTCCTAATTCAATAAAAGAGTAAACAAAATAATTAGTAAATACTTGGATCATATTCTTTGCTTACTCTATGCCTTGGTCAGCAAAATATAGCACATGGGCCAAATCTGGCCACCAGCTTTTTCTGTTAATAAAGTTTTATTGGAACACAGCCACATCCACTCATTTACATATTGTCTACAGCTGCCTCTGCACCACCTCGCAGAGTTGGGTAGTTATAATAGAGAAAAAATTTACTACCTGACTCTTTAAGAAAAAAATTTGCTAGCCCCTGCTCTATGCTAAAATATACATTTACTAAGCACTTATTATTTGACAGGCCTATGGAAAACACAGCAGACAGAAACATGAGTAAGATGTTTTCTGCCATCAAATGGGTAACCACCTTGCAGGGGAGAGGGAGTTGACAAGCTACATAGAGAACTATCCCTCTCAGCCAGACTAGAAGGATAAGTAGAGAACTATCCCTCTCAGCCAGACTAGAAGGATAAGTATGTATTTTCCAGAACAAAGTAAAAAGCCTTCTAGGTAGAGGAAATAACATGAACAAAACAGCTGTGAAAATGTGTGGTATATTTAAAGAACAAATATAGTCTGAGACTGCATATAATACCATATAGTAGTGGTGTTTTGACATAAGGCAGCAAAAGGTAAACTGGGACCAGTTGTAAAGAGTTTTATAAACCTTGCTGCAAAATGTAGTCATTTTATAGGCAATGGGGAGCCATCCATTAAAGGTTTCGATGAAGGGAAGAAAAATGATAAAACTGTATTAGTGATGATGTATCTTCTCCATTCCAAAAAAAGACGGGTATTTTTAAAATGAAAAAACAAGGCCAGGTGCGGCGGCTCACACCTGTAATCCCAGCACATTGCGAGGCCAAGGCGGGCAGATTACTTGAAGTCAGGAGTTCAAGACCAGCCTGGCCAACATGGTGAAACTAAAAATACAATCTACTAAATAAAAATCTAGTAGATTTAATAATTTAGCAGATAAATAATAATTTAGTAGGTTGTAAAAACACAATGTACTAAAAATACAAAAATTAGCTAGGTGTGATGGTGCAGGCCAGCAATCCCAGCTACTTGGGAGGCTGAGGCAGCAGAATCACTTGAACCCAGGAGTCAGAGGTTGCAATGAGTCAAGATCACACCACTGCACTCCAGCCTGGGTGACAGAGTGAGACTCTATCTCAAAAAAAAAAAGAAAAAAAAAAAGAAAAAGAAAAAAACAAAAAAGGATATAAGCTCAAAAACAAGACAGACATTTCCAAGAATCAAAACAGAAACTCAAAACAGTGCACGAGGCCGACTCCATGATCATGTTGGGCTCTTGGGCCAGAAGCAGGCTATGGTAGTTGGAAGTGCTGTCCCTATGGGATCTATGGTAGTTGGAAGTACACTACCAATGTACTACGGTAGTACATGGGATCATTGAAGCTAGTAGGTTTCAAAGAAAAAGAAGAGGGACCAGAGCCAGGCTGGATGCATGAAGAAGCTGAAGTAGGGTGGAATAAAGCTTCTCTTCCAGCCTTTTCAAAGAAAGAAGGTTGAAAATGAACACTGGTAACTGTGCCTTGAGACTATAATCCATTAGAAAGTCATGGGCCTAAAAAGACAGGAGGATACACATGTATGAGTGAGGGGGAGAGGGACAGGGAGAGAGGGAGAGGGAGGGAGGGAGGAGAGGAAGAGAAAGAGAGAGAGAGACAGACAGACAGAGAGAATATGCGTGTGTGTGTCAAAACCAAGTAGTGGTATCCCAGAAGTTCAACAATGATTTAATGTTAGAAGATCAGTTAATTTAATGTATGACATTAACTTATTAAATGAGAAAGCCCATATGATCATTTAAATCAGTACAATTAAACTATTTGATAAAGCTAAGTATTCATTCTTAACATTTTTTTTAAAAAAGGAAACTATTCTCATTAAACTAGGAATAGAAAGGAACATCTTTAACCAAATGAAGAATATTTCAAAAGTTCTACAGTAAACACAGTACTTAATGGTGAAATATACCAATACAGCCAGTAAAGTCAGGAGCGAAGTAACGGTGGCTGCCATCATTGTTTCTATTCCATATTCTGCTTAAGAAAGCAGGGTAGGAAAGGGCCAGGCACGGCGGCTCACCCCTGTAATCCCAGCACTTTGGGAGGCCAAGGCAGGCGGATCACAAGGTCAGGAGATCGAAACCATCCTGGCTAACACGGTGAAACTCCGTCTCCACTAAAAAATACAAAAAAATTAGCTGGGTGTGGTGGCGGGCGCCTGTAGTCCCAGCTACTTCGGAGACTGAGGCAGGAGAATGGCGTGAACCCAGGAGGCGGAGCTTGCAGTGAGCCGAGATTACGCCACTGCACTCTAGCCTGGGCGACAGAGTGAGATTCCATCTCAAAAATAAATAAATAAATAAATAAATAAATAAATAAATAAATAAATAAAAAAAAAGAAAGCAGGGGAGGAAAGGAAATTGCAAAAACACAAAGAAGAAACAAGGGGGAAACCACAGGAAATAAGACCAGTTAGGAAGTTCTTGGAAATTCCACGTAAAAGATGATGACTCTATGAACTAGGCAGCAACCTTGGAAAGGAGAACACTTAAATTCTTGAGACATTAAAAACTACCAATGTTAATTAATTTTTTTTTTTTTTTTTTTTTGAGAACAAGAACGAAAGTTCTTGTTGCCCAGGCTGGAGTGGAATGGCGTGATCTCGGCTCACCACAACCTCCATCTCCCGGGTTCAAGCGATTCTCCCGCCTCAGCCTCCCAAGTAGCTGGGATTACAGGCATGTGCCACCACACCGAGCTAATTTTGTATTTTTAGTAGAGACGGGGTTTCTCCATGTTGGTCAGGCTGGTCTTAAAACTCCCGACCTCATGTGATCTGCCTGCCACGGCCTCCCAAAGTGCTAGGATTACAGGCATGAGCCACCGCGCCCGGCCAATGTTAATTAATTTAAAATTTCCTTATCTCTGGCTTGGTGACCAAGTTTTGACAATTCTAGTTCAGAATACTGAAAACATGTTACTAACTAAAAATTTTAACAGCAGGAGTGTCAAATGAAGGAAATAGAAATCTGATACCTGTAATACCTAATAAAAAAGCATATGTAAAGTACATGAATGACATAACCAGATAATAACATAACCATTAAAAAAAAAACTGAACTTACTGGTAAAAAGATTACTCAGTGAATTTTCTTTTGATGATTCCTTTGAGGATGAAATGCCAATATGTACAATAAAAATGTATGGTGCATCTTGCCAAGTTTGCAATGGTTCATGCATTGCCTAGAAAGGGAAAAGGGCATCACATCTATAAATCTTAAGAATTAAGAGCACAAATTAATAATACAATATGCAAATTTTGCTCCAGAATGTGCCCAGAAATATGGTAAAGTCCTTCTCTTTCATTCATTGAAACATTAGGCACAACAAACCAAACAAGCCTAGTGCATAAAGTAGGCTAGATTATGAATTACTGAAAGGCAAGATACCATGTCTTGTACACAAAAATCACATTTAACATATTTTTTTAATGAGGAAACCCCCAACTAAAATCACTAATTTAATCTCTGTTTAACTAAGCCATACTAGGATACTAGTTTGTGTTTTATGCAGACATTACAAAGGAATTTAAATGATTATTTAAATCACCTTAAACAAAACTTAATGATGGTATCAGTAAAATGAATTCTAATCACCAATTCCTAAATCTAATCCCTTTGTTCAACATGCTTCCCAAGAATATCAGAATTTCTGCTGACATGGTCTCACATTTATATCAAAAATTTAACCTTGAGCTAGTCTATGTGGTAAGCAAGAGTCACTACCCCTCAAAGTCAAGGAAGACAAATTAACAGTCTCCAAGTCCTTGACTTTGAGGGGTAGTGACTCTTGCTTTTCACATAGACTAGAGTCTTCACAAACAGAAGACTAAGACACAATGATAAAGAGGAACACAGAAAATAACTGGTTTCTTCTTCCTTGGAATTGCAATTTACTACCATCTGTTCTTAAAAGGAGAAACGTTTATCCAGAGATCTCTGGGTAAGCTTCTAGGTTCTGTGAACCCCCCAAAATGAATAGCTGATTTTTTATGTTTATGCATTTTCCTGTGGAGCCATAGTTCTCCTCAAATGGTTAAAATATCCTACAACCAAGAAAAGGCTTAGTTCAAAAATTATATTCCATGATAAAAATCCATGTCAAACAAAGCAGACTAAACAATTCTCCAGATATCCATTTACTAGGTTATCTTAGTAAAATTTAAGAATATAAATGTCTTCCTAATCATACATTGATTTATCTCCACCTAATAGTCTCTGACGAGACTCACAACCAATTTGTGAGAAAACTTTGCAGCTTCAAAGTTATGGGTAATACATGTCTGCTTAGCCATAATTACAGAACCTTTCCTGAACTTACTTACTCATCAACCTATAAAATGCTGGTGTAATAACCTGCTCTATTAATCATATATGTCTTAAAACCACCTCTTACAAATTCTAAAATAAATTGATCAATTCTCATATTCCAGGATTTGAGAAAGTTTATACTTAACTCTGGAATGCAGAGATTCTGACCCTGTAAAAATAACATTTATATGCCAGATAACTCTGTTAAGCATATGACATTTATTACTTTTTTTTTTTTTTTTTTTTTTGAGGCAGAGTCTCGCTCCATCGCCCAGGCAGGAGTACAGCAGTGCAATCTTGGCTCACTGTGACGTCCGCCTCCCGGGTTCAAGCAATTCTCCTGCCTCAGCCTCCCAAGTAGCTGGGATAACAGGTGCATGACACCACACCCAGCTAATTTTTTTTTTTTGTATTTTTGGTAGAGACGGGGTTTCGCCATGTTGGCCAGCCTGGTCTCGAACTCCTGACCTCAGGTGATCCACCCACCTTGGCCTCCCTAAGTGCTAGGATTAAGGTGTGAGCTACCACGCCCCGGCCCATTTACTACATTTTTACATCCTCACAGCAGCCCTATCAGATAGGTATTAACTCCTTTGTAAACTAAGGTAAATTTTACACAACATAAAATTCACAATTTTAATGCGTATAAATCAATGGTATGTGGTACAAGCACAATGATGTGCAAATATCACCTCTATCTAGTTCCAAAACATTTTCATCAACCGAAATGGAGACCCTGTACTCATTAAGCAGTAGCTCCCCATTTCTTCCTCTGTCACCACTTGCAACTACTTATTTACTTCTTGTCTCCATGGAGTCATCTATTACGGACATTTCATATAAATGGGTCTAGCTTCTCTCACTTAACATAATGTTTTCAGGGTTCATCTATATTGCTGTATGTATCAGAGCTTCATTTATTTTTTTCTTTTTGAGTTGAAGGAATTGGCAAATATTTTATTGATCATGGTTAACTATTTTCTAAGTACTGAGACCCAAGTTTTGTTGTTTTTTTTTATACCTTAAGTTCTAGGGTACATGTGCACAACGTGCAGGTTTGTTACATAGGTATACATGTGCCATGTTGGTTTGTTGCACCCATTAACTCGTCATTTACATTAGGTATTTCTCCTAATGCTATCCCTCACCCAGCCCCCGACCCGACGACAGGCCCCACTGTGTGATGTTCCCCGCCCTGTGTCCAAGTGTTCTCATTGTTCAACTCCCACCTATGAGTGAGAACATGCAGTGTTTGGTTTTCTGTCCTCGAGAGTTTGCTCAGAATGATGCTTTCCAGCTTCATCCATGTCCCTACAAAGGACATGAACTCATCCTTTTTTATGGCTGCATAGTATTCCATGGTGTATATGTGCCACATTTTCTTAATCCAGTCTATCATTGACGGACATTTGGGTTGGTTCCAAGTCTTTGCTATTGCGAACAGTGCTGCAATAAACATACGTGTGCATGTGTCCTTATACTAGCATGATTTATAATCATTTGGGTGTATACCCAGTAATGGGATGGCTGGGTCAACTGGTATTTCTAGTTCTAGATCCTTGAGGAATTGCCATACTGTCTTCCACAATGGCTGAACTAGTTTACACCCCCACCAACAGTGTAAAAGTGTTCCTATTTCTCCACATCCTCTCCAGCACCTGTTGTTTCCTGACTTTTTACTGATCACCATTCTAACTGGCATGAGATGGTATCTCATTGTGGTTTTGATTTGCATTTCTCTGATGACCAGTGATGATGAGCATTTTTTTCATGTGTCTGTTGGCTGCATAAACGTCTTCTTCTGAAAAGTGTCTGTTCATATCCTTTGTCCACTTTTTGATGGGGTTGATTTTTTCTTGTAAATTTGTTTAAGTTCTTCGTAGATTCTGGATATTAGCCCTTTGTCGGATGGGTGAATTGTAAAAATTTTCTCCTATTCTGCAGGTTGCCTGTTCACTCTGACGGTAGTTTCTTTTGCTGTGCAGAAGCTCTTTAATTAGTTCTGATTTATCTATTCTGGCTTTTGTTGCCATTGCTTTTGGTGTTTCAGTCATGAAGTCCTTCCCTATGCCTATGTCCTGAATGGTATTGCCTAGGTTTCCTTCTAGGGATTTTATGGTTTTAGGTCTAACATTTAAGTCTTTAATCCATCTTGAATTAATTTTTATATGAGGTGTAAGGAAGGGATCCAGTTTCAGCTTTCTACATATGCCTAGCCAGTTTTCCCAGCACCATTTATTAAATAGGGAATCCTTTTCCCATTTCTTGTTTTTGTCAGGTTTGTCAAAGATCAGATGGTTGTAAATGTGTGGTGTTATTTCTGAGGCCTCTGTTCTGTTCCATTGGTCTATATGTCTGTTTTGGTACCAGTACCATGCTGTTTTGGTTACTGTAGCCTTGTAGTATAGTTTGAAGTCAGGTAGCGTGATGCCTCCAACTTTGTTCTCTTTGCTTAGGATTGTCTTGGCAATGTGGGCTCTTTTTTGGTTCCATATGAACTTCGAAGTATTTTTTCCAATTCTGTGAAGAAAGTCATTGGTAGCTTGATGGGGATGGCATTGAATCTATAAATTACCTTGGGCAGTATGGCCATTTTCACAATATTGATTCTTCCTATCCATGAGCATGGAATGTTCTTCCATTTGTTTGTGTCCTCTTTTATTTCTTTGAGCAGTGGTTTGTAGTTCTCCTTGAAGAGGTTCTTCACATCCCTTTTAAATTGGATTCCTAGGTATTTTATTCTCTTTGTAGCAATTGTGAATGGGAGTTCACTCATGATTTGGCTGTTTGTTTGTTATTGGCGTACAGGAATGCTTGTGATTTTTGCATATTGATTTTGTATCCTGAGACTTTGCTGAAGTTGCTTATCAGCTTAAGGAGATTTTGGGCTGAGATGATGGGGTTTTCTAAATATACAATCATGTCATCTGCAAACAGGGACAATTTGACTTCCTCTTTTCCTAATTGAATACACTTTCTTTCTTTCTCTTGCCTGACTGCCCTGGCCATTACTTCCAACACTATGTTGAATAGGAGTAGTGAGAGAGGACATCCCTGTCTTCTGCCAGTTTTCAAAGGGAATGCTTCCAGTTTTTGCCCATTCAGTATGATATTGGCTGTGGGTTTGTCATAAATAGCTCTTATTATTTTGACATACGTTCCATCAATACTTAGTTTATTGAGAGTTTTTAGCATGAAGGGCTGTTGAATTCTGTCAAAGGCCTTTTTGGCATCTATTGAGATAATCATGTGGTTTTTGTCTTTGGTTCTGTTTATGTGATGGATTACGTTTATTGATTTGCATATGTTGAACCACCCTTGCATCCCAGGGATGAAGCCAACTTGATCTTGGTGGACATGCTTTTTGATGTGCTGCTGGATTCGGTTTGCAAGTATTTTATTGAGGATTTTCGCATCGATGTTCATCGGGGATAGTGGTCTAAAATTCTCTTTTTTTTGTTGTGTCTCCGCCAGGCTTTGGTATCAGGATGATGCTGGCCTCATAAAATGAGTTAGGGAGGATTCCCTCTTTTTCTATTGGTTGGAATAGTTTCAGAAGGAATGGTACCAGCTCCTCTTTGTACCTCTGGTAGAATTCAGCTGTGAATCCAACTGGTCCTGGACTTATTTTAGTTGGTAGGCTATTAATTATTGCCTCAATTTCAGAACCTGTTATTGATCTATTCAGAGATTCAACTTCTTCCTAGTTTAGTCTTGGGAGGGTCTATGTGTACAGGAATTTATCCATTTCTTCTAGATTTTCTAGTTTATTTGTGTGGAGATGTTTATAGTATTCTCTGATGGTAGTTTGTATTTCTGTGGGATCAGTAGTGATATCCCCTTTATCATTTTTTATTGCATCTATTTGATTCTTCTCTCTTTTCTTCTTTATTAGTCTTGCTAGAGGTCTATTTGGTTGATCTTTTCAAAAAACCAGTTCCTGGATTCATTGATTCTCTTGAAGGGTTTTTTGTGTCTCTATGTCCATCAGTTCTGCTCTCATCTTAGTTATTTCTTGTCTTCTAGTAGCTTTTGAATTTGTTTGCTCTTGCTTCTCTAGCTCTTTTAATTGTGATGTTAGGGTGTCGATTTTAGATCTTTCCTGCTTTCTCTTGTGGGCATTCAGTGCTATAAATTTCCCTCTACACACTGCTTTAAATGTGTCCCAGAGATTCTGGTATGTTGTGTCTTTGTTCTCATTGGTTTCAAAGAACATCTTTATTTCTGCTTTCATTTCGTTATTTATCCAGCAGTCATTCAGAAGCAGTTTGTTCAGTTTCCATGTATTTGTGTGGTTTTGAGTGAGTTTCTTAATCTTGAGTTCTAATTTGATTGCAATGTCGTCTGAGAGACGGTTGTGACTTCTTTTACATTTGTTGATGAGTACTTTACTTCCAACTATGTGGTCAATTTTGGAATAAGTGTGATGTGGTGCTGAGAAGAATGTACAATCTGCTGATTTGGGGTGGAAAGTTCTGTAGATGTCTGTTAGGTCTGCTCGGTGCAGAACTGAGTTCAAGTCCTGGATATCCTTGTTAACCTTCTGTCTCATTGATCTAATATTGACAGTGGGGTGTTAAAGTCTCTCATTATTATTGTGTGCGAGTCTAAGTCTCTTTGTAGGTCTCTAAGGACTTGCTTTATGAATCTGGGTGCTCCTGTATTGGGTGCATATATATTTAGGATAGTTAGCTCTTCTTGTTGAATTGACCCCTTTACCATTATGTAATGGCCTTGTCTCTTTTGATCTTTGTTGGTTTAAAGTCTGTTTTATCAGAGACTAGAATTGCAACCCTGCTTTTTCTTTTGCTTTCCATTTGCTTGGTAAATCTTCCTCCATCCCTTTATTTTGAACCTATGTTTGTCTCTGCACATGAGATGGGTATCCTGAATACAGCACACCAATGGGTCTTGACTCTTTATCCAATTTGCCAGTCTGTGTCTTTTAATTGGGGCATTTAGCCCGTCTACATTTAAGGTTAATATTGTTATGTGTGAATTTGATCCTGTCATTATGATACTAGTGGGTTATTTTGCCCGTTGGTTGATGCAGTTTCTTCCTAGCATCGATGGTCTTTACAATTTGGCATGTTTTTGCAGTGGCTGGTACTGGTTGTTCCTTTCCACGTTTAGTGCTTCCTTCCGGAACTCTTGTAGGGCAGGCCTGGTGGTGACAAAAATCTCTCAGCATTTGCTTGTCTGTAAAGGATTTTATTTCTCCTTCACTTATGAAGCTTAGTTTGGCTGGATATGAAATTCTGGATTGAAAATTATTTAAGAATGTTGAATATTGGCCCCCACTAACAGATTGTCTGTTAGTCTGATGGCCTTCCCTTTGTGGGTAACCCGACCTTTCTCTCTGGCTGCCCTTAACATTTTTTTCCTTCATTTCAACCTTGGTGAATCTGACAATTATGTGTCTTGGGGTTGCTCTTCTTGAGGAGTATCTTTGTGATGTTCTCTGTATTTCCTGAATTTGAATGTTGGCCTACCTTGCTAGGTGGGGGAAGTTCTCCTAGATAATATCCTGAAGAGTGTTGTCCAGCTTGGTTCCATTCTCCCCATCACTTTCAGGTATACCAATCAGATGTAGATTTGGCCTTTTCACACAGTCCCATATTTCTTGCAGGCTTTTTTCATTTCTTTTTACTCTTTTTTTCTCTAAACTTCTCTTCTCGCTTCATTTCATTCATTTGATTTTCAATCACTGATACCCTTTCTTCCACTTGATCGAATCAGCTACTGAAGCTTGTGCATGCATCACATAGTTCTCGTGCCATGGTTTTCAGCTCCATCAGGTCATTTAAGGTCTTCTCTACACTGTTTATTCTAGATAGCCATTCATCTACTCTTTTTTCAAGGTTTTTAGCTTCCTTGTGATGGGTTTGAACATCCTCCTTTAGCTCAGAGAGGTTTGTTATTACCAACCTTCTGAAGCCTACTTCTGTCAACTCGTCAAATTCATTATCTGTCCAGCTTTGTTCCGTTGCTCGCGGGGAGCTGCAATCCTTTGGAGGAGAAGAGATGCTGTGGTTTTTAGAATTTTCAGCTTTTCTGCTCTGGTTTCTCCCCATCTTTGTGGTTTTATCTACCTTTGGTCTTTGATGTTGGTGACCTACAGATGGGGTTTTGGTGTGGATGTCCTTTTTATTGATGTTGATGTTATTCTTTTCTGTTTGTTAGTTTTCCTTCTAAGAGTCAGGTCCCTCAGCTGCAGGTCTGTTGGAGTTTGCTGGAGGTCCACTCCACACCCTGTTCGCCTGGTTATCACCAGAGGAGGCTGCAGAACAGCAAATATTGTTGCCTGATCCTTCCTCTGGAAGCTTCATCTCAGAGGGACACCCAGCTGTATGAAGTGTCAGTTGGCCCCTACTGGGAGGTGTCTCCCAGTTAGGCTACATGGGGGTCAGGGACCCACTTGAGGAGGCAGTCTGTCCATTCTCAGAGCTCAAACACTGTGCTGGGAGAACGATTGCTCTCTTCAGAGCTGTCAGACAGGGACGTTTTAGTCTTCAGAAGTTTCTGCTGCCTTTTGTTCAGCTATGCCCTGCCCCCAGAGGTGGAGTCTACAGAGGCAGGCAGGCCTCACTGAGCTGTGGTGGGCTCCACCCAATTCGAACTTCCTGGCCGCTTTTTTACCTACTCAAGCCTCAGCAATGGCGATGCCCCTTCCCCAGCCTGGCTGCCACCTCGCAGTTCGATTTGGGACTGCTGCACTTGCAGTGAGCAAGGCTCCGTGGGCGTGGGACCCGCTGAGCCAGGTGCGGGATATAATCTCCTGGTGTGCCGTTTGCTAAGACTGTTGGAAAAATGCAGTATTAAGGCGGGAGTGTCCCAGTTTTCCCAGTACAGTCTGTCACGGCTTCCCTTGGCTAGGAAAGGGAAATCCCCCGACCCCTTGCGCTTCCTGGGTGAGGTGATGTCCTGCCCTGCTTCGGCTTGCCCTCCGTGGGCTGCACCCACTGTCCAACCATTCCCAGTGAGATGAGCCAGGTACCTCAGTTGGAAATGCAGAAATCACCCGTCTTCTGTGTCGATCACGCTGGGAGCTGTAGACGGAGCTGTTCCTATTTGGCCATCTTGGAATCCAGCTCCCATTCATTTTTACAGATGAATGATATTCCATTTTATGAACATACAACATTTTACTTTTTCATTCCTGCTTGTAGTTTGAGATTTGTGAGCCTCTCAATCTTTCTGAAATTCATACTTTCATCAAATTTGGTAAGTTTCTGGGCATTATTCCTTCAAATATTCTTCCCATACCTTTCTCCCTCTCTTCTCCCTCTGATGAATTCCTATTATGTGGATGTTGATACACCTGAGGGTGTCCCATAGGTCTCTCAGGCTCATCTTCATTCTTTTTATCATTTTTATCTCTATGTTCTCCTGGTTTCCTTTAGTTTCTTCATCCATGGTTTTTTTATTTTTAGCTCTTTGAGTATATTTAAGACAGTTCACTTAAAATCTTTGGTCTGGTAAGTCTAATGCTGAGGCTTCCTCTTCAAAGCATGTATTTTTTTTAATCCTGTAAATATGCCATACGTTGTTTCTGTGCATGCCTCATAATTTTCCACTGAAAACTGAATGTTATAAAGTGGCAACTCTGGAAACCACAATCTGCCCCCTCCTTGGGGTTTGTTAGCTGGTAATAATAATATGGGTTATGTCTCTTTTGCTTAGTAAGTTTTCTAAACCATTTTTGTAAAGTCTGCATTCTTAGACCTGTGTGGCTACTGGAATCTATATTCCTTTAGCTTAGTGGTCAGCTAGTGTTTTGACAAAGATTTCTTAAACACCAGGAGCCAAAGACAAAAAAGAACAGAATATCCTCCCAGTCTTTGCACCCTGGCGCAATCCTTCAATGCTTAGCTGGGCCAATTAAAGCCATTCCTTATTCTTCACTTTTTGCTTGTACAGAGCCAGAATGAAAGCTTAGGGTCATCTAAGGTCTTTTCTGATCGTATGTCCAGTCTTGAGAATATATATGGCTTTCTTCATAGCTCAATATACACAGAAGCCTTAAAAAGCCTTGTTCTCCCACAAATCTCCTTTCTGGACCCTTTCCTTCTCATGCTTGACAGTCTCTCTATTGCTTATCCCCACTGTTATCCCCTTCCCTATGCACATAATACTTCTGCATTCAAATGCTTTTGGCAAACACAACCCAGGAAGCCACTCCAGCCCTGGGAACACTCTAAGTTGGGGAAAACAAAGTTAAGTCCTGGCAAGGTTCCTTCAGGGAGCCTCCAGGCAGGTGAAAACACACAATGGCAAGTCTTTAAGAAAAAGGTCTGTATTAGTTCCCCTGGCACCAGCAACCTGCACCACGACTGCGAGTTGCCATCTTCCTGCCTCTGAACTGGGAAGGAGGGTATGGTAAACAAATTACAATATCACTGCACTTTCTTAATGTAATGTAGCAGCTTCTTTCTTTGTTGAACTTTTTCCTTATTAAGTTTTGGTTAGATTTCAAAGTTCTGTGAAAGCTGAATGTGATAGCTTTCATCAGCTTACTAGTTGCTTTTGTGGAGGCATGGAGACCTGGACCTCACTACTCCACAATTCTTGGTAATATCATTCCTATTAGCTCCATTTTATTATGTAAGAAACTGAAGCACAATAACATTTCCAAGGGAAATATTAAGTTGTGAAGTTGGGATTTCAAAGTCTAGGACATCTGACCCGAGAGCCTGGGCTCTTAACTACCATCTCAACTATTAATTATTTTGTTCTCCATAACAAAACTATTTTTTTCTTTTTTTTTTTCTCTTTTTCACAGTCTACCACTAGCTTGTGAACAGAACTGTTTTTAAAGCACTGTCTTCATGGTATGATCTCAAAATTGTAAGTGCCCTTCAAAAGAACCTTTTAACCCCATGAGTAAGGTAATTAAAGCTACAAGTGACAATCCAGTTATTGATGCTGTCAGACAGACAGCCTACAAGAGTAGTTTTGTTCCCAAAACATTGTTTTTGATTAAGCACTGCATTGTCAAAAATGCAATTGTTACAAAACTAAACATACTCTTACCATACAATCTAGCAGTCATGCTCCTTGATAATTACCCAAATGAGTTGAAAACTTATGTCCACATAAAAGCCTGGACACAAATGTTTACAACAGTTTTATCTATAATTGTTATAACTTGAAAGCAATCAAGATGTCCTTCAATAGATGAATGGATAAACTGTGATATATCCAAACAATGGAATATGATTCAGCACTAAAAAGAAATGAACTATCAAGCCACCAGAAGACATGGAGGAAACTTAAATGCATATTACTAACTGAAAGAAGCCAATCTAAAGAGGTCACATATTTGTACAATTCCAACTAGATGACATTCTGGAAAAGGCAAAACTATGAAGATAGTAAAAAGATCAATGATTGCCAGGAGTTGAAGGGGAAGGGAGAGATGAACAGGCAGAGCACAGAGGATTTTTAGGCACTGAAACTATTCTGTATGATACTACAAAGGTGAAGATGTCTTTACACATTTATCAAAATTCATACAATGTACACTGCAGAGTGAACCTTAAACTATAGACTTTGATAATAACATGTCAACGTGGTTCATCAACTTTAACAGTGTGCCACAGTGGTGCAGTATGTTGACGATGGGGGAGGCTAAGTGTATAGGTATAGACACAGCATGTGGGAGGTCTCCTTTTTTTTTTTTTTTTTTGAGACAGAGTCTTGCTTTATTGCTTAGACTGGAGTACAGTGGCATGATCATGGCTCACTGCAGCCTTGACCTCCTGGGCTCAAGTGATCCTCACTTCAGCCTCCCCTGTAGCGGTGACTATAGGCATGCACAACCATGCTGGGTAAATTGGGGGTTTTGTTTTTTTTTAAGACGGAGTTTTGCTCTTGTCGCCCAGGCTGGAATGCAATGGCACGATCTTGGCTCGCCGCTACCTCCACCTCCCAGGTTCAAGCCATTCTCCTGCCTCAGCCTCCCAAGTAGCTAGGATTACAGGCATGTGCCACCATGCGCAGCTAATTTTATATTTTTAGTAGAAATGGTTTTCTCCACGTTGGTCAGGTTGGTCTTGAACTCGTGACCTCAGGTGATCTGTCTGCCTGGGCCTCCTAAAGTGCTGGGATTACAGATGTGAGCCACCGCACCCGGCCAACTTTTGCTTTTTGTAGAGATAGTGTCTCTAATGTTTTCCAGGCTGCTCTTGAACTCCTGGGTTCAAGTGATCCTCCCACCCTGGCTTCTGAAGTGCTGCAATTACAGGCATAAGCCACTGCACTGCCCTCTCTGTACCTTTTACTCAATTCTGTTGTGAACCTAAAACTGCTCTAAACAATAAACTCTATTAATTTTTTTAAATTATGTTAAATGTATCACATTATTGCTTAAATCCAAAAAACTGAGTTAATCAAAATATTAAAGTGTTCTCTTTTATCAATATTTCCTTAGAAGAAGGGACATGCAGAGGACCTTTCTTCCATAAACATATAGATTTTTGTTTTTTTTTTTTTAGATGGAGTCTTGCTCTGTTGCCCAGGCTGGAGTACAACGGAACGATCTTGGCTCAATGTAATCTCCACCTCCTGGGTTCAAGGGATCCTCCCACCTCAGCCTCCCAAGTAGCTGGGATTATAGGCGTGCGCCACCACACCCAGCTAATTTTTTTTTTTTTTTGTATTTTTAGTAGAGATGAGGTTTCACCATGTTTGCCAGGCTGATCTCGAACTCCTGACATCAGGTGATCCACCCACCTTGGCCTCACAAAGTGCTGGGATCACAGGTGTGAGCCACCACACCCGGCCCATAAACATATATGTTTAATCAGAGCTTTAATGAAATAGGATGGAGGTACTGAATTTGTGAGTATCCTTTTTGCTTTTTGAGACAGAGTCTCATTTTGTCACCCAGGCTGGAGTGCAGTGGTGCAATCATGGCTCACTACAACCTCTGCTTCTTGGGCTCAAGTGATTCTCAGGCCTCATGCACCCAAGTAGCTGGGATTACAGGTGTACCCCACCACACCAAGCTAATTTTTGCATTTTTAGTAGAGATAGGGTTTTGTCATGTTGACCAGACTAGTCTCAAACCCTGGCTTCAAGTGATTCACCCACCTTGGGCCTTAAAAAGTGCTGAGATTACCACTGAACCCAGCCTGTGAATATTCTTTAAATAGGATTATAAGGTATTTGCCTTGGACCAAATTTTCAGGAAGAAAGATCAAAAGATAGATAACTCTTTCATTTCTTTTGACTATATTTTGACTAAGTATTCCTAAATATTACTTGTGGTATTCAACAGGCTCACCTTTCAGCCAGTTTTAATCACTGTAACAAGACTCAAGCCTTGAGTAGAACTCAAAGTATGCTGTGCACAGAAGACAACTGAAGAAAGCACAAGTGCCAATATCCATATAAATGAAGGTTCACCCTCAACAATAATTTTTTTGCTGTTGTTTTTGTTTTAGAGACGAGGTATGGCTCTATCGCCTAGAGTGAAGTGGTGTGACTTTGGCTCACTGCAACCTCTGCCTCCCAGACTCAAGCCATCCTCCCACTTCAGTCTCCCAAGTAGCGGGGACTACAGGTGCACGTGCCACCTTCTGGCTAATTTTTCCATTTTTTGTAGAGACGAGGTTTCACCATATTGCCCAGGGTGGTCTCAAACTCGTAAGCTCTAGCGATCTGCCTGCTGTGGCCTCCCAAGGTGCTGGGGTTACAGGTGTGAGCCACAGCGCCTGGCTTAACGATAACTTTTTAAATACAATTTACAAGAACAAATTGTTGCTTAACTAGACAAACTGCATAAAATCTATTTTAAATGATGACAGCCATTGTTTTTGTGAGGAAAGATGGAAACTCACTGCTATGGTTTAGATATCTGTCCTCCCAAATTTCATATTGAAATTTGATCCCCAATGTTTGAGGTGAATTCTAGAGAGAGGTGTTTGGGTCATGGGAGCCAATCCCTAATGAATGGCTTGGTGCCACTGTCCTTTCAGTAATGAGTTATCCCTCTATTGGTTCCTTGATTATTAAAAAAAAAGCCCACTACCTCCTCTCCTCCTCCTCCCTCTTTCCTTCTTCCTCTCTTGCCAGGTGATCTGCACACACAGGCTCCCCCCTTCACCTTCCACCATGAGTAGAAACAGCCTGAAGCCCTCACTAGAAACAGATGCCGGCACCATGCTTCTTTCATAGCCCACAGAACAGTGAGCCAAATAAACCTCTTTTCTTTATAAATTACCCAGCTCCAGGTGTCCTTTCATAGCAACATAAACAAAGACACTCACTCTCACTTTCTTGGGGCCATAAATTGCTATGAAAAAGCACCTTTAAACTGTGCATACATGTGGATCTAGCAATTCTACCTCCAGGAATTTAGCCTAAAGATTATAAATGTACACAGAAATATAGCTAGACATTATGAACATAACTTTATCCATAATAGGGGAAATTTGGGAACAACCCCAATGTTCATCAATTGGGAGTTATTAAAATCATAATAAAATGGAACACTAAGCAGCCATAAAAAGGTGAAGTAGTATTCAATGTACCAATTTGGTAATAAAAAGAAAAAATTATACAATGGTATATAATATGATCTTATTTTGGTTAATATGCATGTGCTCTGTGTAATCACACCAAACTGCTAAAACTATTAGAACATAAAATTACAAAGGATTTTTACTTTTAAGTTATAGAATTAAAAACTTATCCCAATATACAATTCTTCTGAGATCAGAAAATAAAGACTTAAAAGCAAATGTAGTTAAAATATTAATCACAACACTGCATAAAATTCCAAGATAATGAAACTCATAAAAGTTCAAGAACAGAGAATTGAACAAATTGCAATGTACTCATACAATAAGACACTATACAAGCATTTAAGTAACGATGCAATACAATATTTACCAAACTGACGACATGTCCATGTTATATTGCTAAGCTACAAAAAAAAGTCATATAATACATACTCTAAGATTCCCTTTTTAAAATAATATAAACATGCCCATATACAAAAGAATAGGAAGATAAATATATCACTGCATGGTATTATAGATTACTATTTTCTTCTTTTCATTTATGTATATCGTCTCCATTTTCACAGTGAATATATACCTATTAGTAAGAGAAAATCCAATGAATATCTTTTTTCTTTTTTTTTTGAGATGGAATCTCACTGGCTGCCCAGGCTGGAGTGCAGTAGCGTGATCTCAGCTCACTGCAGCCTCCACCTCCCAAGTTCACGCGATTCTCCTGCCTCAGCCTCCTGAGTAGCTTGGATTACAGGTGCCTGCCACCATGAGCAACTAATTTTTGTATTTTTAGTAAAGACAAAGTTTCACCACATTGGCCAAGCTGGTCTCGAACTCCCAACCTCAAGTCATCTGCCCACCTTGGCCTCCCAAAGTGTTGGCATTACAGGCGTGAGCCACTGTACCCAGTCCTAATGGCTATCTTTTGTTTAAAAAAATTAACAAAGACTGTCATGCCTAACTTACATTCAGTTAAAATTCTGTACAAATAAAACTGGGGTTTAGGTAGTGAGAACACTTTCAGAATGGCAGAATAAGAAACTCTGAAAATCTACTCATCCATAAAAGCAACGAAAACACTGGCAAAAACTATCAAAATCAACTTTTGGAACTTTGGAAATTATTAAAGTCTTTCAACAATCCAAGAAATGTTTCTTCAAGAAAGGCATCTGAATCTAGGAAAGAAAAGCAAGCTTGAGATGTCTGTGTTCACCCTATTCCCATTCCTCTCTCCCAAGCTCCTTAAAACCAAAGTCCCTGAAACTGTTAACAGCTGATAAAAACAACAGCTTAGCAGCCACTAGGCAAAGGGGGTAGGGGAAGCAAACACAGAGTTTCACTCTGTTGCCTAGGCTGGAGTGCAGTGGTGTGATCTCGGCTCATTGCAGCCTCCACCTTCTGGGTTCAAGTGATTCTCCTGCTTCAGCCTCCCAAGTAGCTGGGATTACAGGCGTGCACCACCACACCTGCCTAATTTTTGTATTTTTGGTAGAGACGGGGTTTCACCACGTTGGCCAGGCTGGTGTCAAACTCCTGGCTCTCAAGTGATCTGCCCACCTAGGCCTCCCAAAGGAAAAAATACATTTGGAGGTCCCTAAAAGACTGATCACCTGAGCTGTCTGGCAAATTGCTGAAAAGCTCCATTCTCAGGGCTTGTCTTTATCTGACCTGACTCAGAGATCACCCAGTGTCAACAACCCTGTACTCAAAGCATTTGTCAAAAACATTGAACAGCAATCCTTCAAGATCACAGCTGCCTGAGGTGACCTTACCAACTGAGGCTATTAAGAGGCTGATTGGAAACTTAAAAGGAAAAATTGGAGAATGAGATGTCCATAGGAATTTTGGAAAGCTCCAAAATATTCCTGGAAATCTAGAAGGCCATATGTGCAGGGCTGTGCACACATGCCCAGGGCTGTGCACAGGTCCAGGAGAGACCTGAGGAGGCCCTAATCATTCACTGGCTGATCTTAAGGTTCTGTGCAAGCAGGAAGTAAAAGTTGAGACAGAGTGTAAACTGTGAAAGAAGCCAGACACAAGTCCATGTATTATATGATTCCAGTTACACAAAATGTCCAGAAAAGGCAAGTACAGAGAAAGAAAATAGATTACTGATTGTCAGAGGCTGGGGGCAGGAGAAATGCGGAGTGACTGATGAGTATGGGGCTACTTTTGGGGATGAACAATTCTGGAATTAGCGATTGGTGCTTGCACAACTTGAGAATACTAAAAACCACTCAATTATATGCTTTAATAACTTTAATAACAACTTTTAGGCTAGGTGCAGTGGCTCACGCCTATAATCCTAGCACTTTGGGAGGCTGAAGTGAGACTATTACTTGAGCCTAGGAGTTCTATACCAGCCTGGGCAACATGGTGAGACCCAACCCCCACAAAAAATTTTTTAAAATTAACCAGGCATGGTGGTATGTGCCTGTGGCCCCAGTTACTTGGAGTCTGAGGCAGGAGGATCACTTGAGCCCAAGACGTCAAGGCTGCAGGGAGCCATCTTCATACCACTGTTCTCCAGCATGGGCAAGAGTGAGACCTTGTCTCAAAAAACGAAACAAAACATAACTTCTGTAATATGTATATTATACCTTCATAAAGTTGTTATAAAATTAAAAACTTTAATCAGCTTTGTAAAAACCATAACCCAACATTGATAGCTGTCATCCTTCCTCTAAATTTTTAACTGGTGATGTTTTGAGGAATTAATTATGAATTTGAAAATAGTATCCATACAATGCATATTTATGAAAACTTAAGGCATATTTATAGCTTTAGACCTTATTTCAATTTTTCCAAACTCTCTTTCAATTATATTTTATCACAGATAATTTTAGATGAAGTTTAAGAGTTCTTATTTTTAATAAGTTTCTTCCTGTTTACAGATATTTATGGGGGGATAATTATAAAAGCAATACATGTGTACAGTAGAAAATTCAGAAAACACAAAGAAACTAAAAATCACTCATACTATCATCCAGAGATCCAACCATTTTTAACATTTTGGTCTATAGCTTCCAGATTTAACTTTCTTTTCAAATATTAGCATAGTATGGGAGAACAATTCAGAAATACACAAATTTAAGAAAACTAAAATATGTGTTCAATGCCCCAAATCCCCAAATATACTTACGGTTTTGTCTCCAATAAAGGTAAGGTTTGTTCCATTCTCCTTAGCCTTTAAACATTAAAAAAATAATAATAATTAATTCAGAACTTCTTGTTTTTAGCTGCCCAAGTTCCTGTAGCCACTGGGGAAGCCTGCTCCCCAGGTGCAGCACTCCCTCCTTAGAGATGCAGTGAGCACGGGTATCTCCTGCACCACCAAAGTTTTTACTGCACTCTCAGAAATATATAATGAAAACAATTACCTCCTGTTTTTCTCCTAAAAGAGGCAGTCGATGCATAAAATCTCCAGAAAAGGTCTATAAAAGAAACACAAAACAAAACATTAAAGGTGTGTAAATACTAGAAGAAAAGTGTAGCTCAAAATACAAAGAAATGGTTAGAACAAAACACCACACCCTAACTAGTAAATATAATAACACAGCATCAGTAGACAAAACATTTCCAATTAACCACAAACAAGTGAATAAAACCCTGCTGGGAACTAGAAAATAGTATCAAACCAAAATGGCCATTCAATTTTTCTATCAGAATAATAAACATTTAAGAATGACAAAGCTTTAGATATAGGATGTATGCTTAGGATAGAAGAAGCTTAGATCATTTCCCCTCATTCTACAGATGAGTAAAATGTGGCTCAAAACTACAAAGCTTTAGACAAAGAAATAGGATTTAAACCTAATATTCTTTTTTTTTTTTTTGAGACGGAGTCTTGCTCTGTTGCACAGACTGGAGTGCAGTGGTGTTATCTCGGCTCACTGCAAGCTCCGCCTCCCAGGTTCATGCCATTCTCCTGCCTCAGCCTCCCGAATAGCTGGGACTACAGGTGCCCGCCACCATGCCTGGCTAATTTTTTTGTATTTTTAGTAGAGACAGGGTTTCACCGTGTTAGCCAGGATGGTCTCAATCTCCTGACCTCATGATCCGCCCACATCGGCCTCCCGAAGTGCTGGGACTACAGGCGTGAGCCACCGCGCCCGGCCTAAACCTAATATTCTTGATGCTTAGGTCTGCTGTCCCTTCCACCATACTACATTTTTTATGCCTGTAAAAAACTACACTAATTATCTTTCTTACCAGTTATCAGTAGATGAGGCATTGTCCTTCCTGAGTAATGAGACTGTGTAATTCAACCCTGTTACATTAGACTGGAGGAGGAGAGGAAACCTTACCAATAAGCCAAGACCCTGGAAAGATTACAGCACATCTAAAAGTAGTCAGCCTCCAGCAACCAGATGCATCAGGTAGCTTTCCATAATCAAATCCAAGAAAAGACCAACCAATCCTCCTAGTCTAAGGGATAAATTTGGAAAACCAACAGAAAACATACAAACTACACAACATCACATTGCTTCTAGCTTTCTCTACCATTCTTTCACCATCTTAAAGCTATTTTCTTTTCCCTCCAAGACCATAAAATCTAAGTTATAATAAAAGCGGAACTCTTCCTTCAATTACCAATTAATTCATCTGCTCATCAATTATCCCTTTTTTTTTTTTTTTTTTGAGACCAAGTTTCACTCTTGTCGCCCAGGCTGGAGTGCACTGACACTATCTCAGCCTCCTGGGTTCAAGTGATTCTCCCACTTCAGCCTCCCGAGTAGCTGGGATTACAGGTACCCGCCACCATGCCCGGCTAATTTTTTTGTAGAGACAGGGTTTCACCATGTTGGCCAGGCTGGTCTTGAACTCCTGACCTCAGGTGATCCGCCCACCTCGGCCTCCCAAAGTGCTGGGATTACAGGCCTGAGCCACCGCATCTGGCCTCAATTACCAATGACTAAATTTGTCTTCTTAATAATAAACTTTACTTCTAGTAATTTGACAGTTCAAGGCAAGTTGCTAAATATTCCAAAATAATTTTTAAATATAGTAAGGACAAGTATAGATGATAATTACTATAACTATTTTCAACACATATAAAATTTTTCTATCAAAAAACTGAGATTACTATTTCTAAGACAACAAAATTTGATATCAGAATCTCCACTTACATGATTGCATATGTGTAAGCACGAAAAATGTATGATTATTCACATCTCCCTCTTTCTACAAAATTAAGGTGTGAAATTGAACTCTAAGACAATGATGATACCCTTCTGATTTCAGATCTATAGAAGTAAATTTTAAAAACCCTGATTTTTCTGGGAACATATTAATTAGATGAGGAGACCAAAGAATTAAAAATGTGACGTTTTAAATGTCCATCAACAGATGAATGGAAAAACAAAATGTGGTACATACATACAATAGAACATCACTTAGCCTTAAAAAGGAATGAAATTCTGATAACGCTATAACATGGATGAACCTTAAAAACATTATGCTAAGTGGAAGAAGTCAGACAAAAAAGAACAAAAGTTGTATGATTCTATTTATATGAGGTATCTAGAATAGTCAAATTCATGGAAAGTAGAAGAGTGGTTACCATGGTCTTGGGGTTGGAAGGTGGGGAATTTTTGTTTAATAGGTATGATGTTTCAGTTTGGGATGATAAAAGTACTAGAGATGGGGCTCAGCCCGGTGGCTCACACCTGTAATCCCAGCATTTTGGGAGGCCAAGGTGGGTGGATCACTTCAGGTCAAGAGTTCAAGACCAGCCTGGCTAACATGGTGAAATCCTGTCTCTACAGAAAATACAAAAAAAATTAGCCAGGCGTAATGGTGTGAATCTGTAGCCCTAGCCACTTGGGAGGCTGAGGTGAAAGAATTGCTTAGATCCGGGTGATGGAGACTGCAGTGAGCCGAGATTGTGCCACTGCACTCCAGCCTGGCGGACAGAGCAAGAATCTGCCTTGGGGAAAAAAAAAGTACTGGAGATGGGTCGATGGCTGCACAGCAATGTGAATATATTTAATGCCACTGTATTATACACTTAGAAATGGTTAAAATGGTAAATTTTATGTAGTGTATATTTTACCACAATAAAAAAATGGGGGTTTGCTTTTTACACACAAAGCAAAGTACAACCTCTCTTTGATGAGTATGTATAAGTGGCTGACTATGTACCTATCAGAACATGCTTCCACTTACTTCTGCCAAAAGAAATACTTGAGAAGTCGGAAGTGGATACAGCCAAAAATATATACATTCCAATTTTTGCCTATTCTATTTATCTCCAATCACTTTCAAAGATTACCTGTGTTTTAAAGAGTTCACTGCAGTTCTGGAACAATTTTGATGATGTTTGATATTTCCCAGACAAGCCTCTTTTTTCCTTAAGTTTTTCCAAATACAACTCTACTTCTTCTGCCTGGAAAAAGAGATAATACAGAGTAGTTAACTCACCTTCCAAAAAATAAGATACTAAGAGCACAGCACAACAAACAGTTCACCTGCAGTACAGATACAATTTTGAGTTTGCTATTTTAAAAATGAACAGCATCAGATAAAGGCTCTATATAAAAATATCTAAGAATCAAACACTATCAGACTCAAGGACTATTAGACTCTAGTCTTTGGCTCACAAGGCATAGTTCTACTAACAATTCTGAGTAGACTGGGAAACTGCCAGAGTGTAGAGGGTTTTGTCACATTAAAATATACTTAAAAGATTTACTTGACCAAATTAACAACATCAACAAAAAAATATTCATGCTCATAAGCTAAGATAGAGCAGAAAATTGTTGCAAGCACAGAACTAGGATAATCTTCTTAAAAATGCAAATTGAGAGATAGAAACAGAATGGAAAAGGTCTGAAAAATTCAACTCAGAACTATATATATGTGTGTGTATATATATATATATATTTTTTTTTTAACTTTTATTTTAGGTTCCGGTATACATACGCAACTTTGTTATATAGGTAAACTGAACTCACAGGGAACTGTTTTACAGATTATTTCATCACCCAGGTACTGCCTAGTACTCAAGAGTTATTTTTTCTGATCCTCTCCCTCCTCCCACCCTCCACCCTCAAGTAGGCCCAGTGTCTGCCGTTCCCCTCTTTGTGATCATGTGTTCTCATCATTCAGCTCCCACTTATAAGTGAAAACGTGGTATTTCGCTTTCTGTTCCTGTGTTAGTTTGCTAAGGTTAATGGCCTCCAGCTCCTTCTGTGTTCTTGCAAAGGAAATGATCTCATTCTTTTTTATGGTTGCATATGTATCACATTCTTTTTTATGGCCGCATATGTACCACATTTATCCAGTTTACCATTGATGGGCATTTAGGTTGATTCCATGTCTTTGCTATTGTAAACAGTGCTGCAGTGAACATATATGTGCATATGTCTTTACGGTAGAATGATTTATATTACTTTGGATATATACCCAGTAATGGGATTGCTGGGTCAAATGGTAATTCTGTTTTTAGCTCTTTGAGGAATTGCCACAGTGCTTTCCACAGTGGTTGAACTAATTTACACTCCCACTAACAATGTATAAGCATTCCCTTTTCTCCACAACCTTGCCAGCATCTATTATCCTTTGACTTTCTCATAATAGCCATTCTGATGTGAGATGGTATCTCATTGTGGTTTTGATTTGCATTTCTCTAATAATCAACGATACTGAGCTTTTTTTTTTTCATATGCTTGTTGGCTGTATATCTTCTTTTGAAAAGTGTCTGTTCATGTCCTTTACCCACTTTTCTATGGGGTTGTTTTTTGCATATAAATTTGTTTAAGTTCCTTATAGAGGCTGGATATTAGACCTTTGTTGGATGCATAGTTTGCAAATATTTTCTCCCATTCTGTAGGCTGTCTACTCTATTGATAGTTTCTTTTGCTGTGCAGAAGCTCTTAAACTTAATTAGATCCCATTTGTCAATTTTTGCTTTTGTTGCAATTGCTTTTGGCGCAATTGCTTTTGGCATCTTCATCATGAAATCTTTGCCACTTCCCATGTCCAGAATGGTATTGCCTAGGTTGTCTTCCAGGGTTTTTATAGTTTTGGGTTTTACATTTAAGTCTTTAATCTATCTTGAGTTGATTTTTGAATATGGTGTGAGGAAGGGGTCCAGTTTCAATCTGCATATGGCCAGCACGCTACCGCAACACTATCTACTAAATAGGGAGTCCTTTCCCCATTGCTTGTTTTTTGTCAGCTTTGTTAAATATCAGATGGTTGTAGGTGTGCGGCCTTATTTCTGGGCTGTCTTCTCTGTTTCATTGGTCTTTGTGTCTGTTTTGGTTACTGTAGCCCTGTAGTACAGTTTGAAGTCAGGTAATGTGATGCTTCCAGCTTTATTCTTTGAGCAATATATTTTCAACGCTCAAGTATTCTAGATTATGGCAATTCTCAAAAGTGTGGCCGTTGAACCATAGACAAAACTATTTTCATGGCTGGGCACAATGGCTCACGCCTGTAATCCCAGCACTTTGGGAGACTGAGGCAGGTGGATCACCTGAGGTCAGGAGTTTGAGACCAGCCTGGCCAACATGGCAAAACCCCATCTTTACTAAAAATACAAAAATTAGCCGGGTGTGGTGGCAGACACCTGTAATCCCAGCTACTTGGGAGGCTGAGGCTGGACAATCACTTGAACCCAGGAGGCAGAGGTTGTGGTGAGCTGAGATCGCGCCACTGCACTCCAGCCTGGGTGACAGAGTGAGACTCCATCTCAAAAAAAAAAAAACTATTTTCATAATAATAATAGTATGCTATTTGACTTGTAACGATATTACAAAAGCAATAGTGGGTAAAACTGTTGCCCCTTATCAGGAACTAAGGCAGTGGCATTTAATTCTACTAGCAGTCATATTCTTCATAGTCACAAACTGGCAGTTTTTAAAAATGCCACTTTTATGTAAGAATATCCTAGATAAAGCAGTAAAAATTATTAATGTTATTAAATCTGGACCTTTTGAGTACCTGACTTTTTAAATAATCTAGGTGACAAAATGGAAAGCATGCAAAATACAATAAATTATTGTCTTGAGATAAAGCACTCTGCAATTGCTTTGACTTGTGAGTTAAACTAATCATTTTTTCCACGAAACACCATATTTACTTGAAAGAATGACTGAAAAACTACCATTACTCAGACTTGGTTATTTGAGAGTTATTTCTCTGGAAATGGGCAACAGAGGCTGTCCCCTCAAGGAAGACAACTGACAGTATTCACTGCCAAAATAAAATTTGAGATTTCAAGCAAAAACTGGAATTTTGAAGAACTTGTATCTGCTACACTGAATTTAACGGCTTCCAAAACTTAAGAACCTACTGATGAGATGAAGAGGGCAGGGTATAGTTATAAACAATGTAATTTTTAGCTAAGTGTGAAATGAGTTAATATTTATAAAAATGTATATAATTCAGTCAACTGCTATTTTCTAAATGACCAATAAATGATGCTACAAGATCACACACAGGTAAAAGATACATTCATATCAGTGGATTTCTTATCAGAGTACAAAAAAAGTTCATTAATATTTCAGATTCCACATTGCAACTAACCTTTAAAAACTTCCACTTGTTGAGTTTTGGTATAGAATCAAAAAAGAATATCCTCAGTTATCTGAAAAGGCCATTAAAATACCATTCCTTTTCCCAACTATATATCTGTATGAGGTCATTATTTTCTACATGTACTTAAGCCAAATTATTGCAACAGACTGAGTGAAGGAGGGAATATAAGAATACAGTGATCTTCTGTTATGCCAGATAGTAAACAAATTTACAAAAATACAAAACAATCCTACTCTTCTGTGTGGTTTTCTGGGAAAAACAGTTATTTATATTAACATGCAATAAGTTTATTATTGCTACTTTAAAATAAACTAATAAATATTTTTATATTTTCTCAGTTGTAATTTCTAATAGCATAACCCACATGCTCAAAGGCTTTCTGGAGTCCACAATAATTTTTACAAATATAAGAGTTCTGAAACCAAAAAGTTTGAGAATTGGTGGTCTGCAAATTGGGAAGCATGCATTCTAGTTTCAGCTCTCCTCCTCCATAGCTACATGATACTCTTTCCTCTATGAAATTAAGAGACTGGAACCAGATAATCACTAAGGTCCAAAAAAACTCTGTAATTTTATGTTCCTTACCTTGAAGTTATAGATTTCATTGTAACAATCAGCGCTTTTCAGATACCAGGTTATATTCAAAGACAGGTCACAAGGTTCTCCATCAACTACAAAAGAAGAAATCTTTGTTAACAAAAGATAATTCCCCAACAAAGCATTTTTCCTAAGCTGTTAACCTATATCCTATTCATTTCGTACCCTAAACTGAGATACTCAAAGACCATCCTTTCTCCAAACATAAGGTATTGAAATAATACATGCAAAAAGAGCTGGATATTAAGATAAAAGTATTGTTGTTCATAGAAAAATAGCAGGTAAGCAGTTTTTAACCTCTGGAAACTGTGGATCTATTTTTATGCCATAAAGTCCTAACTTCTGGATCTCTATTGAGAAAAACCTGGGAGTGATAAAGCACTCTAAATTCAAGCCAGTCTTCTATTATTTAAGTATTTATTGAGCAGGCTAGGTGCGGTAGCTCACACCTATAACCCCAGAAGTTTGGGAGGCCAAGGCAGGGGGATCGCTTGAGCCCAGGAGCTCAAGACCACCCTAGGCAACATAGTGAGAACTCATCTCTACAAAAAATGATTAAAAAGCTAGGCGTGGTGGTACATGCTTGTAGTCCCAGCTACTCAGGCAAGGGAGGCAGGAGGATCACTTGAGCCCAGGAGGTCAAGTCTGCAGTGAGCCATGATGGTACCACTGCACTCCAGCCTGGGCGACAGAGCGAGACCCTGTCTCAAAAAACATAAATAAATAAATAAATAAATAAATAGCACAAGTATTACAAAGGTATAATGGCACACTGTTAGGCTAAAGAGGGAAACGAGTGGAAACAAATTATTAAGACCCTTCAAAAGGCTAGTTGAAGAGACAAGCAATAATAAAATTAGGAATGCATGTCACAAGGCAATATTAACAACTGTTAAATGGTGTTAAATGATGATATACATAATAGTTCCACTGAGAGCAAAATTGCTATCTCAGACCTTGAAAGATATCAAGATAGAACAGAAAGAGCAATGAACGAAAAGCAAACATGGCTGTGGAAGGTAGAAATAGCAAAAGCAAAGATAAGAGTATCAGATTTTTTTTTTCAAAGCCTACCTTAAAAGAGGCCTCAAGGAAGCTCATGTTATCATGGAAGCTTCATAAAGCTCATTAAACACAGTTTGGAACACAGTATTCTAATGGATCAAGACATTATTCTGAAGACTTGGGAGGGTAAATCTGACTATATGACTGATTAGCTGGAGGAAGTCAGTATTCGCTTTTATCTTTGATTCTAGCTATGAAAGGAAAAATATACTAAAGACTCCCTACTTTATATAAATGTAATAATAAACATGACAAAAATAAACATGACTGCATTTAGGAATCTACTTTTCATTCATAACAAAAGAAGCAACCTAATTATAAGCTTCCTTTTTTTTTCTTTTAAACTGTTTTCTCAAACTAATTTTTAGATGACCAACACATTTTCAAAGGACTCTATTAGAATGTTCAAAAATTTGACCTGTTGGATAGAATTTATGGAAATGATAAAAAGCAATTGGGCTATGAACTATTCAAAATAATCCATACAGGGACAGGATTAACTAATAAAAAGCCAGTAAGAACACATCCCCCAAACAGGAGACTTGTAAGGAAATTTGGCAGCAAAAATACTGCTGTTTATGTTACAAGACAATATTTAGAACTTTAAATGAAAGGCTTTAAGAGACAATAAGGTCGGGCGCGGTGGCTCACGCCTGTAATCCCAGCACTTTGGGAGGCCGAGGCGGGTGGATCATGAGGTCAGGAGATCGAGACCATCCTGGCTAACAAGGTGAAACCCCGTCTCTACTAAAAATACAAAAAATTAGCCGGGCGCGGTGGCGGGCGCCTGTAGTCCCAGCTACTCGGGAGGCTGAGGCAGGAGAATGGCGTGAACCTGGGAAGCGGAGCTTGCAGTGAGCCGAGATTGCGCCACTGCAATCCGCAGTCCGGCCTGGGCGACAGAGCGAGACTCCGTCTCAAAAAAAAAAAAAAAAAAAAAAATGGTCCCAGCTATTCCATGGAAAGCTATATACCATCCCCCAAAAAGTACAAAATCAAAGACAACTGGTAAATATGAGAAAGCACAGAAATAACAAAGAAAAAGATAATGTTAAAGTGTCTCAGGCCGGGCACGGTGGCTCACACCTGTAATCCCAGAACTGTGGGAGGCCAAGGCAGGCAGATAACTTGAGGTCGGGAGTTCGAGACCAGCCTGGCCAATATGGTGAAACCCCCACCTCTGCTAAAAATACAAAAATTAGCCGGCGTGGTGGCACGCGCCTATAGTCCCAGCTACTCGGGAGGCTGAGGCAGAAGAATCGCTTGAACCCAGGAAGCAGAGGTTACAGTGAGCCGAGATCGTGCCACTGCATTCCAGCCTGGGCGTCACAGCAAAACTCCGTCTCAAAAAACAACAACAAAAAATAAAGTGCCTCAAATCCTCCAAAAACAATGAAATATAAACACTTCAAAATACGCAGTTAGGGCTGGGCATAGAGACTCATGCCTGTAATCCCAGCTACTCGGGAGGCTGAGGCAGGAGAATCGCTTGAACCTGGGAGGTGGAGGTTGCAGTAAGCCAAGATCGTACCACTGCACTCCAGTCTGGGTGACAGAGTGAGACACCATCTTAAAAAAAATGCAGTTGGTTTAACTTGGCAAAACACCACTAGATCAAACTACACGAGAAAAAAAGACTGGACCTAATAAAAGAATAAAACAGCAAACAGGCTGTCAAGCTATTCCAAAAGACAAGGGTTACTAGGTTACCCAGTAAACCAATCTCACAAGGCCAGTGTCAGAGTAGATTTGATCTAAATCAAATATAAGTCACTGGTCAGGAGACTGATTACATATTCATGGATACAGTATATATTCTTCAGAGAAATTCTACCTGCTGTTTTCACTCCCACTAGAATGTAAGCTCGATGAGGGAAGAACATTTTTCTATTACTTCCCCACAGTCTATGCAATAAGTAATAATTACTCACTAAACAATTGAAAAGAATAAAATTATCCAACTATGACTTAAAATTTTGCACTTCCGTGAAGACAGTATGCATAGAATCACACATCTATCATCAGGATTTTTATCCCTCATCTAGAAATAAAGCTGCCCACGATCAATCGTTCTCTAAATTAAAGCCGGTTTCAGAACTAAAAGGAAGCTTTTACTGAACACACAATGGGATACTTTAGATTCAGATACAGTCATTTTTCCACTAGACAAACTAGTTTTGTTCTACATAATCCCTATTTCTTGATAATATCTGAGCTTCCTCTTCCAAAGCAGTAAAATACTCCTTTTGTAAATAAAGGATCTACTAAATATATTCCTTCACAGCCAACGGCCTGACAAACCTAGGTCATGTTTGCAGTAAACATTTAACAAGCACACAAGAGTAAAACCTCTTTAATCTACACAGAACAGATTAAAACCACCATGCAGGGAATCAACCCCAACATAATCACAGTCATTCACTACATAACATTTCAGTAAATGAAAGACTACATATACAACGGGGGTCCCATAAAATTGTAATATCGTATTTGTACTCTACTTTCCTATGTTTAGATATACAAAAACTTACCATTGTGTTACAACCACCTATAGCATTCAGTACAGTAACATGTTATACAGGTTTATAGCCTAGGAGCAATAGGCTGTACCATACAAACTAGGCGTGTAGTGCCATCCAGTTTTAAGTATACTCTATGATGTTTGCATAATGACAAAATCACCTAAGGATGCTTTTCTCAGAAAGTATCAACTGTAAATGTAATTCGACTGAGATGTGACTGAATATTCAATGTAGTATATACAGCATATATATTAATATATACATTATATATACTAATATATAATGTCTACATAGTGTATATATGCAATGTAAACACCAGAAAAACAAGAGAAGAAAATAAAGTTCACACGAGTACTTTGAAGATGATTCAGTAAAAGGACCTTAGTAATACTAAAAATATTTATACCTAGATAATGCCAGACTATTAGATTTCAGAACTTATAAAATAGGTAATTTAAAACATTACCTATAAATTTTTAAAATTCAAATTAAAACTTCATGAAATTCAAAAACTCACACTTCAGGAAGATAGTGGTATTTCTGAAGAGGATCTTTCCAAAACTAAAATAATTTTTCCCCTGCAAACATAAAGGAAAGATAATTAGCCTCAGATGGCTTCAATTACCAAAGCATCATATAACTATCTAAGACTGCTAGAAATTCCAACTTAACTTAAATCTTTATGGGACGTACCCCTTAATCAGTTCATTCCCTTTACTCACCAATCACTGCTCAGAATAACCAATCATTTTTTCTAATGAACTATTCTGTGTGCAAATAACCAGAGTTTTATTTTCAAATCTAAAAAGACTTAACTATTAACCATTTTAGTAACAAGTAAAAACCTAACTGAACACCTGAAAATCTTCACCACTGAACAAAAGGTATAACGTTTACCATAATAAAAGCCCAAATAAGATTTGGACATTACAGTCAGTGAGCAGAGCAGAATGAAACAAAAAGGCCAACGTAGGTTTAATGGGGCTAATGCTTTTCAGCATTTCCTCCCTGCATCTGGTTTTTGTCTGCTCACAGGACTATACCTGTTACTGAAATAAGGTTTAAAATGGGTAAGGGGCAGAAAGGGTCAACCCATGTAGTTAATTATCCAAATGAAAGACTAGCCTTACCACATTAAATTTTAAGTACTATTTCTTCAATTTTAACCATTCCCATGTTAAAACACATTTCTTAAATCTCTATGCTTTCTAGTCACACAGTAAAGCTTAGAATAGCCATTCCAAAGTTGAAGCGAAGTCGAACCATCTCGTAAGCAGAATTACCCAGGGACCAAGAAGTGCAGAGGAAGAAAAAGAAAGAAAGAAATGAAGACTCCTATTTACATATCTTTCTTATCCAACCCGGGGACACTGGATTCTGTGAAACATCTGAAAGATAAACAACTCTCCGTTTGTACATCAAGTTTACATCTCAAGTCAGGCACTGAAAGTTCTGTTTTTCTGATGAGAAGCCGCTCCACCACTCCTTTCTGTTGCTGAAGTGGCCCTTACATTCCCGCTAGCCTAATCACAGAAGTGCGCGGCTTTCCACTCCAGGGAGGTGGGTCCCAGTTGGCTAGCCACACAGACCATCCCAGCAACCCCACCCCTTTTGAAGAGACTTTTGCGGAACCTTCATGGACCCCTTGGGCCGCCGTAGCCCCACCCCTTGCTCCTCTAGGTTCAGACGTTAGTGAAGTGAATACTCACCGACGGTATCGGAATGTGCCATTTGGACCGGTCGGCAGCAGCTACGGTTGCCGGTCCCGCACTGAAAAACGACAGTGGTGACGGGTGAGCTCCCAGAAGCAGAAGAATGACAGGCAACACCTGAAGCCACGCAGCCGCCGCCATCTTCACAGCCGTGGAGTGCCTACCGAAAGCATTTCACCCTCTTCCGGTTCGTCCCGCCTTCTTCCGGCTCTGCTCTAAGGGCGGGATTATCCGGGTCCTGGAAACGTCGCGGAGCTTGTTTGCTGTGCGGCGTAGCGGCCCCTCTCTCAGACAGTCGTCTGTGCGCCGTGAGACTTTGGACCTACTGCGCAGGCGTCATCCTGTTGGAACCTGGTCAGCTGGGTTAGAGAGATCGCTACATGCCAGCCTGGCCTGAGTCTTTTCTGTCTCCCAGCCGTTAAAGGTTTTAGGACCAGGCAGGCACCCCGTGCAGGATTTGGCTCTCTACTTCCGCTCGCCCCAGCCCTTCATCCCTTCTAAGTCAATGTCAGACTTTGGGGCCAGAAAGTCTGGAAAAGCCCTAAGCCTGGCTGCCCAAGTGGCGTCTAGTAGTGAGTTCTCCGGTTTGGGTGGTATTTAAGCAAAGGCTGGAATTCGGCGGTGGTGGAGTACACGCGATTCCTAGACTGGGTAGTGTAACAACCTTCAAAGGCCCCTTCTAGCCCTGAAGAGTACGATGCTGCAGTACAATCTGGCTGGAGACCTAGCCTCCAGCAAAGACCCGGCCGGCACTTCCCACCCTTAACCGAAAACGGAGACAGAGAGGGTCAGTTTTCAAAATCTGTGGCGTGACCCCGCCACTGAGATAGATCTGCAGATGCTTCGTCCCAGTCAGGGAGGCCGTCTCGGCATTTCCAGGTTCTTAACGCTCTTGATTTTTACCCTCTAGGACTCATTGCGTACACGCCCTCACCGCCGCCCAGTTTCGGTTCCTAACAAAAGCACGTTCCTCATCAGCCACCCATAATCAAGACAAATTTGCCAAATAAATCATTGTAGAAACGCTAGTTTGGGCCTGAAAAATTCCAGGAGCAAGAGTCAAGATTTGTCACTCCATGAGAATCTGGAGGGGACTCCCTTCCCAGAAACTTGACGATGAAGTACTGGTTGTAATTTTAGAAAGACACCCAATCGGCTTTTTTAAAAGATCGCCCAGGGCCCTTGTCCTGAGAGCTGGGAGCTGGTCGGAGTGACAGAGAAGCCATGGAAGCAGCAGTGAAAGAGGAAATAAGGTAAAGGCCAAGTGCTTCTGTAGCGAGTGACCCCAGGGTCCCTAGAAACAGGGAATAGTGTTTTAATTGCATTTCTTATTTGCGTATTTGGTATTTGCTGACCTTTATCTTTTCTCTCAATTCGCGGGAAGTTAGTTGATATTAATAGCCTCTCATAAAATACTTTCAGGATGGTTAAATAGGCCGGGTGCAGTGGCTCACGCAGGTAATCCCACAGCACTTTGGGAGGCTAAGGTGGGAGGATCGCTTGAGTTCAGGAGTTCGAGACCCCCTCCCCGCCCCCTCGGAGTCCCAGCTACTTGGGAGACCACTGGGAGGATGGATTTGGAGGCTGCAGTGGAGCTGTGATCTTGCCACTGCTTGGGCAACAAAGTGAGACCCTGTCTCCAAAAAAAAAGGATGGTTAAATAACATTAACAGTGGAAAAGTTGCAATCAGAACTCTTAACACGTGAATTTCAGGCATGTTGCTTTCCAAATTCATCTATAATCACCCCTTCCTATATCATCCCAGAGTTAATTCTTCGAAGCTGTAAAGAGGAAACAAAAGATTCTCCAATCTTTGTACACTTGATTAAAATAAACTGGGCCGGTTCGCTCATGCCTGTAATCCCAGCACTTTGGGAGGCCTATAGGTGGGCAGATTGCTTGAACCCAGGAGTTCAGACCAGCCTGGGCAACATGCTGAATCCCTGTCTCTACAAAAATTTTAAAGTTAGCCAGACGTGGTGATGTGGGCCTGTAGTCCCAGCTACTCAGGAGGCTGAGGCAGGAAGATAGCCTGAGCCCAGGAGGCGGCAGTTGCAGCAAGCCAAGATCGTGCCACTTCACTCCAACGTAGGAGGCAGAGCGAGATCCTGTCTCAAAAAAAATTTTTTTAATAAATTAAAATAAACGGACAAAGACTGAGTTCAGTGAAGGACAAACAGTTTTTTAGTATGGCCAAGTATATCTGCCTGGGCTTGTTTTCATAATATTTCGACGTTTGTGTTCAGTCATAGCTTTCTACATAATCATGGACATGCTGACTACAGATGCATTCGGCCACACTAGTGCATGAAAGCCGGTGTAATTTTTTTTTCTCCTTATAATCTGTAGTTGTTTTAATCAGATGGAGGCTAGTTTAAATACATATACTCAAACTTCAATATACATATATCTCATTCATGTTTTATCCCAGAAACAGCTCTTCTGGAAACTTGGTTTTAAAAAACATGGCCCCTAGTTTGTCACCTCATCTTAAAAAGCAAGAAATTCCCCTTCTACGTCTGTTCTGTTCTTATTCTAGCACCTTGCACCTCTATTAAAGCATTTGTCAGCTTGTATTGTGATTGCTGGTAAAACCCTAACTGATAGCTTGAACACAGTTCATATCTTCCTCAGAGCCCAGCTCTCAGGAAGAATATTCTGAAAATATTTTCTTGAATAAATCGGTGGGTGGGTTATGGTTCTTAGTTTGTCTGGTTGGTTGGTTTTGGTTTGTTCGTTTTGGGATGCTGTTTTGGTTTTCCTCCTTCAGATTTTACTTTTGTGGTCATAGCCTTCAGTCATTATTTCAAAAGAATATGTCCTCATAAGTGACAGTGATCTTTTCCCATTACTTTTGGAGTAATCCCAGAACCTGATGTTTTGTTGTTTACCTCAGAGGGTTTACAAAAGGCTATTGTTCTGCAACATAATGTGCTATTATGTTATACTGTGGCCGTGACACAATTTTGCATTGCAGAATAGACTCCAAAGGTTTATTTTGCATGTTCATACTGTCGTTAGAGAAGGTACAAAAGTTGGATTCACAAGCCCTGTGTGAAATAAATTTCTCAAAATGTCTTTTTATTTAGTCTTGAAGATGAAGCTGTAGATAAAAACATTTTCAGAGACTGTAACAAGATCGCATTTTACAGGTAAGGAAAATAAATATAGTAGCTAGATCAAAACATCTCTGACAGTATTTCAAAATTGATGCTTATTAAATTTTTGGAACTGATAGACTTTCCAAGGAAAGGATAATTTAATAATTAAGGAAATCATCAGACAGGAGACTCACTTTTAACTTTATACATTTACTCCTGAAGTATTTAAATTTTTCAATAAACAGCTATTTTATTTTAAAAGCCAAAATATTTTTAAACTAGTTTTAAATTTTGACGCTTTGAATAGATAACACTTTTACATGGTTCAAAAATAATATAAAGAGCTATACATTGAAAAATGTTGCTTCCACTCCTGTCCCCTTCTACCCATTCCTCATCTTGTCCCGAATAACCGAATTTCTTCATTTCTTATTTATCCTTCCAGTATTTTTTTGTAAATACATGTATTTTTATATTATTGCTTTTCTCTTTTTTTAATCACCCCTTTTTATACCAAATAGGTTTTTTTTCCTGCTTTATAGTTTGTTCTGAGGAGAAATTCATATGAGTGCATGGAGATTGTTTCTCCTTTTTACAGCTGCATAATATTCCATGGGGTAGATATACTATTAATATAATTTATTCAGTCTGTCTCTTATTGCTAGACCCTTGGGTTGTTTTTAATCTTTTGCTAAAATAGCACTACCACAATGAAGAGCTATACATAGGTCATTTTCTACACATGCAGGTGTATTTATAGGATACCTTTCTAGGAGTGAGATTACTGGGTCAAAGAGTAAATGCATTTGAAATGTGTTAACTATTACCAGATTTCCCTCCATAGGAATTATACCATTTGTACTCCTATCAACATTATATAAGATTGCCTGGCTGGGCGAGGTGGCTCACACCTGTAATCCCAGCACTTCGGGAGGCCAAGGCAGGCGGATCACCTGAGGTTGGGAGTTTGAGACCAGCCTGACCAACATGCAGAAACCCCGTCTCTACTAAAAATACAAAATTAGCCAGGCATGGTGGCGCATGCCTGTAATCCCAGCTACTTGGGAGGCTGAGGCAGGAGAATTGCTTGAACCTGGGAGGCAGAGATTGTGGTGAGCCGAGATTGTGCCATTGCACTCCAGCCTGGGCAACAAGAGTGAAACTCCGTCTAAAAAAAAAAAAAGATTGCCTGTTTCTCCAGAGCTACAAAAAATATGCCTTTAAAATCTTCATTTTATTTTATTTTTATGCATTTTTTTGAGACGGAGTCTCCCTCTGTCACCCAGGCTGGAGTGCAGTGGCGCAATCACTGCCCACCACAACCTCCACCTCCTGGGTTCAAGCGATTCTTCTGCCTCAGCCTCCCGACTAGCTGGGATTACAGGCATGCACCACCACGCCCGGCTAATTTTTTGTATTTTTAGTAGAGAGGGGGTTTCACCATGTTGGTCAGGCTAGTCTTGAATTCCTGACCTCAGATGATCCATCCACCTCGGCCTCCCAAAGTACTGGGATTACAGGCGTGAGCCACCACGCCTGGCCATAATGTTCATTTGAAAAAAAAAAAAAAAAAAAAAACAGTCTTTACGTGATCTTGAAACTGAAATAATCAAAAATTGTATTATACAGTATAGCTTTCTAACATATTCCCTCTCTGTTTAATAGGAAGAAAAGCGTATTATGTTAATTCTGAACAGGTATCTAGAGGGAAGTCTACAGTGAATGCCTGGTAACCTTGTTAAACCACTAGATTATATTTAATATCCACTAGAAATTATTTAGTTACTATTAAAGTCCATTTTATGGAAAGAGGGAGGGAAATTAACAAGTTCACAAATGTCATCTATGAAAATTGCCCCACCATCTCAAGAAAGACAAGATGTCATCCTTTGAGCAACGTTATAATAATCAATTGTATTAGTATTCTTACTAATACTCATCTTATTAGCATTCTAATAATAAAGTTCCTGATTAGCACTTTATTATAGTACTAATACTGTTTGTGCCCTGAAATTCACTGAATATCATAGTGAATTTTAATGACTTCCACATGATAATATAGTCTTTTGGATACTGACAATCACAAATAATTATCAAGCATCTGCATACTCCGTATCTATAGGCGTCAGAAACAGTGGCTTTCCAAGAAGTCCACCTATCAGGCATTATTGGATTCAGTCACAACAGATGAAGACAGCACCAGGTTCCAAATCATCAATGAAGCAAGTAAGGTGAGATGGAAGTATTTTCTACAGAGAATAATTTGTTTCTGTATTTATTGGGCCTGAATGAAGTAAATTAAAGCTATGTATGCTTCAAAAATAAACCTCGTTAGAAAAGGAATATCAGCCTTTTAGTGATTAGTGGCTCACGCCTGTAATCCCAGCACTCTGGGAGGCAGAAGTGGGCAGATTGCTCGAGCCCAGGAGTTCGAGACCAGCCTGGGTAACATGGCGAAAACCCATCTCTACAAAAAGTACAAAAAATTATCCAGGCACAGTGGTGTATGCCTGTAGTCCCAGCTACTCAGGAGGCTGAGGTGGGAGGATCTCTTGAGCCCGGGAGGTCGAGGCTGCAGTGAGCCATGATAGTGCCACTGCACTTCAGCCTGGGTGACACAGCAAGATCCTCCCTCAAAAAAGAACAAAGAAAGAAAGAAAATGAATGTCATCTTTTCGTATCTATACTAATAATATTGTAATAGGTATATGAATATAAGTATATAGATTGCCTGTGTATCAGATGTTTTCCTAAATGTCTTACAAATATTATTTCCTTTTGTTTAGTCTTCGTAACACATCTAAGAGGTACATTATATTATCCCAATTTTCAGATAAGGAAAATGAAGTCTGGAAAATCACTTGCCCAAAGTCTCACATTTAGTAACCAAAATTTTCTCCTGCATCTGTCAGACGCTGTCACCCACGTGCTTTCTAACACTGTTACACAATGCCCATTTGCATGTTTAGCCTGAGCAAGGTACAAATTCAGGGTATGTCCAAATCTCAAAATGCAGGTGGGCCAGGGGGAACAGGGAACAGGCAAAAGGACTATGCAGTTGAAAACCCAAGTAACAAGTGTTCCCTCACCTGAGCTGCTTCACTAGAGGTTACCATAGTTTTTGCCTAGTGAGAGGGTTAGGGAAGTATATCTTAAGTGCTTTATCTCACCCGTGAAGTTGTCATGTTACTTTAGATGGGCCAGTCATAGAGGAAGCACTATGGGCTGTGCTAGGAAGTGTGACTGTGCACTACTGCCTGATGCCTTCAACCTGACCTTCACTTTCAGATCCTGCCTGCATTCTAAAGGCATCCTAAGTTTCTAAGGCCTCTGAGACCAATCTGACTTAACTGGTAATTCATATCACTGAAAGACAGTTAAGGCCATTAGGTCTGGGTCCCATAACTGCTTGGATAATAACGGCACCAACTCACTAACAAGTCCCAGTTCTGGGAAGCTGACGTTCGTGGCAAAGCTGTGAACTATGTGACTACTATAGTTCCTGCCCTGCAGCGCTGTACTGATATTCGTGGGTTCTCCATAATAATTGTAAGGCCTTTAATTTAGAAATGGGTCCAAACTTTATTCCCAGACAGAAAGAACAATTGTACAGTAAGGAAAACTACCTTCATTATGGAGTTTTAGAGATTTTAGTCATATGGAATCTTCATCCATAACTTTCTTGCCCAAATTCAAAATAATGAGCTAGAATCATATCAACAGTTCTGTGTTCTTTATCCCCATCCCCTGTCCTCAACTTCTACAACATAGTTATTGTGGCGGTACATTTAGCTCATCTCTCTTAGCTGCACAGATGGGGCAGTTAGCCTTTCTCCAAAATCTAGTACTGATTCTTACACCACCCATTTTTCTGGAGTAATTTTCCTCCTTGCCTAGTGTGTTTGATACATTTGAGTTCTCAGCTCATGGTACCCCCAAAGCCATAGGTCCTCTAATGCTGATTCAGGTCTCCCTTTATATTCTTATTTATATATGTTTTTTATATATCCTTTTGTAGCCTAGTTTGGTAACTGTTCATGGAGAAAAAAATGGGACAGCACTAATTTCCTTCCTGGAGAGCCAACCACTGTTTGCATGTGGTCTAATAGCCTGACACCCGGCCAGACCCTTCTATTCAGGGTCAGCAGAAGCAGTTGGCTCCAGGAAATGCATCAAGTCCATCAGAGGCCTTCCAGGAGTCTTTAGGCCTTGACCAGATGTCAAGAACCTTTCTGTCAAGTTTTTCTTCTCATTGTCTCATTTTCTTTCCTGTTTCCATTGTGTCTAACCTGAGAGAGTTGTAGTTGTCCATAGTCAGAGCAAGAATCCCTATCCATTCTTGAGGATGCTTAGTATATTGAGCACCTGGTCATGAAGACGTGCTGAGGTAAAGTAAATGAGGCAAAATCACCCGGAATATCAGTGGTGAGCCGAAATGAAAATTCTCAACACAGCGTGATACCAGTTTGCGGTGGACACCCACATATGCCATTTCACGTTACTGTAGATCAGTTTCTCTTTTTGGATCCTGAAAAAGTGAGGAACAATGCTCTTCAGGTCAGGTGCCAGGACCAGAGCCCAACAACTCTGGATGCCTTCAAAGGCAAAGAAACCACAGTCCAGGAGGAGACACAGGATCTCAGCACAAGACAGCACCTGGCTCAAAAGGAAGCTGAGGAGCCTGATAAACAAGGACAAATTACCTGGGACATCAGCAACGTAGCTCCCAAGACTGAGAACTTTGAGGACCTCTTGGAACAAACTCCATGCTCAGGTATTAGAAATATCAGAACCACATAGGGAATCTGCATGCCCTGATCTCAGGCAAATGTATGCAAATACATATTTCGGGAGATCACCCTGAAATTCTGCACTGAACTCCATTTTAATGTCCTCCTTGTCATGTGGTGTTGAGATGACTAGTAGGTACATAAGGTTTCATGCCCTCTGTCAGTCTGTTAGAGACAACAGAGGTGATGGTGATCACTAATGTTGCCTGCATCTTATATGCAGCTCATTGCATAGTGAAAGAGCCTCTATTAGGCCAGGCGTGGTGGCTCACACCTATAATCCCAGCACTTTGGGAGGCCAAAGCAGGCAGATCGCTTGAGGCCAGGAGTTTGAGACCAGCTATGGCCAACATGGCAAAACCCCATCTCTACTAAAAATACAAAAATTAGCCAGGCAGGGTGATGCATGCCTGTAATCCCAGCTACTCCAAAGGCTGAGACATGAGAATCACTTGACCCTGGGAGGCAGAGGTTGCAGTGAGCCAAGATTGTGCCACTACACTGCTGCCTGGGCAACACAGACACTGTCCAAAAAAAATTGACCTAAAACATGACAAAGACAGCATGGAAAAAGAAAATTACAGATTAACTTACTTATGAACATAAATTAAAAAATTGTGAAGGCTGTACTAATAAAGTGAATCCTTCAGGATAGTAGAAAATAATTATTGTGACTGAGAGGTTATACATATACATTGATTAAATTGCCAAGCTGCAAAAGTCTTGAGAAACGGTCTCTTTTAAATTCCTGTTTAGGCCAGGTGCAGTGGCTCATGCCTATAATCCCAGCACTTTGGGAGGCCCAGGCAGATGGATCTCCTGAGGTCAGGGGTTTGAGACCAGACTGATCAACATGGTGAAACCCCATCTCTACTAAAAATACAAAAATAAGGCCGAGTGCGGTGGCTCACACCTATAATCCCAGCACTTTGGTAGGCCGAGGCGGGCAGATCACGAGGTCAGGAGTTCAAGACCAGCCTGACCAACATGGTAAAACCCGTCTCTACTAAAAATAACAAAAATTAGCCAGGCATGGTGGCATGTGCCTGTAGTCCCAGCTACTCAGGAGGCTGAGGCAGGAGAATTGCTTGAACCTGGGAGTCAGAGGTTGCAGTGAGCCAAGATTGTGCCGCTGCACCCTCAGCCTGGGCAACACAGTGAGACTCTGTCTCAAAAAAAAAAATTTTTAATAACAAAGAACTTCTATTAAAAATGGTTTCTGGGATAAGATGGGTGTTTCAAGGAGATTGCACATTAAGATATGGTATGAGTGTGATCTGAAGTTTTAAAATAAGCTGCATACATCCACTTATTCAGAATGATAGCTTTTTATTTCAGGTCAAGAGGGACAGCCCAGAGTCTAAGAGGATCATATTCAGCTCACAGCTGCAGTTCTCAAATTACACTGATCAGGCAGATTCTGACAAATCCAACACTCTTGGTGCCTGCCTGCCCCTACACCTTTAAAACCCTTAAAGCAGTAACTTTGGAGTTGTCAAGATTTGTTAATTTTTGAATTTCTCCCTCTCAATTCCCTTCCCCAATCTGCTCCTTAATAAACAACCAGGAAGCAGAACCAAGCTTCATTCAACATTGGGTTAGGCTGCCATAACCAAATATCACAGGCTAGGCAGCTTACACAACAGATGTTTATTTCTCGCAGTTCTGAAGGCTGTAAATTCCAAGATCAAGGTGCTAGCAGCTTCACTGTCTGGTGAGGGCTCTCTTCTTGGTTTGTAGATGGCTGCCTTCTTCTTGTGCCCTCGCATAGTGGAGAGAGAGTGTGTACACAAGCTCTCCCGTCTTTTCTTATAAGGGCACTAATCCATTCCTGAGGACTTCCTCAACCTCGTTACCTCATCTAAACCTAATTACCTCCCAAGGGCTTCATCTCTGAATACCATCATATTGTGGGTTAGGGCTTTAATAGGAAACTTTGGGAAGACACCATTCAGTCCATAGCAAACATGATGTTCCAGGACATAGATCTGTTCCAAAACAAGCTAGAATGTTGACCTGTGTGTTGTTGCAAGGTCGGAACGTCCAGGCTTTGGAGAAAAGCTGGTTGCGTGTTCAGATGCATAAGTTTTCTCACATAGGGTCCTAATATAGTGTTGTGCTTATTCCTGATGACAGAATAATCAGGTAGATATTTAGTAAAGAAGTTTCCAGAAAATAGAAAGTGATCAGGAAAGTGTTGACTGCTTTTGTAGAACTCAGTTGTTGTTGTTGTTTTCCTACTACTATCAGTTTTCTATCGTCAGTGAAAATTTGGTCTGGATTGAGAAAGAGAGATCTAGTCTTGTGATCTAGGCAAAGGAAAATGTATGCTGTCTTGTGAGTCTAGCTTAAATAGCATTGCTAGCAAGGATGTCTGGAGCAATCTACTTTATATTGCTAATTATGATGCTTTCTCATGATATAGGTGACCATTTGGCAACACGTTTATTTTCTTTTGCAGCCTGTTTGCAAGGTTTCACCAGAGACAACACTTCCAGCAGCTTCTCCGAGGATGCAGGAATATCTCTGAGCACCTCTGTGAAGTTACCCCTTGCCTCTTCATCTAAGCCTAATGAAAATGAAGCTTTGCCCAACCAGCCACCTTCTCAGCAGATAAGGCACAACTACCGCTTATTAGCCAGTACTGTGTCTGCAGAAATGGCCAGGAACAGGCAGCTAATTTGGGAACTGGCCAGACAATCAGAAGCACACCTGGACAGGCCAGTTGTCCTTGGGGAACAGGCCAGTGCCCAGCGTGAGGTTGCCAGTATTCTTTGTAGAAAATCAGTGCTTGCAATAAACCAACTGGCTGCAACTGTAGAAGGGACAATTAGTGTCCTACAGCAATTTAATGAACTATTAGACCATCCTCTGGATCCCGGGAGGTCTTGATCACAGCTGGTAGAGGTGGCCACTCACTGTTCTATGTCTTTTAGGTTAACAGTTCTTTACATAACAGTGAAGAGTCCTGGTGCCTCAGGAAAAGCAAGATCAACCTACCAAGGAAGAGTTGATGGAGTCATAATTTTCCTACTTAACACCCACTGCAAATTTAAATATGTGTTCTAGGGCTGTTTGTTAATTCTATTATGGTCTTTACTAATTGTGATTCCCAGTTCTGGGTGAATAAAAAGTTTTTGTTTTAATGTAATTGTGATCAACACTATGCTTGAAGACATAGACAAAGCTATTTCTACCACCATGATGTTTACAAAATATCTGGTATTTTCGCCTATATGGCCATTAAAAAAACTAGATTTGTGGATAACAAACCACCAAGTTTTAATTGTTTTTATTTAATAAGGGAGAAATAAGATAGAAAAAGAGAATTAATACTCTTTTTCCCAGACTGAGAGGCGGGCTTCTAAGTAAAGGTATGTGAAAAACTGAGTAGAGGCTTGTAGTACTAAAATGAACCTCCAAAATTTATTCTTTTCTCTGAGGATTTATCTCAGCTTCTCTGTGTAATTGGATATTAACACATCTTAAATTTTTTAAAGAGATGGGGTCTCACTGTGTTGCTCAGGCTGGAGTGCAGTGGTTACTCACAGGTGCAGTCATGGCACACTGTAACCTCAAACTACTAGGCTCAAGCAATCCTCTTGCCTCAGCCCCACTGAGTAGCTGGGGCTATATGCATGTACCACCCACTGGCATGTCTTAAATACTTCTAAGGGAGCAAAACACATGCTCTCTCACCTCATTTTAACTATCCATTTAAAATTATTAGATGTATGTTCATTTTACATAAATTGACCTGGCTACAATTGAGTGTAACTACTTATATTATCTAAGGATTAATACTAGATTCTCAATTTAAGCAGTCCAGCATCTCTAACTTCTTAATGTATTTTTTCATTGTCATTTCCAATCATCACTAACAGGAGGAAGAGATTTGATAGTTTATTTGTATATTATTTTATTTATAAATATCCAGCAGGTCCTAGCAAATAGGAAAGGAATATCTACAAATGTTTACTGTTTTAGGTAGAAGAATATAACAGTCATGTCCAAACTTTTTGAAAGAGCAAGGATGTGGTGGAAGGATTGGGAAAGAACTGGCAGTTAAGCCTCAGGGAAGTGGCATTTAAACTGTCATCCACAGAGCCCTAAGGTTTCGACAGAGGTGACTTAGGACTCAGTACAGGGAAGGCAGGGGACTCTAAGGTGGGACACTGAGCCATTCCCCACTGTCTTTAACCCAAGTGGCTTTACTTATTGGACTTCTGGGAGTCTGCTGATATTTAAAAGAAAGAAAGAAAGAAAGAAAAAACACATGAGCCCAGATCATAGGAGGAAATGCATACTAAGGTCTAAGGAAAGTAGAGCCTGGACCAAGAAAGCTATGTTGGTGATAATAAGAGATAAGGCACAGTGGCTCATACTTGTAATCCCAGCACTCTGGGAGGCTGAGGCAGGAGGATCACTGGAGGTCAGGAGTTTGAGACCAGCCTGGTCAACATGGTGAAACCCCATCTCTATTAAAAATACAAAAATTAGCCTGGTGTGATGGCACGCACCTGTAATTCCAGCTACTCAGGAGGCTGAGGCACAAGAATCTCTTGAACCTAGGAGGCGGAGGTTGCAGTGAGCCAAGATTGCGCCACTGCACTCCAGCCTGGGTGACCAAGCAAGACTCCATCTCAAAATAAATAAATTTAAAGAAAGAATGACTGTAAATATTGCTAAATTTCAGAGTGATTTTTGCTAAAATTAGATTGCTAAATTAAAATGAGGATTAACTCTGATTTATACATGAAGTCATTATAGTGAAAACAGGGTTATTGCTCTCTTTTCCCCCCTGGGCTGCAGCCTCAGGAACAGAACATACAGATCAGTCTTTGGTTTAAACAAAAATTAGTTTTTTTTTTTTTGTAGAGAAAGCTGTTTTACTAAAAATGGGACAATCTCTGAGTGAATAACTAAATGTAAATTGTTAATCATATATAGGCAGACCACCTATATGCCCCCTGCTTAGGAAGTTCTTGCCCATTTTTGCCTACTCAAAGTCTTACTAATTCCTGAAGGCCCTGCTTAAATCTCTATTCCTCTAGAGAAATGTCCAGAACTTCTAACCCTACAGTCATCATTAATAACCCTTCTTAATCTCTTGCCTTTCTGTTTTAAAACTTATCACAGAATGCTCTGTGTTAGCTTTGCATCTCTTTTATCTCCTCCAATTTCAGCCTCCCCAAAAGTTCAATCATTGCAATAATAGATGCCAAATAAATGTTAATTGAATGGAATTTGAGAGAGCAATGGAAACACATGTTTAAATAGTGAGAAAATACATAATCTAACAGAATTTGAACTTTGTACTTGGACATATTTCCAAATGTTAAAATTTTGATTGTACGCTAAAAGTAGTTTAAATACATAAAAGAACATTAAACATGCAAGCAGTAATTACAGTATGATCACTATTGCATCATAACCCTGCCTTAGAATATCTAGAAAAGGATCCACAGCCATAGCACTGTTTACTTGTTCACTGTTCATTATCATGTTACAGTTTAACTGCCCTGATTGCTTCCCTGTTTTCGCAAGAGGCAAAGTTCCAGTAACATCATGTTTTTGGTGCTGGCTTGGTATTCTTCATATTTCTTATCTTTTACTTGCACCACATTGTACCCATTCTAAGCTATGTCACACAACTTACCGAGTTTAGCTGTCATTTAACAGACATAATAGTAACAACACAGGCACCCAGTAGTAACCAAAATTTGGCATCATACTTCGTGAGGAAATTGCAATTGACTAGTGTGGCATGGCCCACCAGTTGAAAACCATGGTCTTAAAATATTTTTCTAGGTGCTCATTTTGTAGCCTGAGTCCTGTCATTTCTGTTCTCCTAGAGCTTCTTGTTCTGTGTTTTATTTTTCAAATTCTCTATTATCTTCATGATTCTACATTGTTTCCGTGTCCCACGGTAGGCAGAATTTTACTTAGGTTCCCCAGCCTCTTGTAAAAGTTCCCCGGGTCTATTTTCCCAGCTGTGAAAAATCAATTCCAGTTTGATTTTAGTGCACCAAGCCTCCTTTCATCCACCACTAGAGAACTCCAATGATCATCATTTTATTCTGTACTGTTTTCTCTTCTGTAGCCTGCCACCCTTCATCTTTCATCCAGCTGGAATCTAGTTACTCTGCTTTTAACAGGCAAACTCTTATTCTTAATGTATCTGTAGTTTATCATAGATACAGTAGCCACATGTCCCAATCTTCCAAGGCAAGTTTCAGTTTATGCCTGTCTTTCAGTGTAATTATTAATAGAGACTTCTTTCACTCTGAAGATCCTGGTTTGACAATTTTATGTTCACCTAGCCACAGAACACATAGGAGATATTTCTTGTTGCTGCTGTAGCTATAGTCAAGCAAGTACATACATAAACTGGGGAGCTTTTTTTTTTAATTGCCATTGTTCTCCAATTTGCTTGGCCTATCATAATTGAAACAAATACTTTCCTAATTATTGTAATTGGTGCAAAATTGGCCATCACTTGGGTAACCTGTTGAAGGTAATCTCTTGTATCTGTTTCCAGGTTCCTCTCCTGGCTGAAATTTATGGTATAGAAGGAAACATTTTCAGGCTTAAAATTAATGAAGAGACTCCTCTAAAACCCAGATTTGAAGTTCCGGATGTCCTCACAAGCAAGCCAAGCACTGTAAGGTAAGCCAAGGAGCGAGGTATTTTAGAGACACGCTTGATATATTCTTTTATCATATCTTGAGTAATAAATTTTGTTATGTGCACTTCTTATTTTGGCTGCTCAAAACTACAGTCATTTAGGTTGGTGTAAAAGTAATTGTGGTTTTTGCCATTACTTTTAATGTATTCAGTTATTTGGGGATAAGTCTATCCATTTTCCTTATTATCCATTCTGTTTTTTCTTCATCCACCATTTGATTCATCAGGATTTATTTAACGGGGAGAAGCAGAACTTTGATCCCTGCTCTCCTTCTCACAAAGAAAGTGGTTTTATTAGCCAGACTATGGGAGCAAGTAGAAGGAAAGCTACTTATTACTCACTCAGATTAGCAGCAGGGCTCCGGAGATCTAATACGCTAGCCAAACTCCCATACTTACAGTAATTTATACTATTGGACGGACTCACTTAATTAAGGTTATTCTCAGAAGTCTAACATGTAATTTTACTTAGTGTCAAGGTAAATTAATAATCAGTGTCTAGGTGAAAAACAATCTTTGGGGACTAAAGCATTTTCAAGTACCTGCAAAACTTTAATCTCTTCTCATAACACTTTCCAGTGATATTTCAACTCAGTTTTGCCGGTTGGTTTCCATTATATTGTCATATTATTTCACTAAAGGAATATCAGATTATGCCAGATGCTTTCATTTTTACTATATCATTACTGTAGTTTTATGTAGATTATTTTTTCCATGAAAATCTTATAAAAGGTCAATACATTATAATGAGAAATGAATTCAGTTATGATAGAATCATCAAAAGTTTAAAATATATCTATTCACTGAGCCACACTATATGCCAATAACTTAGTAAACATAATTTTTTTTAATTTAATTTTTTCTTTTAATAGAGACAGAGTCTTGCTGTGTTACCCCAGCTGGTATCAAACTCCTGGCCTCAAATGATTCTCCCTCCTCTTCCTCCCAAAGTGTTGGGGTTATCGGCATGAGCCACCATGCCTGCCCTAAATAAGAACTTAAAAGAGACTGTTTCTCAAGGCTTTTGCAGTTTGACAATTGAATCAATGCATACATATAACCTCCTGGCCACAGTATGTTATTTTCTACTATCCTGAAGGATAGTACAGCCTTCACAATTTTTACACTTGTGTTCGTAAGTAAGTTAATCTGTAATTTTCTCTTTCCGTGCTGTCTTTGCCATGTTTTAGGGTCCAGGTGATAATTCACTTGGTATGGTAAATATGGTATTAATTCTGCTTCTGTACTGAGTTCTTTCTAGAGGGCCTTTGGCTACTGTAGTAACTGGAAAGCTAAAAACTACGTTTCTTCATTTCCCAGACTCCCTTGTAGCTACAGGTTCTGATATAATTCAGTTTCCACCAATCAGATGCACTTAAAAAAACCTTGATTTCAGAACTGAGTTCCCCATTTTGCTTATATGGATTTGGCACCTGTAGAGTGGCTCTAAGGCCATTAGTTAAGGCCATGATTTACTCATCTCTGAATCATAGCTAAGGTGGCATGATCCTAGAGCCCAGCAGTTGTCATAGTGACTTCTGATAACTCAACTTCCTGATTCTAGCTAAGATAGAAGGTCAGTTGGCCATACAGTTACACAGTATTGTTCTAGGGGGTCATTCCTGGACATGCAGCCTGGAACCTACTACCTCAACCCTTCCCGTGATGTTGTAAGCAACAAATTATCCATATGAAGTCATTTATTTTCTGCTTAAAATAGCCAGAGTTGTTTTTGTTTTCTACAATTGAGCCTTGGTTGATAAAGTAGTTGGTATTATAAATGAATATAAGCAACAGCCTCTCAAGGATGGGAGTATGAGATTGGCTGGCTGACCTAGCTGGATTTGGAGGCAGTGAGGATGTATTTACCTATAGAGAATGGGATACTACTGTTACAGGCTGAATTGTGTTATCCCAAAATTCAGGTGTTGAGCCCTAACCTCTAGTACCTCAGAATGTGACTATATTTTGAGATAGGGTCTTTAAAGCAGTAAATAAGTTAAAATGGGATGATTAGGGTAGGCTCTAATCCATTATACCTGGGTGCCCTTGTAAGAAGAGGAGATTAGGACACAGATGCAGGCACAGAGGGACAACCACGTGAAGACATAGTGATAAGGCAGCCATCTGCAAGCCCAGGAAATAGGCCTCACAAGAAACTCAACTTTCTGACACCTTGATCTTTGACTTCTAGCCTCAAAAATTATGAGAAAATAAATTTCTGTTGTTCAAGCTACCCAGTTTCTGATATTTTCTTATGGCAGCCCTGCCAAACTAATAGAACTAATAATAGACCACAAAATTCTGTGGCAATGTTACTTAAATGACCACTGGTGGTCAACTAAAATAAAGTGGCCCATTGAAAGCAGACCAAGAGGTAGGGCCATACTGCATTCTGATTATCATGCAGAATTCAGAGCTCTGAGGTGGCTTGGCTGCTACAACTTCACTGAAGAGTTTAAAGAAAGAAAACAATAGTCTCAGGGCTTTAAATTCTTAGCTCAAGGTATTGTCAGAAGATTGTTAATTTTCTGTGACAATCCTAAAAGTCCTCATATCTTCTGTAGCTGCAGGTACATATAGCTGAAAATCAGATGCAGAGTTTGATATTGCAGGTCACTGAATTAGTCCATAAGTTAATTTCAGGCATTAACTGGGAAAACGTAGGACTCCTCAAAATTGAATAGCAGGCTGAGTGCAGTGGTTCACACCTGTAATCCCAATACTTTGGGAGGCCAAGGCAGGAGGATTGCTTGAGGTTAAGGGTTGTAGACCAGACTGGACAACAAAGTAAGACTGCATCTCTATAAAAAATTAAAAAACTAACCGGGCATGGTAGCACACACCTGTTGTCCTAGCTACTCAGGAGGCTGTGGTGAAAGGATCACTTGACCCCAGTGGTTTAAGGCTGCAGTGAACTATGATCGCACCACTGCACTCCAGCCTGGGTGATGGAGCAAGACCCTGTCTCTAAAAAAATAAACAATTTTTTTTAAAAATTGAATAACAATATTTGGGAAGAGTTGGGTAATTCTAAATAGTCAAACCTCAAAATTTCACTGGCCCTCCCATTTCAGCAGAAGCAACCCCTCCTATAAAGGCAGGTGAAGCTGATCCTGCCTTGCTTGGATACCCTGTATTGACCTCACCTAAAATATACATGCACGGGGATTCCAATTCTCCTGTGCCCGACCCCTACCACCCTTCACTGCCTCCAGACCCATCATCAGAGTCAGATCCCAACATGCCCAGAGAGCCAATTACAGTCAAACCCGGGGGAGAAGGCTTGCATGCCTGAAAAATTATAAGACTATATAATGCAAAAAAAACCTGGGAAATATGAATGGAAATGGTTTCTGAGGAATTCCTAGACCAGAAAGAAGGAACTTAATTGTAGATCAGGCTAAATTTATTGACTCAGGTACACATACCAGATAATGTAGATTTGATATGCTAGCTTGGGCAACTGAGAATGGCTCTAATTGATGGCATAGTTGGTTAATTATAATCTGAACTCAGCTATGGATTCTTCTGAATGAAGCTGAGATATCAGGAATTCCTTGGCATGGTGTAGAGGAAATGATCCACAGACTTAGAGAGATAAAGATGTTGAAGTGGATTTGTTTCATGCAACCAGCTCATCTAGCCCCTCTGGATTCTGTTCCCCACGAGAATCCAGAACATACCCCCTTCACTGAGAAACTGATGAGGGAGCACTTGGAAAGCATTGTAGTGAACATCTTCCTTTTGTGGGCTGGAGATAATGGTGGGAAATGATGCCGTTAAAATGGTCTCCCTGATTTCAGTGGAGATAATGAGACTCCAGGTAGCAGAGGCAGAGTAGAAACATTTAATTGTCAGAGACAAGGTGAACATAATTCCATTATGTGTGGTAGGACCCATGTAGTACTCAAAATGGTTTAACGCTTGGGGCAGTAAGCAATTTATGGTGGGGTGCATTAGACTGACATATATGAACTACAGTCCTACTTAATGGAATCATCAAAAGAACTCTGTCTGGGTTCAATGGATAGTGAGAGACAGCCTCTCAGCTGTCTCCAGAGTTAATTTCCAGATCCTAAGCATCTTGCTTGAAGAGAAGGCATAGAATCCATGGAGGACTGAAAAGACATCATAAGAACATAAACTGTCTCTTTTTACCTTCCTGAAAGAGTCCTGTGAACATTTACTGGGGACACTGTGCACTGGAGAAAGGGAAATATCTAGCTTTGAGGGATTTTAAGTGCTGTGTCTGAGCTTACATAATTCTTGTGGATCTAAAACATCCTAACAATGTACCTGTGAAATTGGAGGCTGGTGGGAATCAGGCAATAAATAGGTAAATAAAAATTTGACCTGGTTCCATCTCACTGTGGAGAGATGGACCCAATCTGTGTTATTTCCTCAGTTTCTGAGTATGTGTTTGGAATGAGAAAGAAAAACAATAGTTAGATTTTACACACCAAAATCTAGAAAGTTACTAGACCTTCCAGACCAAGGTGATGATGATGACAACGATGATAGCTAACATTTACTGTGTGTTTTTTTTTTTAATGTGTCTGGCACTGTGTCAAGAGCTTTACACATGTGATCTCATTTAATTCTCTCCAAAAACTTTGTTGTTGCTTTTGTTATTTTCACTTTACAGATAAGGAAACCAAGACCTAGAAAAGTTGGATAACTTTGTTATCCGAAGTTATAACGTATATGATAGAGTTATGCTCAATTTAAGCTCTTTGGCATCAAAGCCAATGCTCTCATTAACTTTTCTCTGTTGCCTTATCTATGGCTATGTCACATGAATATTGATTTACTAATTAATTACTTGGAAGTACAAATCACATAGGGCCATGTAAACCTATAGCAGCTTGTTTCTCTCTTCCTGTTTTGTTTTCTAGGCTGATTTCATGCTCTGGGGACACAGGCAGTCTGATATTGGCAGATGGAAAAGGAGACCTGAAGTGCCATATCACAGCAAACCCATTCAAGGTAGACTTGGTGTCTGAAGAAGAGGTTGTGATTAGCATAAATTCCCTGGGCCAATTATACTTTGAGCATCTACAGATTCTTCACAAACAAAGGTATTCTTATGCATTACTTGACACATAAAGACCTTAACATAACCTGGTTAATGAATATCAGTTGCCTAAATAGATAACATAGCACCATAGAAAATTGGTTTGCCTTATTTGCTCTAGTATTGTTCTGAGAAATTTTACCTTTTCACCTGTGAAGGTGAATACAAGCTTTATGACAAAAATAATTCCCAAACTTTTGTAAATGTTACACTCTTAACATGTCCTGTGTGTAACTGATGGCATTCTCTACCCTGCACACCCTTCTATAAAAGCACTCTGTTGACCTGACAAATGTTAATGTGAACTAGCATACCTTCGTAATTTCACTTCACTCCCTTGCAATAACACAAATTACCCTAGACTTGAATAGTTGTCCAGGAATTTTCTGGGACCATCTGCTTGATCAAAGCTGTTTATGTGGGGTGCTCACATGAATTAGGAGGTGGTGGTAAGGAGGAGATTCTTATTCCATTCTTACGAACACTGTTTTTAAATCTTTTAGTCTATAGTTCTTTCTATTTTTATCATGATAATAAACGTATTATATGATCTGCAGAAAGCATTCAACATTCATTATTCCAACATAGTCATTTTTCTGAGTTTCAACTCATTTCTGTTTTAAAATTTTGATACTAAAAATATCTCATTTTCTCATCTCAGAACTAATACTTGTTCATCATAGGCAGATTAGAAAATATTGAAAAGAAGAAAATTTAAAATCCCCATAATCTCTCCACCTACTCTCTTAGTGCCTTATGAATAGTCAAGTACTTGTTTAACTGAAAAATACTAATAATAGCAGAACAAATATCTGTGTACCCACTACTCATGTTCTTTATATGTAAAGCCTTTTTTCTAGCCAGGCACAGTGGCTCACACCTGTAATCATAACACTTTTGCCGAGGTGGCAAATCAGTTGAGCCCAGGAATTTGAAGCCAGCCTGGGCAACATGGTGAAACCCTGTCCTACAAAAAAATACAAAAAAATTAGCTGAGTTTAATAGCACATGCCTGTAGTCCCAGTTACTTGGGAGGCTGAGGTAGGAGGATCACTTGAGCCCAGGAGGTCAAGACTGCAGTGAGCTGCGACTGTGGCACTGCACTCCAGCCTGGGCAACAGAGCGAGATTCTGTCTCAAAACAAACAAACAAAAAACGCTTTTTTTTCTTTTGTAAACCCCGATGATTTTGTTCTGTTTTCTTTTAAACATTGTTTTCTTTCCTATCTAAGTTGATCCTTTTACTTACTTATGTAGAAGAGGCACATGGTACAAAGGAGTATATATTAATACACATTTCTATGTAATAATAGTAAAGAATCTCCTTCCCCCTGTGTCCTCTAGCTGCCCACTTTCCATCGTTGAAAGTAATGTGTTCTGGTCGGGTGTGGTGGCTCATGCCTGTAACCCCAGCACTTTGGGAGGCCGAGGCAGGTGGATCACCTGAGGTCAGGAGTTCGAGACCAGCCTGGCCAACATGGTGAAACCCTGTCTCTAGTAAAAATACAAAAATTTAGCCAGGTATAGTGGCACATGCCTGTAGTCCCAGCTACTCAAGAGGCTGAGGCAGAAGAATCTCTTGAACCCAGGAGGTGGAGGTTGCAGTGAGCTGAGATCATACCATTGCACTCCAGCCTGGGCAGCAGAGCAAGACTCTGTCTCAAAAAAAAAAAAAAAAAAAGTAATGTGTTTCCAGTTTTTTGTGTATCCTTTCAGAAACAATTTATGTATACACATTTTATATATATTCTTTGACTTTTCCTTTCCTGACACAAATGGCGCCACCTTTACACATTATTCTACACCTTGCTTTTTTCTGTTAACAATGTGATAATTCTTAATTTCTTTAAAGCAGCTACATAATTTCTGTTGTATGGCTTTACCATGATTCACTGAGTAAATTCTCTATTGAGGGATTTAAAGTTGTTTCTAATCTTGTTTTACAACTAGTTAGTTTACTAATAACCTTGAATATGTGTCATTGTGCATATATACAAGTATATTTATAGTATAGAGTCATAAAAGGATAGTTGTTGATCAGATGGTTTGTGCATTTGTAGTTTTTTTTTTTTTTTTTGAGATGGAGTCTCGCTCTGTCACCCAGGCTGGAGTGCAGTGGCATGATCTTGGCTCACTGCAAGCTCTGCCTCCTGGGTTCATGCCATTCTCCCACCTTAGCCTCCCGAGTAGCTGGGACTACAGCGCCCACCACCATGCCCGGCTAATTTTGTTTTTGTATTTTTAGTAGAGATGGGATTTCACTGTGTTAGTCAGGATGATCTCGATCTCCTGAACTCGTGATCCGCCCGCCTCAGCCTCCCAAAGTGCTGCGATTGCAGGCATGAGCGACCACGCCCCGCCTGTAGTTTTCATAGGTATTGCCAAATTGCCTTCCATAGAGGTTGTACTGGTAGCTATAGTTCCATGATTTACATTTATATTTATAATTATATTTGTGTTAGGAAAATCAGATGATCTAACTGGAAAAAATTTTAAGTTAGATTTTAACCTCATAACATTAACAAAAATCAATTGCAGATGAATAAAAATTAAACATAAAAAGACATAAAAATAGAAGAAAATATAAAACAATATTTCTGTAATTGTGAGAGTGTGACATAAACTGAAGAGCCATAAGGAAAAGATTGATGGATTTGATTACTTACACATTTTAAGCTTTGATTCTACTCAGAAAGCAACACAAGAAGAAAAAAAGCTTTATTATAGACACACACACACACACACACACACACACACACACACACACACACACACAGCGTGAACAAAATTAAAAGTCAAGGACTTCCAGTTTCCCGTCTGGCATGTAAGGAGCTTAGAAGTCACTACTCCATCCTAACAATGACTAAAAAGCTCAACAAATCAGTTTTTGCCTTATATAGTTTGATGCTCTGTTAGACTCATACACGCATTAAAGATTGTTACGTTGAGCTGGGCACAATGGCTCATGGCTATAATACTAGCACTTTGGGAGGCTGAGGCAGGCAGATCATCTGAGGTCAGGAGTTTGAGACCAGCCTGGCCAACATGCTGAAACCCTGTCTCTACTAAAAATACAAAAAAATTAGCTAGGCATGGTGGCATGTGCCTGTCGTTCCATCTACTTGGGAGGTTGAGGTGGGAGAATCACTTGAACCTGGGAGGTGGAGGTTTCAGTGAGCCGAGATCATACCATTGCTCCAGGCGGGGCGACAAGAGCAAAACTCTGTCTCAAAAAAAAAAAAAAAAAAGATTGTTATGTCTGCTTAGAGTATTGATCCCTTTATCATTGTGTAATATCCCTTTTTATCCCCCCAAATTTTCCTTGCTTTGAAATCTCTTCTGTCTGAAATTAATATATCTACTCTTACTCTCTTTTGATTGGTGTTAGCATAGTATATCTTACCTTCAGAGGTAACCAGTTTACTAAATTTTGTGTTAATCACTTCCTTGGGTTTGATTTGGTTTGGTTTAGTTTAGTTTTGTATTGTTTTAAGACGGAATTTCACTCTTGTTGCCCAGGCTGGAGTGCAGTGGTGCGATCTCAGCTCACTGCAACCTCCGCCTCCCAATTGCAGGTTCAAGCAATTCTCCTGCCTCAGCCTCCCAAGTAGCTGTGATTACAGGTGCCCACCACCACGTCCAGCTAATTTTTGTATTTTTAGTAGAGACAGGGTTTCACCATGTTGGCCAGGCTGGTCTCGAGCTCCTGACCTCAGGTAATCTACCCGCATTGGCCTCCCAAAGTGCCCATATTACAGGTGTGAGCTGCCGCACCCAGACTCCTTGGGGTTTTTAATTGGATTCCCACATATGTATGAATTCCCAAACAACATATTATTTGGATTCGTCTTTTCTAAAAAAACTTTTATGTAATAAAAGTATGCTGTATATATTCTTTTGTAATGTATTTTTCACTCAAATATTTTTTTTCTTTTTCCTTTTTTTTTTTTTTTGGAAGATATGGTCTCACTATGTTGCCCATTAAATGTATAAAAGTTAGCCTACATCATTCATGCTCTTAGAAATACAAACTGAAATGCATTTATTTTTTCTACAATTTTAGATTGGCAAAAACTGAAAGATTGATAAAGTCCAGCAATGTTAAGAATGTGGGGAACTGAGCACTGAAATACAACTATGGGTGGAAGAATAAATTGTCACAATCATTCTGAAAGACTGTACATTATAGTGCTGTGTTCTGGGAGTGAGGAGAGTTACACCGAGTGTAGGGAGCTATGTTCTACCTTGCTTACTTAGATTTTGTTGAAATATTATGAGCATGTTTAACATTTATAATAAAAAATGATAAAAGTATTTTTTAAAGAGTTAACAAAATTAAAATACTTCTACATTAAGAAATGAAGCTATTAGATTAATGTTCATCATTACTGTCCAATTTTATAAACTCATTTTTAAATTGTTTTTTATTGTTTAAAGATGAGATCTCACTATGTTACCCAGGCTGACATCGAACTCCTGGGCTCAAGTGACCCTCTAGCCTCAGCCTCCCAAGTAGCTGGGATTACAGGCAGGCACCACTGCACCTGGGTTCATTTTTATTTTTATAATGATGTTATATTTAATACATTAAAGGATATAACTGAGGTCTCAAAAGTTGGAAATGAAAAATCTTTATCATTGAACAAAATTCTGTCAGTCTTGCCATTGAGTGAAACAACTTTATTTACGTTAAAACAGAGCTGCTAAAGAAAATGAGGAGGAGACATCAGTGGACACCTCTCAGGTAATCTAGATTGATCCATTTATTGTTATCTTTTTCACCATCATCATCATGATAGGGCATATAAGGAATTCTCTTTCTTCCTTCTACAGAAGGGTGCTTGTTAAATGATCGACTGCATATAAATAGGACCACTTGTTTCTTCGGCTCACCTTGTCATCTCGTTGATTCATTCATTCATTTATTCATTCATTCATTCATTCATTCATAAAAACAGATGCTTCCTGAGTGCCTACTTTTTGCCAGGCATTATTGCTAGGCAAGGAGAATCAGCCTTGAATAAAACAAATCCCAAACATGTTCTCATGGAAATTAGAATCTATTGGGAAAGACAGACATTGGGTAAGTAATTACAAGCATGAGGAGTGTTACAAAATGGTGCTGTAGGAGAATACAAGGGACCTGGCCAAGATGAGGGTCAGGAAAGACCTTCTGAGGGAAATAATGTTAAAGCCGAAACTGATGTCTACACAAGTCAAAAAGTTGTATATACACAAGTCAAAAAGTTGGGAAAAGAATGTTCCAGGTAGAGGGAACTGCATATTCAAAGATGTGGAGGTAGGATGGAGCATATTCCATTTGAAGAAATGGAATATGTATGCAATATATATTTATTTCATCTGGAGAAAGGAAAGCAAAGGGGAGGGTGGTATGTAACGAGGCTAGAAAGACACGCAGGGCAGTGCTGTGGAAAGATTTGTAATAATTATTTTATCTAACAATTATTTGTTAAGTACCTCCTATATCCCAGGCACTGTTCATGGAATTGGTGAGACATCATTGAAAAATATAAGTCCCCCATTTATCATGCAGCTTACCTTCTTCCAAGCCATGTTAACCTTTCTGAGTTTCTCCTAAGAGCAAAGGAAAACTCTGGAACGGTTCTAAGTAGCAGAGATGCATGGTCTTATTTCTATTTTTAAAAGATTATTTTGTTGAATTGTGAAGAATGGACACTCCAGAAATCTTCTCTCTCTTCATCCCCAATCACATGTATCTTCAAAAGAGCACTTTTCACAATATTGATTCTTCCTATCCATGAGGATGGAATGTTTTATCATTTGTGTTCTCGCTTATTTCCTTGAGCCGTGGTTTGTAGTTCTCCTTGAAGAGGCCCTTCACATCCCTTGTTAGCTGTATTCCTAGGTATTTTATTCCCTTTGTAGCAATTGTGAATGGGAGTTCATTCATGATTTGGCTCTCTGATTGTCTAGTGTGGATGTAAAGGCATGCTTGTGATTTTTGCACATTGATTTTGTATCCTCAGACTTTGCTGAAGTTGCTTATCAGTTTAAGGATTTTTTTGGGGCTGAGATGATGGGGTTTTCTAAATATAAAATCATGTCGTCTACAAACAGAGACAATTTGACTTCCTCTCTTCCTATTTGAATACTCTTTATTTCTTCCTCTTGCCTGATTGCCTTGGCCAGATCTTCCAATTACTATGTTGAATAGGAGTGGTGAGAGAGGACATCCTTGTCTTGTGCCAGTTTTCAAAGGGAATGCTTCTAGCTTTTGCCCATTCAGTGTGATATTGGCTGTGGGTTCGTCATAAGTAGCTCTTATTATTTTGAGATATGTTCCATCAATATGTAGTTTATTGAGAGTTTTTAACATGAAGGATGTTGAATTTTATCAAAGGCCTTTCCCGCATCTATTGAGATAATCATGTGGTTTTTGTCTTTGGTTCTGTTTATGTGATGGATTACGTTTATTGATTTGCATATGTTGAACCGGCCTTGCCCCAGAGATGAAGCTGACTTGATCGTGGTGGATAAATTTTTTGATGTGCTGCTGAATTCGGTTTGCCAGTATTTTATTGAGGATTTTCACATTGATGTTTATCAGGGATATTGGCCTGAAGTTTTCTTACTGCCCAAAATAATTTATAGATTCAATGCTATTCCCATCAAACTACCATTGACATTCTTCACAGAATTAGAAACAACTACCTTAAATTTCATATGGAATCAAAGAAGATCCCGTATAGCCAAGACAATCCTAAGCAAAAAGAACAGATCTGGAGGCATCACATTACCTGACTTCAAGCTATACTACAAGGCTACAGTAACCAAAACAGCATGGTGCTGGTACCAAAACAGACATATAGACCAGTGGAACAGAACAGAGACCTCAGAAATAACCAAATAACACCACACATCTACAACCATCTGATCTTCGAGAAACCTGACAAAAACAAGCAATGTGGAAAGGATCTCCTATTCAATAAATGGTGCTGAGAGAACTGGCTAGCCATATGCAGAAAACTGAAACTGGATCCCTTCCATATGCCTTATACAAAAATTAACTCAAGATGAATTAAAGACTTAAATGTAAAACCCAAAACCATAAAAACCCTAGAAGAAAACCTAGACAATACCATTCAGGACATAGGCGTGGGCAAAGACTTCGTGATGAAAGCGCCAAAAGCAAATGCAATAAAAACCAAAATTGACAGATGGGATCTAATTAAACTAAAGAGCTTCTGCACAGCAACAGAAACGATCATCAGAGTAAACAGGCAACCTACAGAATGGGTGAAAATTTTTGCAATCTACCCTAAGTGCTAATATCCAGAATTTACAAGGAACCTAAGCAAATTTACAATAAAAAAACAACCCCATCAAAACATAGGCAAAGGATATGAACAGACACTTCTCAAAAGAAGACATTTATGTGGCCAACAAACATGAAAAAAAGCTCAACATCACTGATCATCAGAGAAATGCAAATCAAAACCACAATGAGATACCATCTCACACCAGTCAGAATGATGATTATTAAAAAGTCAAAAAACAATAGATGCTGGCGAGGCTTTGGAGAAATAGGAATGCTTTTACACTCTTGGTGGAAATGTAAATTAGTCCATTGTGGAAGATGGTATAGTGAGTCCTCAAGGGTCTAGAACCAGAAATACCATTTGGCCCAGCAGTCCCATTACTTGGTATATACCCAAAGGAATATAAATCATTCTACTATAAAGACACATGCACATGTATGTTTATTGCAGCACTATTTACAATAGCAAAGACATGAAACCAACCCAAGTGCCCATCAGTGATAGACTGGATAAAGAAAATATGGGACTGGGTGTGTGGCTCATGCCTGTAATCCCAGCACTTTAGGGGGCTGAGGCAGGTGGATCACCTGAGGTTGGGAGTTCAAGACCTGCCTGACCAACATGGAGAAACCCTGTCTGTACTAAAAATACAAAATTAGCTGGGCGTGGTAGTGCATGCCTGTAATCCCAGCTACTAGGGAGGCTGAAGCAGGAGAATCACATGAACCTGGGAGGTGGAGGTTGCAGTGAGCCAAGATGATGCCATTGCACTCCAGCCTGGGCAACAAGAGTGAAACTCCATCTCAAAAAAAAAAAAAGAAAGAAAGAAAGAAAATGTGGTATGCTGTGGCTGGCAAGATGGCTGAATAGGAACAGCTCCGGCCTGCAGCTGCCAGCAAGATCAACACAGAAGGCAGGTGATTTCTGAATTTCCAACTGAAGTGCCCTGACTCATCTCATTGGGACTGGTTAGAGAGTGGGTGCAGCCCATGGAGGGCGAGCCGAAGCAGGGTGGGGCATTGCCTCACCCGGGAAGCACAAGGGATCAGGGAACTCCCTCCCTTAGCCAAAGGAAACCATGAGAGACTGTGCTGTGAGGAATGGTGCATTCTGGCCCAGATACTACACTTCTCCCATGGTCTTGGTAACCCACAGACCAGGAGATTCCCTCAGGTGCCTACACCACCAGGGCTGCACAAAACTGGGTGGCTGTTTGGGCAGACACCGAGCTAGCTGCAGGGGTTTTTTTTTTTCATACCCCAGTGGCGCCTGGAACACCAGCGAGACAGAACTCTTCACTCCCCTGGAAAGGGGGCTGAAGCCAGGGAGCCAAGTGGTCTAGCTCAGTGGATCCCACCCCCACAGAACCCAGCAAGCTAAGATCCACTGAGTTGAAATTCTCACTGCCACCACAGCAGTCTGAAGTTGACCTGGGATGCTCAATCTTGGTGGGACGAGGGGCATCCGCCATCACTGAGGCTTGAGTAGGCGGTTTTCCCCTCACAGTCTAAACAGAGGCACCTGGAATTTTGAGCTGGGTGGAGCCCACCACAGTTTTGCAAAGCTGCTATAGCCAGACTGCCTCTCTAGATTCCTCCTCCCTGGGCAGGGCATCTCTGAAAGAAAGGCAGCAGCCCCAATCGGGCTTATAGATAAAACTCCCATCTCCCTGGGACAGAGCACCTGGGGGAAGGGACAACTGTGGGTGCAGCTTCAGCAGACTTAAACATTCGTGCCTGCCAGCTCTGAAGAGAGCAGCGGGTCTCCCAGCACAGTGCTCGAGCTCTGCTAAGGGACAGACTGCCTCCTCAAGTGGGTCCCTGACCCCCATGCCTCCTGACTAGGAGACACCTCCCAGCAGGGGTTGACAGACACCTCATACAGGAGAGCTCCGGCTGGCATCTTGCGGGTGCCCCTCTGGGACTAAGCTTCCAGAGGAAGGAACAGGCAGCAATCTTTGCTGTTCTGCAGCCTCTGCTGGTAATACTCAGTCAAACAGTGTCTGGAATGGACCTCCGGCAAACTTCAGCAGACGTGCAGCAGAGGGGCCTGACTGTTAGAACGAAAACTAACACGGAAAGGAATAGCATCAACATCAACAAAAAGGACGTCCACACAAAAACCCTATCCGAAGGTCACCAACATCGAAGAGCAAAGGTAGATAAATCCATGAAAGTAAGGAAAAACCAGCGCAAAAGGCTGAAAATTCCAAAAACCAGAACACCTCTTCTCCTCCAAACGATCACAGCTTCTCAACAGCAAGTGAACAAAATTGGACGGAGAATGAGTTTGACAAATTGACAGAAAGTAGGCTTCAGAAGGTGGGTAATAACAAACTCCTCCAAGCTAAAGGAGTATGTTCTAACCCAATGCAAGGAAGCTAAGAACCTTGAAAAAAGGTTAGAGGAATTGCTAACTAGAATAACCAGTTTAGAGAAGAACATAAATGACCTGATGGAGCTGAAAAACACAGCATGAGAACTTCATGAGGCATGCACAAGTATCAGTAGCCAAACTGATCAAGTGGAAGAAAGGATATCAGAGATTGAAGATCAACTTAATGGAATAAAGAGTGAAGACAAGATTAGAGAAAAAAAAATCAAAAGGAATGAACAAAGCCTCCAAGATATATGGGACTATGTGAAAAGGCCAAACCTACCTTTGATTGATACACCTGAAAATGACAGGGAGAATGGAACCAAGTTGGAAAACACTCTTCAGGATATTATCCAGGAGAATTTCCCCAACATGGCAAGACGGACCAACATTCAAATTCAGGAAATACAGAGAACACCACAAAGATACTACTCCTCAAGAAGAGCAATCCCAAGACAATCATCAGCCTGACCAAAGTTGAAATGAAGGAAAAAAATGTTAAGGGCAGCCATAGAGAAAGGTCAGGTTACCCACAAAGGGAAGCCCATCAGACTAACACCGGATCTCTCTGCAGAAGCCCTACAAGCCAGAAGAGAGTGGGGGCCAATATTCAACATTCTTAAAGAAAATAATTTTCAATCCAGAATTTCATATCCAGCCAAACTAAGCTTCATAAGCAAAGGAGAAAGAAAATCCTTTACAGACAAGCAAATGCTGAGAGATTTTGTCACCACCAGGCCTGCCTTGCAAGAGGTCCTGAAGGAAGCACTAAATATGGAAAGGAAAAATCAGCCCTAGCCACTGCAAAAACATACCAAATTGTAAAGACCATTGACACAATGAAGAAACTACATTAACTAATGGGCAAAATAACCAGCTAGTATCATAATGACAGGATCAAATTCACACATAACATTATTAACCTTAAATGTAAACGGGCTAAATATCCCAATTAAAAGACATAGACTGGCAAATTGGATAAAGAGTCAAGACCCACCAGTGTGCTGTGTTCAGGAGACCCATCTCACGTGCAGAGACACCCATAGGCTCAAAATAAAGGGAGGGAGGAATATTTACCAAGAAAAAAAAAAAAAAAGAAAGCAGGGGTTGAAATCTTAGTCTCTGATAAAACAGACTTTAAATCAACAAAGATCAAAAGAGACAAAAAAGGGCATTACATAATAGTAAAGGGATCAATGCAACAAGAAGAGCTAACTATCCTAAATATATATGCACCCAATACAGGAGCACCCAGATTCATAAAGCAAGTTCTTAGAGACCTACAAAGAGACTTAGACTTCCACACAATAATAGTGGGAGACTTTAACACCCCATTGTCAATATTAGACAGATTAACGAGACAGAAAATTAACAAGGATACTCAGGACTTGAACTCAGCACTGGACCAAGCAGACCTAATAAACATCTGCAGAACTCTCCACCCTAAATCAATAGAATGTACATTCTTCTCAGCACCGCATCGCACTTACTCTAAAATTGACCATGTAATTGGAAGTAAAACACTCCTCAGCAAATGGAAAATAACGGAAATCATAACAAACAGTTTTTCAGACCACAGTGCAATCAAATTGGAACTCAGGATTAAGAAACCTCAGTCAAAACTGCACAACTACATGGAAACTGAACAACCTGCTCCTGAATGACTACTGGGTAAATGACGAAATGAAGGCAGAAATAAACAAGTTCTTTGAAACCAATGAGAACAAAAACGCAATGTACCAGAATCTCTGGGACACAGCCAAAGCAGTGTTTAGAGGGAAATTTGTAGCATTAAATGCCCATGGAATACAACTTACAAGGGATGTAAAGGACCTCTTCAAGGAGAACTACAAACCACTGCTTAAGGAAATAAGAGAGGACACAAACAAATGGAAACATTCCATGCTCATGGATAGTAAGAATCAATATTGTGAAAATGGCTGTACTGCCCAAAGTGATTTATAGATTCAATGCTATCCCCATCAAGCTACCATTGACTTTCTTCACAAAATTAGAAAAAACTACTTTAAATTTCACAGGGAACCAAAAAAGAGTCCATATAGCCAAGACAATCCTAAGCAGAAAGAACAAAGCTGGAGTTATCACTCTACCTGACTTCAAATTATACTACAAGGATACAGTAACCAAAACAGCATGGTACTGGTACCAAAACAGATATGTAGACCAATGGAACAGAACAGAGGCCTCAGAAATAATGCCACACATCTACAACCACCTGATCTTTGACAACCTGACAAAAGCAATGGGGAAAGGATTTCCTATTTAATAAATGGTGCTGGGAAAACTGTCTAGCCATGTGCAGAAAACTGAAACTGGACCCCTTCCTTACACCTTATACAAAAATTAACTCAAGATGAATTAAAGACTTAAACATAAGATCTAAAACCTTAAAAACCCTAGAAGAAAACGTAGGCAATACCATTCAGGACATAAGAAATGGAAAAGACTTCATGACTAAAACATCAAAAGTAATAGCAACAAAAGCCAAAATTGACAAATGGGATCTGATTAAACTGAGGAGCTTCTGCACAGCGAAAGAAACTATCATCAGAGTGAACAAGCAACCTACAGAATGGGAGAAAATTTTTGCAATCTGTCCATCTGATAAAGGCCTAATATCCAGAATCTACAAGGAACTTAAAATTACAAGAAAAAAACAACCCCATCAAAAAGTGGACAAAGGTTATGAACAGACACCTCTGAAAAGAAGACATTTATGTGGCCAACAAACAAAAAAAGCTCATCATCACTGGTCATTAGAGAAATGCAAATCAAAACCACAATGAGATACCATCTCACACCAGTTAGAATGGCAGTGATTAAAAAGTCAGGAAACAACAGATGCTGGAGAGGATGTGGAGAAATATGAATGCTTTTACACTGTTGGTGGGAGTGTAAATTAGTTCAACCATTGTGGAAGACTGTGGTGATTCCTCAAGGATCTAGAACCAGAAATACCATCGGACCCAGCCATCCCATTACTGGGTATATTTCTAAAGAATTATAAATCATTCTATAAAGACACATTCACACATATGTTTATTGCAGCACTGTTCACATTAGCAAAGACTTGGAACCAACTCAAATGCCTATCAGTGATAGACTGGATAAAGAAAATGTGGCACATACACACCATGAAATACTATGCAGCCATAAAAAAGAATGAGTTCATGTCCTTTGCAGAGACATGGATGAAGCTAGAAACCATCATTCTCAGCAAACTAACACAGGAACAGAAAACCAAACACCACATGTTCTCACTCATAAGTGGGAGTTGAACAATGAGAACACATGGACACAGGGAGGGGAACATCACACACCGGGGTCTGTTGGGGGATGGGGGGCTAGGGGAGAGATAGCATTAGGAGTAATACCTAATGTAGATGATGGGTTGATGGGTGCAGCAAACCACCATGTCTATTTTTTTTTTTTTTGAGACAGAGTCTCGCTGTGTCGCCCAGGCTGGAGTGCAGTGGTGTGATACTGGCTCACTGCAACCTCCGCCTCCCAGGTTCAAGCAATTATTCTGCCTCAGCCTCCTGAGTAGCTGGGACTACAGGTGCCAGCCACCACACCCGGCTAATTTTTGTATTTTTAGTAGTTCAATAGTTGCACAGCAATGTGAATGTACTTAAAGCCACTGAACCTGAACTTTATACTTGAAAATAGTTAAAATGGTAAATTTTATGTTGTGTATATTTTACCACAATAAAAAACATATTTATGTCAGCTATGGCCCATAAAGATTATTACTGACATGTATATAGAACACAGATTTGATTTGTTAAAGGTACTGACGTCACACACTGGTCTTCTAAAAGATGAACTCACTTTCTCAGTCTTTTAAAAAAATAATCCAAATAAAATGAGCTATTGTGGTAAACACATTTGTTGCAATTTGTAAACTCAGTTTGCTCCCTTTTTTGTACCAACAGGAAAATCAAGAAGATCTGGGCCTGTGGGAAGAGAAATTTGGAAAATTTGTGGATATCAAAGCTAATGGTAAAATTGAAACTGGTATAGTATTAAAACAGATCATTCTAAAAATGTCTACATAATTCTATCAAAAAGCCCCTTGATCTCTGGCACCTAAAACAGGTGACTTTAACAGAAGAACAGAAATCCCAGATCAGATTTGCTATCCTTCAGTAATGCATTGCATCAGAGAAATAGCAATTATTTGCCTTTTGTAGGAAGTGTAAAAGAAATATAGGCCACACGGAGCTTATGGTCTCATACAGGGTCATGGGTCAGCACACTGCTTGCACTGTTCATCAGATAAGACAGCTACAAATTCCACATTAAATTTTTATGAGAGTGAAGTGATGAGAAACCCAAGTTCTAGAGCCACTCTGTTGCAACATTTCAAGCCAATGGTTCTCAACCTTTTCTAGGCCTCCCCATCATTCACATGGGTATCACATGCCCATCTGTCACATTTCTCACCAGGCTTAGTGATGGAATTAGGGTAGAGGGGCGAGTTTGTCTCTTTAGGAGATATCTTTCAGGTACTTGGGGCTTATGCAGTTAGAAAAATACTCACTTTCCTCTTTCCTCCTCCCTATTCTGTAGAATAACAAACCCTTTCTAACACCTTTAAAATTCCCATTCTAGCCATCATTATCTATAGCATAGTATAATGATGAGGGCTGACAGAATGCCCCAAATTAAAAGTGGGGGCATGGGTTCTCAGGCCCTCCTTTCTGTAACATCATCATCTTTTTATCTTTTTTTTTTTTTTGAGGCAGGTTCTCACTCTGTCACCCAGGCTGGAGTGCAGTGGCATGATCATGGCTTACTGCACCCTTGAACTCCTGGCCTTGAGTGATGCACCTGCCTCGGCCTCCCAAAGTGCTGGGATTACAGGCATGAGCCACCATACCCGGCCATGTCATAATCTTTTTCACCTTCTCTGTAGCATCCCTTTTCCACAAGCTCCTACAAATAAGGACCATTTGATGTCAAATACTTTAACCTAAGCATAAATTAAAGTCCACGTTATACCTCCTAGTCATTTGCATTTTTCCCATAGCTCTAAAATAATTGTTAAAGACTTCGTCTTTGGTTAAAGGAAATTTATATAATCACAGAGGAGGAGTATTTTGAGGAACCAGTTATGGCCCTCCTGGTGCCCTTGACATTTGCATTCCCTGTAGGTAGTCACAGACGAGGCTGGCAGTAAGAATGATCAGGCACAAGACAATCAGTCATTTCATCTAGTGTAGACTGAAAGTGCACAATATCCTTTGCTTCCTAAAGCAAAGAAATATGTGATAAGGAAAATTTCGATTAGGAAAAAATCTAAAACTTTGTAATGATGTTTTATATAGAGACGAGATTTACTGTGAAGAGGACACAGAGAGCTTCATCACACAGCTAAGGCAACAGAACTAATACATGACCAGAACTTTGCCTTACACATTTTTGTATCCCCACAACACCTGAATATAATATCTCACAGAGGGTCAGTACACAGCATTTGCTAATTGATCTAGGTGAGCCCAGGTCTCTCAGCCTTTAGTCTAGTCATCTCTCTGCACTCAGAATTAACTGAATCTCCTTAAGTGAGTGTTCTTTTCAGAAACAAAACTCAGTATCCTGGTCTCTACAGGCCCTTCTTCTATTGGTTTGGATTTCTCCTTGCATGGATTTGAGCATCTTTATGGGATCCCACAACATGCAGAATCACACCAACTTAAAAATACTGGGTAAGTGAAAACAAGAATTCTTATGGGAGTCTCTGGTTTTTGTATTGAGATGATCTGAAAACATTTGTGAGCTGTCTGAGCCAGTGCTAATATGTGCCAGGCCTTTTCCTCCTTTATATTGCTTGTGGATCTTTAAGAACCCTCCTTGAATGATCACTCAGAGCAGTGGTTTTCCTTTTTTTTGAGACAGAGTCTTGCTCTGTCGCCCAGGCTGGAGTGCAGTGGCACAATCTTGGCTCACTGCAAGCTCCACCTCCAGAGTTCAAGAGATTCTCCTGCCTCAGCCTCCTGAGTAGCTGAGACTACAGGCACCTGTCACCACGCCTGGCTAATTTATTTTGTATTTTTAGTAGAGACAGGGTTTTACCATGTTGGCCAGGCTGGTCTTGAACTCCTGACCTTGTGATTCACCCACCTCAGCATCCCAAAGTGCTGGTATTACAGCAGTGAGCCACCGTGCCTGGCCGGTTTTCCAGTTTTATTTATTTTTTTAATGGAAAAATTAGATAACTGTAAAAACTATAATACTGAACCTAGAAATATAGAGGAAGTAAAATTATGGAGCTGCTGTGATCAGAATAGAGGGAAGATCTTTATCCTCGGGTTTCACTTTTACCTCTCAAGACCTTTTGTGGAGCCTTGGGAGAATATATTGTGAAAAATCACTGACCCAGAAAAAGGCTTTTACCAAAATGGGAGAGTGAGCCAGAGAATGGAAAAATGTGGTATCTCATATCACCTTTAGTTTCCTCAGGGATATCATGTCAGGCTAACACTATTGACAAATAGATGCCCGAGGCATCAGACTAAGAGGAAACAAAACCAAAGAGAAACAGAGTCTGATAAGATTGCCAGGTTCAGGTGCTGTTTACTTTCAGGTAGGCACAGTGGCAAGTCCAGCAGAAACTGTGCTGCTCTCACACTGATTTCAGCTCTGTGCTCCCACCCCCAATTCAGTTCCCCATCTTCCCCTGCTAAGCACTGTGGAAGCCTGTTGGACACAATTTTTTTTTTTTTTTGAGACAGAGTCTCGCACTGTCGCCCAGGCTGGAGTGCGGTGGCGTGATCTCGGCTCACTGCAACCTCTGCCTCCCAGGTTCAAGCGATTCTCCTGCCTCAGCCTCCCTAGTAGCTGAGACTACAGGTATGCGCCACTACGCCCAGCTAATTTTTGTATTTTTAATAGCGTCAGGCTTTCACAGTGTTGGCCAGGATGGTCTCGATCTCTTGACCTCATGATCCACCTGCTTCGGCCTCCCAAAATGCTGGGATTACAGGCGTGAGCCACCGGCACCCAGCCTGGACACAATTCTTTTAACCGCAGAGAAGTACTCACAAAATTCATCAGTGGGTACTTGCTGTGTGCTTGCTATTGTGGAGTATTCATAGGAGAGAGTCCTCCACTCAAAGGATATTTAGGCTGGGCACAGTGGCTCATACCTGTAATCCCAGCACTTTGGGAGGCCGAGGTGGGTAGATCACTTGAGGTCAGGAGTTTGAGACCAGCCTGGCCAACATGGTGAAACCGCATCTCTACCAAAAAATACAAAAATTAACTGGGTGTAGTGGCACGCACCTGTATTCCCCGCTACTTGGGAGGCTGAGGTGGGAGAACTGCTGACCCTGGAAGGTAGAGTTTGCAGTGAGCCAAGATCGCACCACTGCACTCCACCCTGGGTGACAGAGTGAGACCCTATCTGGAAAAAAGAAAAAGGAGATATTTAGAAAAGATGTCTAAGATGTGATCGTATGTGCTAATGTCACAGGAAGTGGTGCCAAAGGAGTCAAGGGAAGAGGACCACGTTCACCTAAGTTGGGTCAGGAAATCTTTAGGGAAGTGGCAAGAGTTGAGCCTCCAAAGATGCGTGGGACCTAAGTGTTTAGAGAGAAGAGTAGAGCTGTTCTATTTATTAATATTAATAATATATTTGTGATGGTAATTGATGATAATCTTTGTGTTTCAGTGATGGAGATGCTTACCGTCTTTATAACCTGGATGTCTATGGATACCAAATATATGATAAAATGGGCATTTATGGTTCAGTACCTTATCTCCTGGCCCACAAACTGGGCAGAACTATAGGTATTTTCTGGCTGAATGCCTCGGAAACACTGGTGGAGATCAATACAGAGCCTGCAGTAGAGGTGAGCTATTTATCATGGCTACATGTCATACTTAAAGAAGAAACAAAACCACTGCAGTGGAGTTATAGCTCTTATCTTTGTATTGGCACTTCTCTGCCAACAAAAGCTTTACAGTGTAATCAGTGAATATCAGTAGTATCTACTAAAGGATCAGACTGTTACTTATATGTGGCTGGATGTTGCAGGTTAGAGGGAAATTTCTCAAATTTTTATTCCATTCTTTTTCCAGTACACACTGACCCAGATGGGCCCAGTTGCTGCTAAACAAAAGGTCAGATCTCGCACTCATGTGCACTGGATGTCAGAGAGTGGCATCATTGATGTTTTTCTGCTGACAGGACCTACACCTTCTGATGTCTTCAAACAGTACTCACACCTTACAGGTATTTGCACGAAGAAGTGCCAGTTTCTTGTTCTGTTACATATCCAATGTCCCATGTGTCATCACGGTAAGTTAATATTTGTTGTATACTATGTAGAGTTTATAACTTACCCAAGCATTTTAATTAGCAAGCATTTCTGTTCCCATCCTCATCCCATTCAGTTCAGTAAAACATTGCACTGGGTCTAGAATGCTCTACTGTCTAGTTCCTAATACTTGCCATCTGCTTTCCTTGAAGCTTTTAGCCCCTGGGCTATCTCTACCTTTATCTCAGATGACCAGTATCCCAACTTCAACTTTTCTATGTTTTCTTCTCCATTAAAATATGCAACTGGCTTTAGCATTAGAGCATTTTATTTTAAAAGAATGCAAGCTTTTCTCTAAGATCAGAAACAAGACAAGGCATTGCATTTTCACCACTATTATTCAACATTGTACTGGAATTTCTAGCCAGAGAAATTAGGCAAGAAAAATAAATAAAAGATATCAAAATTGGAAAAGAATAAATAAGATTATAGGAGATGATATGATCCTATATATAGAAAATCCCAAAGAATCCACAAAAAAATTACTAGAGGTAGTAAATTCAGCAAAGTTGCAGGGTACAAGATCAATATATTAATCCACTCTCACACTGCTAAGAAGAAATACCTGAAACTGGGCAATTTATAAAGAAAATAAGTTTAATTGGCTCATGGTCCTGCAGGCTGTACAGGAAACATGGCTGGGGAGGCCTCAGGAAACTTAACAATTATGATGGAAGGCAAAGGGGAAGCAGGCACATCTTACCTGGTCGGAGCAGGAGGAATAAAGAGAGGGAGGAGGTGCCACACACTTTTAAACAACCAGATCTTGTGAGAAATCACTATCACAAGAACAGCAAGGGAGAAATCCGCCTCCATGATCCAGTCATCTCCCACCAGGCTCCTCTTCCAACATTGGGGATTACAATTCGACGTGAGATTTGGGTGGGAACACAAATCCAAACCATATCAATCAATAACGAAAAAAAAAATTAGTTCTGTTTCTATATACCCGCAATGAACAATCCAAAAAAATTTAAGAAAACAGTTCCATTTACAATAATATCCAAAAGAATAAAATACCTAGGAATACACTTAACAAAGGAGGTGAAAGACTTGTACACTGAAAACTATAAAACATTCCTGATAGAAATTAAAGAATGCCTAAATAAATGGAAAGACATCCCATGTTCATAGGTTGGAAGGCAATGTTAAGATGGCAGTAATATAGAAAGTGATTCACAGATTCACTGCAATCCCTATCAAAATTCCAATGGCTTCTTTTGCAGAAATGGAAAAGCTGATCTTCCATAGAATTGCACAGGGACCTGAATAGCCAAAACAATCCTTAAAAAGAGAAACAAAGTTGAAAAATTTATACTTCTTATATGATTTGGCTGTTTCCCCACCCAAATCTCATCATGAATTCCCCTGTTGTGGGAGAGACCCGGTGGGAGGTAATTGAATCATGGGGGCAGATCTTTCTCGTACTGTTCTCGTGATAGTGAATGAGTCTCATGAGATGTGATGGTTATAAAAAGGGGAGTTTCCCTGCACAAGCACTCTCTTTGCCTGCTGCTATTCACAGAAGATGTGACATGCTCCTCCTTGCCTTCGGCCACAATTGTGAGGCTTCCCCAGACATGTAGAACTGTAAGTTCTACAATTAAACTTCTTTCTTTTGTAGATTGCCCAGTCTTGGGTATGTCTTAAGCAGAGTGAAAATCAAATACAACTTCTCAATTTCAAACTTACTTCAAAGCTATGGCAATCAAAAGAACATGCCACTGCCCAGGCACGGTGGCCCATGCCTGTAATCCTGCACTTTGGGAGGCTGAGGTGGGTGGATCACTTGAGGTCAGGAGTTTGAGACCAGCCTGACCAACATGGCGAAAACCTGTCTCTACTAAAAATACAAAAATTGGCCAGGCATGGTGGTGGGCTGTAATCCAGCTACTCGGGAGGCTGAGGCAGAAGAATCGATTGAACCCACAAGGCGAGGTGGAGGTTGCAGTGAGCCAAGATCATGCCACTGCACTCCAGCCTGGGTGACAAAGCAAGACTCCGTCTCAAAAAAAAAAAAAAAAAAGAACATGCTACTGGAATAAGGATAGACATACAGACCAGTGAAATAGAATTGAGAATCTAGAAGTAAACCCATACGCTTATGGCCACCCAAAACACTGGGATTACAGGCACAAGCCACAGTGCTTTGTCCATGTCACCATTATAATTTCAATAAAGGTTCATGACCATTCGATGAAGAAGAAATAGTCTCTTGAGCATATGGTGTGAGACAGTTGGATATCTACTTGCAAAAGAATGAAGTTGGACTCCTATATTCAAAAATATGTTATATGTGTATCATATACAAAAAAATAAAATGGTTCAACTATATAAGAGCTAAAACCATAAGACTCTCAGAAGAAAACAGGTAAATCTTCATGAACTTGGATTTGGCAGTGGATTCTTAGATATGACAACAAAATCGTGAGGAACAATGACAAGAAACACATGTTAGAATTCACTAACATTAAAAACTTTTGTGCATCAAAGAACATAAAGTGAAAAAGCAACCTACAGAATGGGAGAAAATGTTTGCAGATTGTATATCTGATATGGGTCTCTTATCCAGAATACATGAAGAACTGTCTACCACTGAGCAACAAAAAGACAGGCTGAGCACTGGGCCCATATCCCTCATGCTCGTCTGCCACTGAGGGCGCATGCAGCCTCTAGACCACAACCAAACAGTGACCCAGACTGCTACAGCCACCTTCTGGGCACCATATCACAGAGCAGGGACCCCAGGCTGTAGGGAAAGAGCTTGCAGGGCTCCTGGATAGAACTGTACTTTAGCAATGATAGGAAGGGGAACAGTGCTCCAACATCAGTTTCTGTTTATAATGGTGACATGGGCTGGGCACAGTGGCTCACGCCTGTAATCCCAGTGCTTTGGGAAGCCTCCAAAGTGCTTCCTTGAATTCAAGTAATCCTCTGCCTTGCTTCCCAGAGAAAGGCTGCAGTAAGCACTGTTCATGCTGCTGCTCTCCCGCCTAGACAACAGAGCGAGACCCTATCTCTAAAAACAACAGCAACAACAACAACAAAATTAATGTAATAGTGACATGGAAAAAATACAGCTGGATGCTTAAAATGAATTTGGACAGAGTAGCTCCAAAAGTTCTGTGACAGCCTACCTCTTTTACAGACATTGGAGAAAAATAGCTCTCAGTCTGAGGAAGATACTGAGAAAAGGAAAGAAGTTGAAAGCATCTTGAAGAAAAATTCAGATTGGATATGGGATTGGACAAGTTGGCCAGAAAATATTCCCCACAAGGAGTTCCTCTTTAAAGCACCTGAAGCACGTAGCTACCCAGCATGGAATTTAAAGCCTGATGAGGAAAGGGGGCATTTTCTCAGCAGAATTTCCAAAGGGTTTTGCTGCTGTCTCATCTGGTGGCCATGGGATTGGGGATCTATATTGGAAGGCATCTGACAACTTCTACCAGCACCTTTTGATGAATAATTTGAATCCAGCTTTGTGCGTATAGTGGGGATTTCTATCTGAGCTTGTGACACAGCTAACTCAGGAGCTGTTATGGTCCTTGGGTGGCTGTTTCACTTGTTTTTATTTGTTCTGTAAATACTGCTTTCCTAATTTAGTAAAATGAAAGAATAGACACTAAAATCACACTGACCTATACTTATACCTATAGAATCAGTTAATAAGGGTATCAGACTGATTAATATCTACTGTAACAATTTGGCAGTGAGTTTTCTTTGGATATTAGTATAAATATGTAAGTATCGTTTTAATATATTAGTCATGATATAGCATTTTAAAAATTATCTGTAACCTGAATTCTGTTAAAACACTTTATATTCCAAAAGAATGAATGACAGTGATATTAAAATCACTACATTAAAGGGTTTGCCCAGAATAAATATTGTGGCCTTACTTACACTACTGTGGAAAATATTATGTTTAATTTAAATAAATGCAGGTTGTCTACTAAGACTACACTTAACTATGGTAATTGTTCTTAATAAATAGAGAACAAGTTACAGCTACAAATGCCACCATACACTTCATACACCAAATTGTTCTCACTTTTGCAGCATAAGGACTTCAACCTCCAACTATTAGGTAATCAACTTGGATAATGTGTCTGTCAAAGGCACGTACTCAGTATCTTTTCCTCTTTATCACTCTGGATTGCTGAATTTAATCCTATCCTTTGTGCTCAACTTTTTTGTGCTGTTAAAATCAGCTTTATCCTAAGCATATCTGTATCTACTTTAAAAGATTGGAAATGGAAAAAAATAAATATTTGCCATATCCTTTAAAAAAAGAAAAGAAGCCATACTTTAAAAGACTAGAAATGGAAAATAAATAAATAAATCTTTACCAAATTCTTAAACAACAAAAAGATAAACAACCCAATTCTAAAATGAGCAAAGGATTTAAAGAGATAGTTCTCCAAAGAAGATAAATAAGTGAACAACAAACACATGAAAATATGCTCAGCATTGTTAGTCATTAGGAAAATGCAAATCAAAACCACAGTAAAATATCACTTCACACCCACTAGGATGGCTAAATCCAAAAAAATGGAAAAGCATAAGTGTTTACGAGGATGCAGAGAAATTGGAACATTGCTGGTGGAAATGTAAAATGGTTCAGCCATTGCAGAAAAGTTTGGCATTTCCTCAAAAAGTTAAACATAGAATTACCATATGACTCAGTATGATGGTTAATTTTATGTGTCAATTTGACTAGGTCGTGGTACCCAGGTATTCAAACACCAGTCTAGATGTCTCTGTGAAAGTATTTTTTAATGAGATTAACATTTAAGTCAGTAGACTTTGAGGAAAGCAGATTACTCTCCATAATGAGAGTGGGCCTCATCCAGTAGTTGAAGGCCTGGAGAAAAAGACTAAGGTCCCTGGGGAAAACAGAATGTCTCCAGCCTGCCTTCAGGCTCAAGCTGCAACATCAACTCCTCCCTGGTTTTCTAGTATGCCAGTATCTCCTGCAAAACTCAGACTTGCCAGCCCCTACAATCACACGAGCCAGTTACTTTAAATAAATAAGTATTTGTATCTCTCTCTGTGTATGTATACATATTTATAAGTATATAAATATATTCAATATAAATCCTATTAATTCTGTTTCTCTGAAAAACCCTGTGTTCTCTGAAGAACCCTAACTGATACACCCAGCAATTCTACTCCTAGATATATGCACAAGGGAATTGAAAGCAGGGACTCAACAGATACATGTATGCCAATGATCACTGTAGCATTATTCACAATTGTAGGGTCCAGCCCTATGGGGCTTAGTGGGTGTTGTCCCTATGTGCGGAGATGAGAGATTGTAAGAAATAAAGACACAAGACAAAGAGATAAAGAGAAAACAGCTGGGCCCAGGGGACCACTACCACCAAGACGCGGAGACTGGTAGTGGCCCTGAATGGCTGGGCGCGCTGATATTTATTGCATACAAGACAAGGGGGGCAGGGTAAGGAAGGTGAGTCGTCCAAGTGATTGATAAGGTCAAGCAAGTCACGTGATCATGGGACGGGGGCCCTTCCCTTTTAGGCAGCCAAAGCAGAGAGGGAAGGCAGCATTTTCTTCTATGCGTTTTCTTCTATGCACTTGTAAGAAAGATCAAGGACTTTAAGACTTTCACTATTTATTCTACCGCTATCTACTATGAACTTAAAAGAGAAACATGAAAGTGGACAAGGAACGTGACCATTGAAGCACAGCACTACAGGGAGGGGTTTAAGCCTCCAGATGACTGCTGGCAGGCCTGGATAATATCCAGCCTCCCACAGGAAGCTGGTGGAGCAGAGTGTTCCCTAACTCCTCCAAGGAAAGGAGACTCCCTTTCACTATCTGCTAATTAACGGGGCCTTCCCAGGTACTGGTGTTACCGCTTGACCAAGGAGCCCTCAAGCGGCCCTTATGCGGGCATGACAGAGGGCTCACCTCTTGCCTTCTAGGTCACTTCTCACAATGTCCCTTGAGTACCTGACCCTATACCCGCTGGTTATTCTAGGTTATATTAGTAATGCAACAAAGAGTAATATTAAAAGCTAATGATTAATAATGTTTACGCTAATGATTGATAATTGTCCATGATCATCTCTATATCTAATTTGTATTATAACTATTCTTTATTCTAACTATTTTCTTTATTATACTGCTACAGTTTGTGCCTTCAGTCTCTTGCCTCGGCACCTGGGTAATCCTTCGCCCACACATGATAGCCAAAAGGTAGAAACAATCCAAGTGCACATCAAAGATGAACACATAAACAAAATGTGGTATATACATGTAACAGAATATTATTCAGCTATAAAAAGAAATGAAGTTCTGATACATGCTGCAACATGGATGAACCTTGAAAATATGGAAAATGAAATAAGACACGAAAGGACAAGTATTATATAATCCACTTATATGAAGTAGCTATGATATGCAAATTTGTCAAGACAGAGATGAGAGGGGGCTGAGAGGTGTGAGTGTTAGGGAGTTACTGCTTAATGATTACAGAGTTTCTGCTTGGGGTGATGTAAAGGTTTTAGAAATAGTGGTAATGCTTGTACTACATGGTGAATGTAATTAATGCCATTGAATTGGACACTTGGAAATGGTTAAAATGGCAAATTTTGCTATATATATTTTAACACAATTTTTAAGAATCAATAATGTAATATGCCATAAAAACCCTCATTAAATTGTGCATTTTAGATGGGTAAATTGCATGGTACGTGAATTCAGTAAAGCTGTTAAAAGTATTGCAGCATCATTTCTGCTGCATTCAGTTGTTAAAAGCAAGCTAAGTCTAGCCCATGTTCAGTTCCAATTGTGATGGGAGGAATGACAATTTATGGATATGGGCACCCATGCAGGAATAAGTGCTATCAAAGCCCACCTGCAGCTACATTCAACATTGTTATTAGTGAGAATGCTGGTTTATGATAAAGCACTTCCAAAATACTGGATCTCCCACCATGTTCAAAGACAGTAAAGATTATTTGTTGACTCCTGCTGAGGGTTTAGCTCAATCATATACCATACCCTCCTCCGTCTCCCATCCAATCTAGTTATATCACAATTTTTGGTTAAATCAATATTCAATGTTTACATTTTTCACATGCTCAAGGGTGTCTGTTACTTTATCCAGTCTACTTCTTTCCCTGGAGACTTCCTTCCCTACCAGAGCTCTTCATCTTCCTCCTCCCATCTGGACCATTGTTCTCTAGGTTCCCTGCACAGCTTTCATCTCAGAACTTACCTTTGCTGTTTTCTGGTGTTGTATCCCTCCTTTCTTCAGTTCCCTGTTTTTCTCTTTTCTGGTTTATTCCCTTGCTGTGTTTATTTGTTTGTAGCATCTTCTGGTAGTTTCCTAAGAACATTTGCATTGGAGGTACTCTTTTTGCTTCCTTGCAGGTATGAAACCATCTTTTTTCCTACCTTTACCTTTGGCTGATAATTTGCCTGGCAAGACTGAATATTCTTTCTCTCAGAATTTGAAGGCATTTCTTTTACTGTCTTCTACCTTCTTGCTCCAAAACCATTCTTAATTCTATTCCTTTGTTCCTCTGTATATAATCTATCTTTTCTCTCTGAAATACCTTCTCTTTATCACTAACATTCCAAATTTCCAGTATTCTGAAATTTTGTAATAAAATCCCTTGATGGAGATCTTTTGTTTGTTTGTTTGAGTCAGGGTTTTGCTCTGTGCCCAGGTTGGAGTGCAGTGGTGTGATCATGGTTCACTGCAGCCTCAAGCTCCTGGGCTCAAGCGATCATCACACCTCAGAATCCTGAGTAGATGGGACTTAACAGGCATGTGCCACCATGCCCAACTAATTTTTTCATTTTTTATATAGGCAGGGTCTCCCTAGGTTACCCAGGCTGGTTTTAAAACCCTAGGCTCAAGGGATCCTCCCACCTCAGCTTCCCAAAGTGCTTTACAGGGATTACAGGTGTGAGCCACCATGCCTGGCCCTAGGTCTTTTAAAATAATTATTGTTCTGGATGTTAGATGTGGACCCCTTCAATCCTGAGAATTGTGTCCTTCAGTTCTGAGAAACTGTTTTGTATTATTCCTTAGATTAATTTTTCCCTTCCTTTTTTTCTTTCTACTCTACGGATTTTATAATCTCCTTTTCCTTTTTTGCCTAGTTTTTGAGCAATTTTCTCAATTTTATCTTCTAGGCTTTCCATTTATGCTATCATGTTTCTGCTTTCAAGGAGCTCTTTCTTATCCTCTGATGGTTCCTTGGTTTTTGTTTTCATTTTATGCAAAGCAATGGCAAAACATTTATTATCCTGAAATGTGTACATCCTATTTTTTTCAAGTAGCAAATTTGCTGGTAACATAATTTATTTAACCTGTTTCAGTCAGACAAACTCATGATCAATGCTGCTCTGTATAATTTCAAGTCTGATGAGCCTCTTTTTTGTTTTTTTGTTTTTAAACAAAAAACACTCTGTTGCCCAGGCTGGAGTGCAGTGGCGTGACCATGGCTCACTGCAGCCTCTAGCTCCTGGGCTCAAGCAATTCTTCCGCTTTAGCCTCCTGAGTAGCTGGGACTGTGGGCATGTGCTACATGCCCAGCTAATTCTTTTTATTTATTTATTTTAATTTTTTTGTTGAGATGGGGTCTTGCTCTGTTGCCCAGGTTAGTCTTAAACCCCTGGTCTCAAGCAATCCTCCTGCCTTAGCCTTCCAAAGCACTGAGATCTTCTAAGTATTTTTACCCCACTTCTAAAACTTGATGAGGAATTCAAAATAGCACACCACGTTAAATGACATTTATTGTTTTATAAATTGTATACAGGTTGAGTATTCCATGCTTGGGACTCTAGAGTGTTTCAGTTTTGGGATTATTTTGAATATTTTCATTAAACTTACTGGTTGAGCATCCCAATCTGAAAATCCAAAGCCCAAAATGCTCCAATGAGCATTTCCTTTGAGTGTCATGTTGGTGTTCAAAAAGTTTCAGATTTTAGAGGCCAGATTTGGTGGCTCATGACTGTAATCCCAGCACTTTGGGGAGCCAAGATGGGCGATCACCTAATGTCGGGAGTTTGAGACCAGCTTGGTCAACATGGTGAAACCCTCTGTCTACTAAAAGTACAAAAATTAGCTGGGCATGGTGGCATGCACCTGTAGTCCCAGCTACTCGGGAGGCTGAGGCAGGAAAATCGCTTGAACCCAGAGGCGGAGGTTGCAGTGAGCTGAGATCGTGCCACTGCACTCCAGCCTGGGCGACAGAGCTAAACTCCATCTTAAAAATAAATTAATTAATTAATTTTAAAAAAAAGTTTCAGATTTTAAAGTATTTCAGATTTTGGATTTTCAAATTAGGGATACTCAACCTACACTTGTTTTATGCTATCCTAGTCTTGTTTAAGGGTATAATACCTTATTTCATCTCTCTAGAGATACTAATGATAATGTTTTGATATTTACTTTGGTTCCTTGCATTGTTCCTGTTTTCTTGGAGATCCTTTTCTGTTTCCTTATTTGAGTCACTGTCTCTGATTTTGGAGACTTTGCTCAAATGTGAGTTTTGAGACACAATCTCACTCTGTTGCCCAGGCTGGAGTACAGTGGTGCAATCTCGGCTCACTGCAACCTCCACCTCCTGGGTTCAAGCAGTTCTCCTGCCTCAGCCTCCCAAGTAGTGGGGACTACAGGTGCCCGCCACCACACCTGGATAATTTTTGTATTTTTAGTAGAGACGGGGTTTCACCGTGTTGGCCAGGCTGGTCTCGAACTCCTGACTTCAAGTGATCCACCCACCCCGGCCTCCCAAAGTGCTGGGATTACAGGTGTGAGCCACCACACCTGCCTCCATTCATATTTCATGGTGAGGCTCTGTGTGCCTAGATGAGGCTTCCACTCTAGTTTTGAGAGTGGGCATGTCTACTGGTGTTTGGGAGCAGGGTGAGCTCTTCTGTCAATAGCCTCCTCAATACCACTCTGGGGAGAGCTTCCCTGGCTTTGGCCAACAGTTACCACCCTGCTCCTGCCTGCCACCTGCCAAATTTTTGTTGAAATTACTCCACTCCCATTCTCTTTGTTTTTGTGGCTTTCTTCCTTTTTTCTTCTCTTTACTCAGATTTTAGTGTGACTTTAGGAGGGGAAGGAGATACATGCAAGTGGTTGACCAGAAGTCCTTCACGTTATCAGTAAACATTTTGATAATAATTTACTGAAACTTCTTCCCAACTTCAGTTTCTTTACCTTTAAGTGAGTCCCAATGCTGCACCCTGACTTAATTTTTCTAAAATATAGGTCTGCTAAGATTACATCTTGCCAGACTTTTGATGGCTTCTCATAAGACAAGATTCAGAATTCCTAACCTCAATTACAGGGCCCTTGACAATCTGACCCTATTCAGTTTCATCTTCTACTGGTCTCTCTCACAGTGATACCCTTGAATATTTATTTTTCTGTAAGCCTGTCATGTACTTCCTTGCCTCTGTGTTTTTTCTGTTCCCTGTGCCCGGAATGCTCTATCTATTCTTCCTGTCTGGTATATTCCCACTAACTCTACAAGGTCCAAACCAGGTTTTATCTCCTCTGTGAAGCCTTTCAAGACCCTATACTTCACCACAGGCAGAATTTATTAACCTCTCTGTGTTCTGGTAGCACTAAACTGATGCTTAACCTGGCAATTATACCTCAGGGCAGAGCACTTTATTTACACTCCTGCCTCATTAGCCAGGTTGTCACTTCCTTAAAGGCAAGGACTGTGCTTTCTTCTCCTTGTTATTCTAAGCATAAGCTCAGTGCTGAATACTCTGTAGACATTCAGGAAATGTTTATCAAATGAATAATGGTCATTGCCATGGCAGTTGACTCAGTTGTCATCTCCCTCTTTTAGGCACACAAGCCATGCCCCCTCTTTTCTCTTTGGGATACCACCAGTGCCGCTGGAACTATGAAGATGAGCAGGATGTAAAAGCAGTGGATGCAGGGTTTGATGAGCATGACATTCCTTATGATGCCATGTGGCTGGACATAGAGCACACTGAGGGCAAGAGGTACTTCACCTGGGACAAAAACAGATTCCCAAACCCCAAGAGGATGCAAGAGCTGCTCAGGAGCAAAAAGCGTAAGGTAAAATAAGCCAACATTTCTGAACCTTTTAATTACAGAGTTTTAAAAAATGTTTTAGACTTGCCTTGGCACATCAGTGGTGGAGAAACATCTGATAAAAAATGGCTGTGAAAATAGTAGATTCAAATATAATTGTCACTGTGATAAGAGAGAAAGTGAATGGTAAAAAGGTGATGACCCCATCCATTCCTGGCTTAGTTATCTAGGTCACCATAATGAAGAAGGGGTCTAGCATTTTCAGTTCCGTTTGTTGTGGCCACCCTGTAGTAATGTGATCCCCCCACTCAAAATTTAGTTTCCATGTCTCAATTGGTGACACCACACTTGCACTAAGAGTATATTAAAAAGTTTATTACTCATATAATGAGGCTTTCTGGGGAGAGCAGGGGTGGCTCCCAAGCTGGTTTGAAAATGGCTTGAGAGAACTGAGAAAGGAGATTGGCTCAGCTTTTATGGTGGTTAGCGGGTGGGGACAGGGCAAGGGCTCTTGCACGCAGGCTGAGGCTTAGATAGTTTGAACCCCCTGCTGGCACCAAAGGAGGGGGCACTAGAGCTTTCTTTGTCAGCTTGTCCAGATACGGGCCGAAGGGTAAGGGGGGAGTAGCAGGGCTTGAAAACGCTTAAAAGTCAAATATCAAATATGGTATCAAATTCTTTATTACACTGTTTTTCCTGCATGCTTCCCTGGTGGACTCCACCTGTCAATCTGGCCAAGAAAAGAACGGAAATAGAAAATGGGGAGGGAGAGAAGCCCCTGGAACATGTATAATGCTGCTTTCCAGTTCCAGGAGTGGTGGTGGTGGTAATAGCAATAATGAAAAGATGGAAGGAGAGAAGAAAATGGAGAGAGGAGAAGGGGGGCGAAACCCTATGTGTATCATGTGAGTGAATAAAGTCCCTCTCCTTGAAAGTAAGGTTGACTTTTCAACCCATTCCTTTGACCTCCCCACCAGGCTTTTCACAGACAGCCAGAGCCCATCCAGTTAACTCCTAATTTCCCAATTAATAAATAGTTACCATATATCAAGCTGTTATGGGCTAGACAATATGATAAAACACATTATTCCATCCAGCGATGACAAAACTATAAGGTAGGTCTTGTTACCCCATATTTTAGATGAAGAAGCTGAGGCTTAGACTGGTTTCAAAATTTACACAAAGGCACACAGTGAATAAATAGCATGGCAAGAATATGAACCATGGTCTGCCTGACTCCAGATCTTCTGTCCTTAATAAGTAGTTATTTAATGAGGCCTTGAACCTTCAAGATGCTATGGTAGTGCTGAAGGGTATACAGAGATGAGCTCCTTGTGGTCTTACAGTGAGTGAAGAAAAGGCAAGTATCCAACTACAATACAGGAAAGTAACATAAGGGCCAAAGAAAGGTCAGGGTAGGGGCAGGCCAAGAAAGAGAAGATTGTATCCTCAAGACTTAAGCAGGGCTTTGTTCCAGAGGTGCATTTTATTTTATTTATTTATTTTTTATTTAATTTTTTTTTGGGGACAGAGTCTCACTCTGTCACCCAGGCTGTAGTGCTATGGTGCGATCTCAGCTCATTGCATCCTCCATCTCCTGGGTTCATGCAATTCTCCTGCCTCAGCCTCCTGAGTATCTAGAATTACAGGCATGTGCCACCATGGCCAACTAATTTTTGTATTTTTAGTAGAGATGGGGTTTCACCATGTTAGCCAGGCTGGTCTTGAACTCCTGACTTCAGGTGATCCGCCCACCTGAGGCTCCCAAAGTGCTGGGGTTACAGGCGTGAGCCATCATATCTGGCCTAGAAGTGCATTTTAGATGAGCCCTGAAGCATGTCCCTAACTAATGAGTAAGCAGGGAGAGGGAAGAGGGCAATGCAGCCAGAGGAAGGAGCATTAGGGGTGTTCGGAAAGCAGTGCACAGGCAAGTTTGACAGCCAGGCATGTGAGGGTTCTAATAGTGGAGGATCTGACCAGAAAGGTTGGGACCTTTGTGTAAACTGCTTTGTATGCATTTGGAAACATTACAAGTTTTTGAATAAGGGGTTAATATCCAGAATATATAACAAACTCCTACAACTCAGCAACAACAAAAAAAAACAGTTAAAAAGTGGGCAAAGAACTTGAATAGACATCTCTCCAAAGAAGATACACAAATAGCCAACAAGCACAAGAAAAGATGCTCAACACCACTAATCATTAGGGAAATGCAAACCAAGACCACAGTGAAATCCCATTTTACATAATTAAGATGACTACTATTTAAAAAAAAAACAAAATAACAAGTGTTGGCAAGGATGTAGAGAAATTGGAATCTTTGTGCACCGTTGGTAGGAATGCAAAATGGTACAGCTGTTATGGAAAACAATATGATAGTTCCTCAGAAATTTAAAAATGGAATTACTGTATGATCCAGCAATTCCACTTGTGGGTATATACCCAAAGGAACTGGAAGCAGGAACCTGAAAAGATATTTATACACCCATGTTTATAGCAGCATTAGTCACAGTAGTCAAAAGGTCAAAGCAACCCAAGCTGCTTGGGTTGCAACTCCATTGACAGACGAATATGTAAACAAAATGTGGTATATACGTACAACAGAATATTATTCAGCCTTTAAAACGAAGGAAATTCTAATAGATACTACAGCATGGATGAACCTTGAGGATAAATGCTAAGTGAAATAAGCCAGTTACAAAAAGACAAATACCGTGTGATTCCACTAATTTGAAGTAATTGGAGTAGTCATATTCATAGAGACAGAAAGTATTATAGAATGGTAGTTGCTGGAGCTAGGAGGAGGGAATGAGAAATCATCATTTAATGAGTATAAAGGTTTAGTTTTGCAACATGAGAGAGTTCTGGAGATTGACTACACAACATTATGACTGTACATACTTAACAGTACTAAACTGCACACTTAAAAATGGTTAAGATAGTAAATTTTATGTTATGTGTATTTTACCACAATTTAAAAATTAAGGCTGGGTGCGGTGGCTCACACCTGTAATCCCAGCACTTTGGGAGGCCGAGGTGAGCAGATCACCTGAGGTCAGGAGTTCGAGATCAGCCTGGCCAACATAATGAAACCCTATCTCTATTAAAAATACAAAAAAAAAAAAAATTAGTCCAGCATGGTGGCGGGCACCTGTAATCCCAGCTACTTGGGAGGCTGAGGCAGGAGAATCGCTGGAACCCAGGAGGCGGAGGTTGCAATGAGCCGAGATCGTGCCACTGCACTCCAGCCTGGGCGACAGAGCGAGACTCTGTCTCAAAAAACAAACAAAAAAAAAAATTTAAGAAAATGTTTGAGCAATGAAGAATTAAACTTTAATATTCAGGACTGATTAGAATAGAGATGAGGAAGGAGGATTAGATGGTGTTCTGGCCAAATAAAGTGTTATTGAGGCCCTAGACTGGTGGAAGTGATGGTATTGTAAAGTCACAGAGAGATGCTAGAGACACAGCGCTGTGGCTTACAACTTTTCTCAAATCTCCTTCCTAATATGCCTGCACCACTGGGCTTGGGGACTTTGTTTTTAACATGTTATTCTCTTAGTTTCTTTAATGTTTGCTTATATCAATGTTATCTGAGCGTCTAAATGTCTAGGGAGCAGGTACCCTGCCTACTTAGTTCTGTATGTATAGTATGCAGCACTCAGCATCATGGACAGATAGACACTTAATGCTATTTAAAGAACATCTATTGGTTAGGCAGCAATAATTATAAAAGAGCATTGGCCTGGTTTTTTTGTTTTTGTTTTTTTCTTTTTTAGAGATGGGGTCTTGTTCTGTCACCCAAGCTGGATTGCAGTATCATGATCATGGCTCACTGTAGCCGCGACCTCCCCAGCTCAAACAGTCCTCCTGCCTCAGCCTCCTGAGTAGCTGGGACCACAGGTGGACACCACCACACCCAGCTAATTTTTAAATTTTTTTGTAGAGACAGTGTTCCACTATGTTGCCCAGGCTGGTCTCAAACTCCTGGCCTTAAGCAGTCCTCCCACCTTGGCCTCCCAATGTGTTGGGATTGCAGGTGTGAGCCGCTGTGCCTGGCCAGCATTGGCCCAGTTTTGGTATCAGTTGAAATTCTCATAAGCACATGAAAGGTTATAGGGTTTTACTGGTGTCTGAAATATTTATTTTTTGTTTTTGTTTTTGTTTTTTTGTCTGAAATATTTCAATACTAGTTGTAGTTGTTTGTAAAAATTGAACCCCCAAACTATGGCGAAAACATATACGTGAACATTTGTCTTACATAAAACTGATGAGACCTCCAAACCTTCATGTCCTGACAGCTTGTGGTCATCAGTGATCCCCACATCAAGATTGATCCTGACTACTCAGTATATGTGAAGGCCAAAGATCAGGGCTTCTTTGTGAAGAATCAGGAAGGGGAAGACTTTGAAGGGGTGTGTTGGCCAGGTATGAAATCACTTTATACACTTATTATTTCCACATGTTCTGTCCCAATTAATGAAGGCTGCGTGGTCATCATTCTGCTCCCTTGTAGATGTCTCTTGCTCCTCTAGCTACATTTTAAGCATATAATTTAATGAAGAGATAGGTTTGCCTTCTTTTGTATCTTTTATAATACCTGGTACTATATGCTTTGTATGTATTTATCAATCAATAATTGAATGAATGAAAAATAAACAAGCAAACCTCAGTGGCATGCTGTTTCTCCAAGCAAACAGAGATAAAAAGTCGGGGAATAAGAAAAGCAGAGGAGGAGAAAGAAAAAAAGTGGGTCCTGCAAGCTCTCTCCTTGTGATTGCTCTTCACCCTTTTAGCCCATAGTTTTGACTTCCCAGGCTTTCATGAGTCACCTCAGCCACCCTGATGACTATGGATTCTTCATTTCAAAAGTTATTAAAAGTTATTAATTTAAAGCCTTGGTAGAAACTCCCCAAGGACAAAAGGAAAATACGTTGTTTAGAAATAAAGAGTCAGCACTATCTATCATAAATCCATGCACTGTAGAGAAACCCCGTGCCTTTCTTTTTTTCCCTTTACATCCCTTGAACACAATTCCCTGTTCTCTTTAAGAACCAAGAGATCACTGCAGGATATTTGCCATCCTTCCTTGGGCTATATTAGGCCATCAGTGAGGGACAGGCTCTATCATGATACTTGTGCATTGGCATTCCCCTGGGCTTCTGGTATTGAAAGATCTAGTGATTGTCACTGGAGCCCAGCATTACCTTCCTTCACTTCTCAACAGACCATGCCTCTGTCAGCCAACTTTCGTGTTTATGTAAGGTGCCCATTTCCCAGCTCTCACATCTGATACCTTCTTTACAATGCATCCTACTGTGAGGACCACTGTTCTTGACAGGCTATCTACTGTTCTGCCTCCACAGGTCTCTCCTCTTACCTGGATTTCACCAATCCCAAGGTCAGAGAGTGGTATTCAAGTCTTTTTGCTTTCCCTGTTTATCAGGTTGGTTTTTATTCCTTTGTTCTTTTCTAGTTACCTGAAAGAGTGAAAGAAGTGGAAAAAGTGATTGAATAAAACTATTCTTTTTCATTGAGTAGCTTTTGATATATAATGCTTTTATTAAAAGGCAAGTATGGCCACCACATTACAGACTCTGGGGGTGCTGGGAGAGGTGCCATATGCATAAGCAAATGCACAAAACCTGTGATTTTGACCTCTATTATAATAGACTCTATGATATATCAAAGTACTTTATAGCAGAGGTTTATTATATTTTCAAATTGCTATATATATTTTATATAAAATTGTGTTCCATAACTGTTATTTAAATATGATGATACATGTGAAAATATCTTACAACGTATTTGTCATTAAAAGTGAAGTATGATTTTTAAATAATCTGATAAGAACCACAGAGGAAACTGGAGAGGCCACATCTGGAGAACTGTTTTCAACCAATTATGATGATATTAATGATGGCAGTGTTGATGATGATGATACCTAATGCAAATGGAGTACTTGCTGTGTGCCAAGCACTGTGCTAAGGATGACTTCATGTGCATCATACCATTTGTCTTCATAATAACCCTCTGAAGTTGGAACTATAACTAAATCTAACCCCATAGAAGAGGAAATTGAGACATAGAGAAGCTTAAAAACTTGCCAAGGTCATGCATCTAGTAAGTGGTGGAACCAAAATTTGAACTCAGGTCTGTTTGTGCCCTAAGCCCAGCTTTTAACCACTAAACTGTAGTTTCTGGCATCAAGTATTAGGGCACTAATAAACAACTTAGTACAGGGATAGACAAGCGTTGGGCCAAATCTGGCCATGCCTATTCATTTCCCTATTTGTGGCTGCTTTTGTACTACTATGGCAGAGTTGAATAATTGAAAAAGAGACCTCATGGCCTGCAAAGTTGAAAATATTTACTATCTGGACCTTTACCAAAAATGTTTGCCAATCCCTGCTTTAGATGGTTCTAAAGGAAAGATATGGTAGTTAAATATTTGGAAATCATTTACCCCCTTATACATAGAAGAACACACATGTTTAGAAATAAAGATTCAAAAAAAAAAAAAAACAAGCCACCTCCAGGAATTTGAAAGACTTTCTTGTGGGCGAGGTGACAGATGTATTCTGTGGGGTCTCAGAAGGTAAGCTAGGTAGGCTCTGCGAGGGGAATGTTATATACAAGGAGCAGGATTTTTGAAAAATAATAGAATGAGCTGCCTGAGGGACTCCCTGTCTTTTTAGCTATTCAGTCAAACGCCAAAAGATAAGTGATTCTAGAAAAGACCAGGGATTCTACAATACCATGTTAGCTAGATGACTCAACTGTCCCTTCCCACTCTAAACTGAACAGTTCTGTGTAGGATACAAACTATAGATCATGTTAACAAACAGGTATATTGGCTGTCAAGTCTTTCAAAGTATTAGAGAGAAGGTAGAATCTTGTCATGTTCAGCTATAGTTGCCCTTAGTTAAGAGTTGTAGCATCTGATGAATGAGAAGGAGCCCAATTGTGAACATTCACAACCTTTCCCATAGGAGTCCTGCAGGGAGGTCTTGGAATGAATTTGCCAGGCAATATATATTTCACAGACAACACAGGGCAGCATTCTTTTATTCAGCAGCAAATATTTATTGAGATCTGTCTATGGGCCAGGTACTATTCTAGATGTTTGGGATTTATTAATGAACAAAACAGACAAAATGTTGTTCCCTGTGGAACTTATACTCTAGCAGTGGAGCAGAGGACAGAGCATAGATAATAAACATAATTTTTAAAATGAGGTAGCAATGGTGACAGCTATTATATAGACATCATCAATGTAGGAGTGTCATGACCAAGGTTTACTTCCTAGGGATCTACGGACATCCTCTTCCTTTGGAATGACATGAATGAGCCTTCTGTCTTTAGAGGGCCAGAGCAAACCATGCAGAAGAATGCCATTCATCATGGCAATTGGGAGCACAGAGAGCTCCACAACATCTACGGTTTTTATCATGTAAGACATCCAAAAAGAATTAAACTGGGCTTGTGTGACCCACCTTTTGGCTGAAGGTCATTTGCTTTGTGATATAATGGCTATTCTCTACTGTTCATTTCTCTTTGTGTGTCTTTTCTGACAACTGCAATGAGTCTTAGGTAGTAGCCAATACAAGACTTTTTATTATTTCTCCCTTTGCTTCTTTTCTTTTCATGATGAACTTGATGAACTTTTAAATATTATGAAATTAATTATAACATAAAGCTTCTGCCTTGATAGGAGCCATTAATAAGTGGCACTCACTGGCCACTACCTCAAACTTTTATTGATGCAAGCAGTATATAAATATGTGAATGAAGGTAATTAAAACAAGTGTTTTAAGATTTCACAGATATCTAAATACAGCAAATCTTATATTCACACTGGAGGAGCAATATTTAGAACACAGACACACAGCTTCAATAAGTATATTTTAAAAATGTAAAGCCTTCCTTAAGTACTTAGCTTCCTCAATAAAGGTGGTAAAATTATCTTTCATTTGCCAACTACATCCAAAAGACGTGGCAGACACTTGACCTCATGTATACCCATGGTTCTTTGTTATTTTCAAATTGTGACTGTATTCCTGTGGCCCTCTTACCTATTGGTATTTTCCAATGGGATCTTTTGGCTAAATATAAGCATAGTTTTCAGATTGTGTGTGTTTGCCTCTTTAACAGCCTGTTGCAGTAACTGTAGACTGCTTTAGTTAGTGAGCTGTCTTATATAGGTCAGGACCAGTCATTTAACCTCTCTGAAGCTCAGTTTTTCGTACCAATGAAAACTGTCTGTCTCAGAGGTTGTTACGGAGATTATATGAGAAAATTATATTAAATGCCTAGCAATAGTAAGCACCAAAGAAATGCTAGATGATTGTTTATTATTATTTCATTGCTATTGTTAACCAAAGAAAATTTTCCATTCTTTTAATAGGGGAATTTAGAGTAATTTCATTATACCATGAAAATTATTTGATGGATTTATTTTAATATTTTCCATTTCATGCTCCTGCCTACTGTTTGCTTTTTGTATGTTAGATAGCTTATTGGGGATGTCTGTACAAATCCAATCATCTCTTTGAAATTTTTCTTGTTTGGTGATATAGCAAATGGCTACTGCAGAAGGACTGATAAAACGATCTAAAGGGAAGGAGAGACCCTTTGTTCTTACACGTTCTTTCTTTGCTGGATCACAAAAGTATGGTAAGGAATGGCTCATATCAGACTTAAAAACACATTAGCAACTTTTTTTTTAACCATTTATAGAATGTGATGTTACTGTGCTGATGCCTTCCTTTTCCTTTTTTTTTTTTTTTTTTTTTTCATTTGTTTGTTTGAAACAGAGTCTCGCTTTGTCACCCAGGCTGGAGTGCAGTGGCACAGTCATGACTCACTGCAGCATTGACCACCTGGGCTCAAGCAATCCTCCCACCGAAGCCTCATGAGTAGCTGGGATTACGGGTGCACACCACCACACCCAGCTAATTTATATATGTATATGTATTTTTTGGTAGAGACAGGGTTTCACCATGTTGCCCAGGCTAGTCTCGAACTCCTGGACTCAAGCGATCTGCCCACCTTGGCCTCCCAAAGTGTTGTGATTACAGGTGTGAACCACCACACTCAGCTGATGCCTTCCTTTTCAATAGCCATTGGTCAGGCCTTTGATTGTAGACAGTGGTATGCCCTAAAGTGTGGATTTTGTCCTATAAGACAGAATAAACAAATTTTAGTCATTTGATACTTGTTTCTCACTGAAGAAATGGCCACTTCGTTGTTGGGAGAGTAACTTCTAAGTATTCAGTTTGCTGGGATAGTCATCTTTGGTCCTGTCTCTTTGATTTATCAAAGCCAGGGAGATACACCTCTAACACATTCCATTAACCAACTGTTCCACTTAGAAATGTGGCTTAAAATAGACCTGGCTGTTGCGTGTGGTCAGGGTCATCTATAACTGGATGCAGTTTACCAGCTAATGCAGATCTGGTTCAACTTAACAACCCTGTGGCAGGAAGGCTATTTTAAGTCCCCTGGCCTTGCATAAGCAACGGAGAGCTTAGATCCTAGTTTAAAGAATCCAGCCCTTACTATCCTGTGGACATTATTAAGCCTCCCACTCCACCCCTGAAAACCTGGCCCTGTGGCATTCTGGAAAGGGCCAAAATATTACAATCTCAGGCAAAGATTCATGTACAGAGGTATTCAACACAGTGGTAGTCCTTGAAACAAAAGTAAGAAAGAAAATCTAAATACATAACAATAAGGGAATAGTTATAAAAGTATGGTATAGCAACATGATAGATTATCGTGAGGCTATTTATGTTTAAAAAATTTTTTTTCTTTTTTTAATTTTCATAAGGCTATTTTAAATGGTAGATTTAATTGCATGAAAAAATGTTTTTGATATGATAAATAAAAAAAGGAACACCTAAGTGTTTATAATATTAACCTAATTTTGTATTGATATGTATTAGATGTACATATTTTCAGGATATGTGTGATAATTTGATATGTTCATATAATCAAATCAGAGTAATTGGGATATCTATCACCTTAAATATGTATCTTTTCTTTATACTAGGAACGTTTAAATTATTCTCTTTTAGCTTTTTTAAAATGCACACAATCAAGGCTAACTATAGTCACCTTACTGATCTATCAAACATCAAGTCTTATTTCTTATTATCTCAATTTTATAAAAGATTAATGGAAGATAGTAATTTAAATAAATAAGTGGGTAGATAGGCAGACAGTTAAATATAAGAAAATGTAATACCTTGGTGATTTTGAGTGATTTTCATTTTTTTCTTTTATCTAACTTTATTTTACAAATTGTCTACAAGTATCATTTTTAATCACAAAAAAAAGTATTTTTAATGAAAACATTTACCAGCAACAGTTAAAAAAAGATAACAGAAGATTTAAATATTAGGTTATTGTTGATCTCTTATGTTGGTCCATTGCTTAGCCTGCAGTACTCTGTGTGAAGCTATCAGCTTTGCTTCACTGTGTAGCAAGACATTACAGGAAACACTACTTTGTTAAGTCATATGCGATGATCAATAGCCATAGAGAACTTCTGACTAAACAATAGTATGAGACATGAAAATATCTGCATGTTTATGTGAGCTTTCTTTCTTGATGAGAATGTCTCCATACGGATTTCAAAATCATTATGTAAATACGTACATATCTCGCTTGAAGTCAAGAGGAAATTAGAATACTTTTTTAAAAGAACAATCCCTGGAAAATATTTTTTTTGAGCCAGGCACAGTGGCTCAAACCTGTAATCCCAGCACTTTGGGAGGCCGAGGCGGGTGGATCACCTGAGGTCAGGAGTTCAAGACTAGCCTGATCAACATGGTGAAACCCTGTCTCTACTAAAAAAAAAAAAAAAAAAAATAGCTGCGTGGTAGCGCGCACCTGTAATCCCAGCTACTAGGGAGGCTGAGGCAGGAGAATCGCTTGAACCTGGGAGGCAGGGGTTGCAGTGAGCAGAGATCGTGCCATTGCACTCCAGCCTGGGCAACAAGAGCAAAACTCTGTCTCAAAAAATATATATATATATATTTTTTTTGGTCACGAGCAGTGGCTCATGTCTGTAATCCCAGTACTTTTCTGAGGCAGGTGGGCAGATCACTTGAGGTTAGGAGTTTGAGACCAGCCTGGGCAACATGGTGAAACCCTGTCTCTACTAAAAATACGAAAATGAGCCAGGCATAGTGGCACATGCCTGTAGTCCCAGCTATTCAGGAGGCTGAGGCAGGAGAATTTCTTGCAACTGGGAAGTGGAAGTTGCAGTGAGCCAAGATTGCACCACTGCAGTCCAGCCTGGGCCACAGAGTGAAACTCCATCTCAAAAAAAAAAAGAATTTTTTTTTTCCTGGCCATAGGGCGGCCTAAAATTTCTATGAAAGATTAAAACAAAAATAGCTACCAAAACTATTTTGGTAGAAGATAGACAAAAATGCTTCAGAAGTAGTATATATTTCATAAAATAAGACTTTCCCTTTTATGGCTGTCTTTGGTGGTATATAATCTCTCATCACAAACTCTTAGCAACTCTTCAGTAAATAAGAACAAGAACACTGGCTTAGGCATCAGAGTGCCTGGGCTCAAATCCTGCCTCTACCACTTAATAACTGTGTAACTCTGGGTAGATTATGCATCCATTGCTTGCTATACTTCCCTCATCTATAAAATTGAGTTTATAATAGTGTTTATCTGATAGGATTGTTGTGATTATTAAGTAGGATAATACCAGCAAACTATTCGGCATAACACCTGGCTCAGTATGGGTTAAATAAATGTTAATTATTGTTATTGCTACTGTTATTATGTCTCCCCTTTAAGGCCTGTAACACTTCTCTCAAATTTTTTAGGGTTTTCTTTGGAAGCAGGGGCTGGTGGAGGTGGGAGGAAATAGGTACATAGATCAATTGAACAGAGTAGAGAATCCAGAGTATCCAACACATATGTGATCAATTGCTTTGCAACAAAGTTTCCAAGGCAATTTAATGGAGAAATTACAATTTCTTTTCAGTAAATGGTTCTGAAACAACTGGATATCTGTGTGGGGAAAAAAATGAAACTACACCCCTACCTCATACCATATTCAAAATTAAACTAAAAAATTAACTCATTTTAAAAGCTAAAAATACAACCTAACTTCTGGAAAAAAACATAGAATAAAATCTTTTTTTTTTTTTTGAGATGGAGTCTCACTCTGTTGCCCAGGCTGGAATGCAATGGCATCATCTCAGATCACTGCAACCTCCACCTCCCGGGTTCAAGTGATTCTCCTGCCTCAGCCTCCTGAGTGGCTGGGATTACAGGTGCCCACCACCACACCTGGCTAACTTTTACATTTTTAGTAGAGACAGGGTTTCACCATGTTGGGCAGTCCGGTCTTAAACTCTTGACCTCAAGTGATCTGCCCTCCTCGGCTTCACAAAGTGCTGGGATTACAGGCGTGAGCCACTGCACCTGGCCAGTAGAAAATCTTTATGGCTTTGAAACAGACAAACATTTCTTAGAAAGAACACAAAAAGCATGAATCATAAAAGAAAAAAATGACAAATTAGACTTTATCAAAATTTAAAAATGTCTGCCCTTTCAAAGACATTGGTAAGAAAATGAAATGGCAAGCCACCGACTGAGGAAAAAAATATTTGAAATATACATATACAGATATATCTGCCAAAATACTTGTATCCAGAATATATAAAGAACTTTTACTACTCAATAATAATAAGAAAGACAACCTACTTTAAGAGTTGGTTTTCTGAAAAAAAAATAATAATAACAAAATAGATAGACTGCTAGCTAGACTAATAAAGAAGAAAAGAGAGAAAATCCAAATAAACACAATTAGGAATTACAAAGGAGAAAATGTAGGAGAAATGGATAAATTCCTGGACACATATACCCTCCTAAGACTGAACCAAGAAGAAATTGAATCCCTGAAAAGACTAATAACGAGCTCCAAAATTGAATGAGTAGTAAAAAGCCTACCAACCAAAAATAGCCCAGGACCAGACAGATTCACATCCCAGTTTTACCAGATGTACAAAGGAGAGCTGATACCATTTCTACTGACACTATTTCAAAAAATTGAGGAGGAAAGACTCCTCCCTAACTCATTCTATAATGCCAGCATCATCCTGATGCCAAAACCTGGCAGAGACACAAAAAAGAGAAAATTTCAAGCCAGTATCCTCGATGAACATTGATGCAAAAATCCTCAACAAAATACTGGCAGACTGAATTCAGCAGCACATCAAAAAGCTTATCCACCGTGATCAAGAAGCCTTTATCATTGGAATGCAAGGTTGGTTTAACATACCCAAGTCAATAAATGTGATTCATCACATAAACAGAACTAAAGACAAAAACCACATGATCATCTCAATAGATGCAGAAAAAGCTTTCAATAAAATTCAGCATCCCTTCTTGTTAAAAACTCTCAGCAAACTAGGTACTGAAGGAACATACCTCAAAATAATAAGAGTCATATTTGACAAATCCACAGCCCACATCATACTAAATGGGCAAAAGCTGGAAGCATTCCCCTTGAAAACTGGCACAATACAAGGATGCCGTCTGTCACCACTCCTATTCAAAATGATATTGGAAGAAGTCCTGGCCAGAGCAGTCAGGCAAGAGGAAGAAATAAAGTGCATCCAGATAGAAAGAGAGGAAGTCAAACTATTCCTATTTGCAGATGACATGACTCTGTCTAGAAAACCCCATAGTCTCAGCCCAAAAGCTCCTTAAGCTAATAAACAACTTCAGCAAAGTCTCAGGATACAAAATCAACATATAATAATCATTAGCATTTCTATACACCAACAACAGTCAAGCCTAGAGCCAAATCAGGAGCATAGTCCCATTCACAATTGCCTCAAAAAGAAGAAAATACCTAGGAATACAGCTAACCAGCGAGGTGAAAGATCTCTACAATGAGAACTACAAAACGCTGCTCAAAGAAATCAGAGATAACACAAGCAAATAGAAAAACATTCCATGCTCATGGATAGGAAAAATCAATATTGTTGAAATGGCCATACTGCCCAAAGCAATTTATAGATTCCGTGCTATTCCTGTCAAACTACCAATGACATTCTTCACAAAACTAGAAAAAACTATTTTAAAATTCATATTGAACCAAAAAAAAAAAAGAAAAAAAAAAGAGCCTGAATAACCAAGGCAGTCCTAAGCAAAAAGAACAAAGCAGGAGGCAATATGCTACCCAACCTCAAACTACTACAAGGCTGCAGTAACCAAAACAACATGATACTGGCACAAAAACAGGCATGTAGACCAATGGAACAGAATAGAGGGCCCAGAAATAAGGTTGCACACCTACAACCATCTGATCTTTGACAAAGCTGACAAAAACAAGCAATGGGGAAAGGACTCCCTATTCAACAAGTGGTGCTGGGACAACTGGCAAGCCATATGCAGAAGATTGAAACTGGACTCCTTTCATATACTGTATACAAAATTAACTCAAGATGGATTAAAGACTTAACAGTAAAACCCAAAACTATATAAAAACCCTGGAAGACAACCTAGGCATTACCATTCTGGACATGGGAATAGGCAAAGATTTCATGATGAGGATACCAAAAACAATTGGAACAAAAGCAAAATTGACAAATGGGATCTAATTAAACTAAACAGCTTCTGCACAGCTGAAGAAACTGTCAATAGAGTTAATAGACAATCTACAGAACGGGAGAAAATATTTACAAACTATGCATCTGACAAAGGTCTAATATCCAGCATCTATAAGGAACTTAAGCAAATTTAAGAGAAAAAACAAACAGCCCCATTAAAAAGTGGGCAAAGAACATGAACAGACACTTTTCAAAAGAAGACATACATGTGGCCAACAAGCATGTGAAAAAAAGCTCAACATCACTGATCAATAGAAAAAAGCATATCAAAACCACAATGAAATACCACCTCACACCATTCAGAATGGCTGTTATTAAAAAGTGAAAAGGTAACAGATGCTGGCAAGGTTGCAGAGAAAGGACAATGCTTATACACTGCTGGTAGGAGTGTAAAATAGTTCAACCATTGTGGAAAGCAATGTGGTGTTTCCTCAAATAACTAAAAACAGAACTACCATTTGACCCAGCAATCCCATTACTAGGTATATACCCAAAGGAATACAAATCATTCTGTCATAAAGACACATGCGCGTGTATGTTTACTGCAGCACCTGTTCACAATAGCAAAGACATGGAATAAACTTAAATGCCTATCAGTGGTAAACTGGATAAAGAAAATGTGGTACGTATACACCATGGAATACTATGCAGCCATAAAAAGGAATGAGATATCTTGCCTGTGATCTGGTCTTTGATATTTTTTTCTTTTTTATTAAATTTATTTTTATATATATGAATGAGATCATGCCCTGTGCAGGAACATGGATGGAGTTGGAGGCCATTATCCTTAGCAAACTAATGCAGAAACAGAAAACCAAATACCACATGTTCTCACTTAGGAGTGGGAACTAAATGATGAGAACACGTGGACACATAGAGGGGAACAACAGACACTGGGGCCTACCTGAGAATAGAGGGTGGGAAGAGGAAGAGGATCAGGAAAAATAACTAATGGGTATTAGGCTTAACATCAGGGAGACAAAATGACAAAATAATCTGTACAACAAACTCCTGTGACACACGAGTTTACCAACATAACACACCTGTGCATGTACCCCTGAACTTAAATATTTTTTTTAAATGAGCAAAAGATTTCTATAGACACTTTTCAAAAGAAGATACATGAAGAGGCTGGGCATGGTGGCTCACGCCTATAATTTCAGCACTTTGGGAAGCCAAGGCAGGTGGATCACTTGAGGCTAGGAGTTCAAGACCAGCCTGGCCAACATGGTGAAACCCCTCTCTGCTAAAAATACAAAATTTAGCCAGGAGTGATGGTGCACACTTGTAATCCCAGCTACTTGGGAGGCTGAGGCAGGAGACTCACTTGAACCCTGGGAGGCAAAGGTTGCAGTGAGCCGAGATCACGGCACTGCACTGCAGCCTGGGCAAGTGAGAACATGACTCCATCTAAAAAAAAAACAAACCACATGTATTATATGCAAGTTAAATCTTAAAGTTGATTTTTCAAAGGGTTCCTCTATCAGACCTAAATTATACTTAAAAAAAAGTGCAATTTCAGAATATTTTCCTAGAATGTTTGTTTTGTAGATTTTAATAACTTTTCACGTTAGAAAATTGATACTTTTCATTGTAGAAAATTAGAATTTATTTATTTTAAGGCAAGAAATTGGTTTTCCTTTTCATTAAGTTGTCTTTTACAAATAAGGAATCTACATAGGAAATTGAACGCATGGGTTGATTTGTGATTTTAATACATTGTTGCTGGTGACCAAAGGTGCCGTGTGGACAGGCGACAACACAGCAGAATGGAGCAACTTGAAAATTTCTATCCCAATGTTACTCACTCTCAGCATTACTGGGATCTCTTTTTGCGGAGGTAAGATGAGTCCTTTGAGGCTTGAAGTGCAAGGAAATAAAAAATGAGGGTGTTTTCATCAAAGCTGGTTACAAATCCCTTCTCATTAGCTGTTGTGGGCAGACATAAATGTGGGAAAGAAAAAATGTGAGAAAGTGAAGAGGAGCGGATTAGAGAGGAGAGTGAAAGGCATGCCTCAGAGCTATTTCTATCTGGTCTCTGTTGAGGGCATGAAATCAAGTTGTCAGAAAGGGAGCCAGAGCCATTTTCTTATCACTTCCTTCCTAGACGCTCTTGATAACTAAGTTTCTCTTCCTGACAGCTATCTTTTCTTCTTGAAAGTGAGAAAAATAGAACTACAAGGAATTTAGCAAATCAGAAAGTCAGCCTTACAGAAATTCTTTTTACTCAGCAGATTTAAAATTCTGTGGCATATTTTAACTGTACTAAAACAAAAACATATGCTCTTGAGAAAGATGAATTTAGTTAAAATAAGATTTTCCAATGGACTATCTTCCCTGCATCCTAAGAATTCTCTGTAGATGAGCGATCTCAATATGGAGGGGGCTCAAGATGGCTGCAGTTCCAGCTGCTCTTTGTTTCCTGTAGGAGTAGAAGCAAATTAATATCATTCTTTTGATGCATGTGTTTTTATTGCATTGGTCCATGTACAATACAAGGAATATGTATATACCACTCAGTGGCCCAGCATGGAATTCTATTCTGATAATCAGAACCTCTACTTCTGATTATCTGCTTCTCTTCAGTTCTTTCTGTTTTTATCTTAGTTCAGCTGTTGCTTCCAAAGGAAATCAGTTGCCAACCACCCCCCTCCAACACACACACACACACACACACACACACACACACACACACACACACACACACAGTTATTTAATCAGGCAGACATTTTTCAGTGTCTGGGTTATCTGGTTTGGGGAACATACAGGAATATTGATCTTGAAATAAAGCCTCTGACCTTTCGACAAGAAAGTAATATTCTAAGAGCCCATTGTCAGATCCCCAAACAGGCTGAATTATGTAGTAAGGGGGTCACCTGTTTGAGGCCACGGCTTTATCCTGTCATTTGAAGTGCATATACTGCACTTTTCTCCTGTCGGTCTTCAAGACCTTAATTTCCCTGTGTGCATCATTTATCCAAAGCTTGGTTGCCTCACTTGGCCTTCTTTTGCTTCCAGCTGACATAGGCGGGTTCATTGGGAATCCAGAGACAGAGCTGCTAGTGCGTTGGTACCAGGCTGGAGCCTACCAGCCCTTCTTCCGTGGCCATGCCACCATGAACACCAAGCGACGAGAGCCCTGGCTCTTTGGGGAGGAACACACCCGACTCATCCGAGAAGCCATCAGAGAGCGCTATGGCCTCCTGCCATATTGGTATTCTCTGTTCTACCATGCACACGTGGCTTCCCAACCTGTCATGAGGTAAAAAAGCTTCATCCATTCAGGGACCCCAGCAACCAATCTGTAATAGAAGATCTCAGTGATTAAAGAATGCAATAATTACAGTGATTTCAAGAGAAAGGTGAAGAAAAGCTACATGTTTAATCAAGTTTCAATAAGCTTATTGAGCAGCGCGGTGAACAGGGTGCTGGCTGTTGGGGACACAGAAGATAAAAACTGCTACTGCTTTGTGACTAAAGTATGAATATTTGATAGGAGACAGAATAGAGATATTTCAAAGAAAAAGGAAGTGGCTTTGTAATAAAATTCATTCAGTATTTAACCTATCAGTATCTTCTCATGAAGAATAACTTATTTTGCCAGGCTTAGGCTTGAATCATATGAAAAAGAGTCTTGGCTCTTTGGCACGTTCCCATTTCCTTTGAATAGTTATAAAACTGAAAATAGGCCAGGCTTGGTGGCTCACACCTGTAATCCCAGCACTTTGGGAGGATCATCTGAGGTCTGGAGTTCGAGACCAGCCTGACCAATATGATGAAACCCTGTCTCTAAAAATACAAAAATTAGCTGGGCGTGGTGGTGTGTGCCTGTAATCCCAGCTACTTGGGAGACCGAGGCAGGAGAATCGGTTGAACCCAAGAGGCGGAAACTGCAGTGAGCCAAGATAGCACCACGGCATTCCAGCCTGGGCAACAAAGTGAGATCCATCTAAAAAAAAAAAAAAAACTAAAAATATAAGTGATTGATTGCAATAAGATGTCTATAATGTTAAAACAATAATTTTTTTTCTTTCCCCAGGCCTCTGTGGGTAGAGTTCCCTGATGAACTAAAGACTTTTGATATGGAAGATGAATACATGCTGGGTGAGCATTTCTGTTTTTTTTTTTTTTTTTGAGACGGAGTCTCACTCTGTCACCTAGGCTGGAGTGCAGTGATGCTATCTCGGCTCACTGCAACCTCCGCCTCCCGGTTTCAAGAAATTGTCTGCCTCAGCCTCCTGAGCAGCTGGGATTACAGGTGCCCGCCACCATGCCCGGCTAATTTTTGTATTTTTAGTAGAGACAGGGTTTCATCATCTTGGCCAGGCTGGTCTTGAACTCCTGACCTCATGATCCACCCACCTTGGCCTCCCAAAGTGCTGGGATTACAGGCGTGAGCCACTAGGCCTGGCCAAGCATTTCTTGATTAATTACAGTCATTATAAAAAGTGTAATTACGTTTTTATTATATTTTCTAATATAAGAGCAATAAAAAAGTTCCTAATTCCAAGAAAGACAAAAAATAAAAATATAGGAAATTCCTTCACCAAGATTTCTAATGCATTATTAGTAGGATCATACCTCCATTCTGTTGTGATGTAGCATTTCTCATAATATTGTTCTTGCTGACTTATTTGTGGATGTCGTTTAGGATTCTTGTTCTGGGTTCACTCCTCTAATCCTGTGAGATCACTTGGGGGAAGGGAAGTAGAAAAAAACAGCCCAGGTGGTGATAGTAAAAAACCAGAAGAGCTTATTTCATATGCAATAATAGGGTTTTTCTTTGGTTGACCTCTTCTTTAACAAAGATTAACTATCAAATCCAGAACATAGAATTTTACCAGCTTAGTAGCAGGGCTCAAGAAGCCAGGCTAAATATACTGTTCCCCAAAGGGTGACTCTCATTTCTGAGTTCTATTTTTTTTTTTTTTTAAATGGAGCCTCACTTTGTCACCCAGGCTGGAGTGCAGTGGTGTAATCTTGGCTCACTGCAACCTCTGCCTCCGGGGCTCAAGCAATCCTCCCACCTCAGCCTCTCGAGTAGCTGGATCACAGGCATGTGCCACTATGCCTGGCTAATTTTTTCTATTTTTAGTAGAGATGGGGTTTCGTCTTGCTGCCCAGGCTAATCTTGAACTCCTGACCTCAGGTGATCCACCCACCTCGGCCTTCCAAAGTGCTGGGATTACAGGTGTGAGCTACCACGCCCAGCCCCGTTTCTGAGTTCTTTTAAGTCTCCACTCATCATTAGGTCTCAGTTTAATAGTCACTGCCTTGGAGAAACTTCCCTGACCACTCCTGGTTTCCTTATACCTTATTCTACCTAGTAAAAATCAGCCCCTCTTATTATGTAACTTTCATTCCATTTTGTAATTTGGTCTCTTTTGGTATTTGTCTTAATTCTAATTAATTTGTAATTATTTTTTAATATTTGTTTTCACTAACTGTAAACTCCGTAAGGTCAGGAGCCACGCTTGTCTTATTGGCCACTATATCCCCAGAGCCTAGCATGGTGCCCGGCATGCAGTAGGCACTCGAAATAAGTATTTATTGAATAAAAGAGCAAAGTAGTAAGTGGGTGAATTTTACATACGTGTTGTGCCAAAGTCAAAGCAAATTTAATAATCCAGATTGCCTTTAAGAAAACTAGAGGCCAGGCATGGTGGCTCATGCCTGTAATCCCAACACTGTGGGAGGTCGAGTATGAGATCGCTTAAATTGAGGAGTTTGAGATTAGCCTGGGCAATATAGCAAGACCCTGTCTCTACAAAAAATTTAAAAATTAGCTGGGCACGTTGGGTGTGTACCTGTCATCCTAGCTACTCAGAGGCTGAGGCTGGAGGATTACATGAGCCCAGGAGTTAGAGGTTGCAGTAAGCTGTGATTGCACTGCTGCACTCCCACTTGGGGAACAGAGTGAGACCCTGTCTCCTGTCTCTAAGGAAAAAAAAAAAGAAAAAGAAAACTGCAGCCTCTCTGATGATAACTCCAAGCAAGAGGGTCTGAGCACCCACACTGACCACACTTCTGGATAATAGTTGTGGGCTCCCCATCTTCAGCTTCACTGACAGCAAACAGTAAAGCACTTGGAAAGGAGCAATGGGGGTGCTTTGACTACTGACACATTAGCAGTTAGACACAAAATGAGACCGATGGACTGTGTCAGAGTCCCTTCCTATAATCTCAGTATACCCAGAGTGCATTAATGACAGGCGATGACCTTTTTGAGCTCACCTCTTTGAGCGCCTGCCCTCTTTCTATCAGTGCATCTCTCTAACAAATCATTGGTTCAAGTCAGTCTCTGCCTCTCCAAAGTTCACAGCTGGGAGGTCTGTAACACCATGATAGCTAGCACTCAGTTAAAGAGAAAGGAGATTTTTAGACCTCTTATAATGATACTCAACTTTATTTCCTCTCCATTACTTAGGGAGTGCATTATTGGTTCATCCAGTCACAGAACCAAAAGCCACCACAGTTGATGTGTTTCTTCCAGGATCAAATGAGGTAAGAGTAATAACAGCCACATATCTGATATGTCTCATATCTCTCATCCCTTCTTTTCTTTTAGGAAAGAGATTTCTTCATCATGTGTTTGTGAACACACCCCAGATGACTATAGCAAGTAATTATTATAATAAGTCATGACCACTGTCCTCAGAGGTCAAGAAACTTAATGGAGGAGAGGAGGGAGAAAGATGAATTGGTGAGGATTCCAAGGAGGATCAGAATGATTTTTAGTCTTCACACTTTGACTAGTAAAAGTGAGTCCTGATAAACACACCGAGGCTTGGGGTAGGAAGAAATCTTCAGTCTGCTATGAGGTATCAAACTCTGGGGGAAAGCAGATATGAAGTGACTTTGCTCTTTGGTCTGGCTCTATCTGAAGCCTGAGTTTTTGGTACCAAAAGCTGGTCTCAATACACTCACTGAAGTGGGTAAAAAGTAAAAATAGTGACTCCCCTCCCACATTCCTCTGCTCTTTTATTAGTTATTGTCACTAATTACTGTCCCAGGTATAAAATATCATCCTAGACCTGCTGGAGCCCAGGGCACTGAACCCAGGCAGGGCACAGGGGAGAGGAGGGAATACCAGCGGTCTGCAGGCAGAGAGCCATGGGTAATAAGAGCAGCCTTCAGAGACAGGCCACAGATAAATCCAGAAGGGCCAGGAGAAGAGCTGGAGCAAAACTCAGGTCACCAGACTAAGGGAGGAGGGTGTGGAAGGGAGAGCAGGAAGGAGACAGACCCTAGAGAGCATCCTTGAGCACGGGAGCATGCCACAGGGTTCAGCAGGCAGGGGAAGAGCCACGCAGGTATGGAGCTGGCATGGGACTGCCAGGCCACATAGTCATGGACTGTCAAGGCAAGTGGCAAGGTAGCTGAGCCAGGCCACGCTTGCTGCTCAGTACTGTCAGGTGCTGGGCTGGCAACCCCATGAAACCACATCCAGCGCCGTGCTCTCCCTCAACATAGCTTTACATGTTTGGTTGTTCTTTTAGTTTCTTGAGGCTTCTGTAACAAATTACCTCAAACCTAGTGGTTTAAAACAACAAAACTTTATTCTCTCACAATTCTGGAGGCTTGAAGTCTGAAATCAAGGTGTCATCAGGGTTGGTTTCTTCTGGAGGCCCTGAGGGAGAATCTGTTCATGCCTCCCTCTTAGCTTCTGGAGGTTGCCAGCAACCCTGGGCTTCCTTGGTTTGTAGCCACGTCACTGCAGTCTCGCCTATCTTCATGTTGCCTTTTCCTCTGTGTGTCTCTGTCTATCTCTTATAAGGACACTTGTGGTCACATTGAAGGCCCACCTGGATAATCTGGGATAACCTCCTTGTCTCAGGATCTTTAACTTAATCAAACCTGTGACCATAGAAGGTAATATTCATTCCTTCCAGGGATTGTGACGTGAGTACATCTTTTTGAGGGGCGACGGTTCCATCTGCTATGCTTGTCATTATTGACAGAACAGTAACCAGGCTTCTCTCCAGAATGTTCATGAACTATGGTCTATTCTCTTGGTTTCTCCAGTTATTTGGAGTTCTGAAGATGAGGGCTCTTTACTAAGGTTCCCCTGCCAAGTAGAAACCTGAGGAAAAGGTTAAATGCAACAACTGCTGAGTAAATGCCCTGCCAGATATTTTTGCTGAGAATTTCTCAAGTTGATTCCAGCAAAGTGGTGGGTTCCCATTAAGAGGAACTGGCTCCCTTTCCGACTTAGTCACAGAGTTTTATTCGTGATCTATCATCATTCCAAACACGTCGTTGTGAGTGTGTATTATGTTCCTTCAGCACTATTTCCTGGACTGTTCTGTGATTGTTTCTCTTGCTTCACAAACCTGCCGTATAAAGGATGTGGTAATCCCTGGAGGTGAACTTGCAAAATAGACTCCAGGGCTGCCAGAAAGTGTACTGAGCTAGAAGAAAGAAAAAGATGTTTGCTTTCATTCTGCTTCTGATGATATCTTAAGAATTTATCCCATCAAATTACTTTAGAGACCTTATTGGTACTTCAGCAACTAAACCCCCTTGATAGATAACAACCTTATCTTTGAATTGTGCTTTGTTTAAAAAAAAAAAAAAGATACTATAATAGTAATTCAAGTTTCCATTTTTTTCCTCCCAGATATGTTTCCTTCTCTGATGCTTCCTTTTCTCCTGCCTCTTTTGTAATTGATTTGCCTGCAATGTGCTTGTCTTCTTTGTTGTTTTTTTTTCTTTTCTCCATCACCTCTTTCACTACTAGAAGCATTAAGTTTTTATAAGCCAAATGGACTATAAGATCCATGAGGACAGGAACTATGTCTTTTCTGTTCAGTCTTGTATATTCAGCACCTGGCACAGTGCTGGGCACATGGTAGATTGTTCAGTCGGTAGCTTTTGGATGAATAGAAAACAAATGGCCTTTTAGTTAAATTAATCAGCCATAGTCTTTTGGGATCTTCCTAAAAGCACGTATTCTTCCTAACTTCTACCCAATATATTTTTTAAGTTATATTTATTTTAGCTTTCTGGTTATTTGAAATCCAGGTAAGTGGATATTTTGCTGACTAATGAAATGGTGAGCAGAGTTGCTTATGTACTCTTTTTTACTGGACTCTGTTACTTTCTAGGTCTGGTATGACTATAAGACATTTGCTCATTGGGAAGGAGGGTGTACTGTAAAGATCCCAGTAGCCTTGGACACTGTAAGTTATTTTCAGACTACTATTTTTACCTATCATGCTCTATTGGTCGGCTAGGGCTGCCATGACAAAATACCACAGACTGGGTGGTTTTACCCAACAGAAACTTATTTTCTCGAAGTTTTGGAGGCTGGAAGTTCCAGATCAAGGTGCCAGCCGATTCTGTTCCTGGTGAGAGATCTTTTCCTGGCCTATAGACTGCTACCTTCTTGCTGTGCCTACACATGGCAGAGAGAGATAAAGAGAAGGTGCTGTCTCAGTTTTCTTCTTACAAGGACACTGTTCCTGTCGTTTCAGGACCCCATCCTTATGACCACATTTTTAACCTTAGTTAACTCCATAAAGGCCTGATCTCCAAATATCTCAGGCTTGGGGATTCAGCATATGAATTTGGGGGACATACAAACATTCAGTCCATAATGTGTTCCTCTGTAAAAAGAACCAAGGATGCTAGTGTTCTGCACAATAGCACATATGCATAGAGACAGAAGGTAGGTCCGGGGGTGCCTAGTGCTGGGGCAGAGGAGGGTTAAGGAGTCATGGGGAATGACTGTAAACTGGTCCAGGGTTTCTTTTTGGGGTGATGAAAATGCTTTAAAATTGAGTGTGGTGATGGTTGCATGACTCTGAATATGCTGAAAACTGTTTAATTGTATACTTTAAATTGGTGAGTTGTATGGTATATGAATTCTATCAAAGCTGTAAAATGTGAGAAAAAAAGTTAAAAATCACATCTACTCTGATTTCACAGAATGAGACATCAGAGACAAACACACCTCTTCCCCGTATGTTTACATTTGTGTGTCTAAGAAGAACAAAAACACTGAAAACAAAAAACATGGTAGTCACCATATGTGCCATCTGGAATATCATTCTACAGGATTAAGGCAAAAAACAGGAGTTTTCAGTTGTAATCCTGGGCCCAGGGGAATGCATCAGTTATGATGTTAAAATCAAAGTGGTCCATCCAGGCTATCTTGAGTTTCTAAAGGGAACTTTCTTTCTACACCTGAATTACAACCACTGCCACACTACTACAGGCCCAAAGTAGTGTGAAGATTAATAGATACTGATATTATTTTGTAAACCATCAGCAGCAATATGAACCCCATTATTTAAAAAAATAGTTTCAGATACCAACTTTCAGATCTAGAAGAGAACTTAACAATTATCTACTCTAATCCCTCACACAGGTAAAAAACCCTGAGATTCAGAGAAGTTAAATTATTTGTCCAGGAACACAGCAAACTTGTGGCAGAATTGAGACAAGCCCCCAGGTGCATTCCCTTGGGCTGGACTCCCATTCTGGAACCCATTTCACTCTAACTTATGGCCTTGTTCTTTGAAAAAAAAAAAAAAAAAGAAGAGAGAGATTGGCCAGTGAGGAAGGGGCATGTGTGGGGAGATGGAAGTGCTTTACTTCTCACTGCCGAGGCAAGTTAAGCAGAGGTGGGACATCTGAACTACTGAGTCCTCAGTCTCAACTTCATGTATGTTCTTGTACTCTCCTGCATGCTCATTCTTGAGTCAGAGCAAAGCACAAGCCCTTCTCTGACACAGGCAGCTTCCTTATAGGAGGTGGGAAACCTACCCTGGCATTGCTACCTGGAGTGCCATTCCAGAAGACTCATAGTTATGGGCCTGTTGTTAGGGTCTCTTAAAGTACCCTTGGTAGTCTCTAATGTAAGAGCAGCAGTTTCACAGATTTACCCTCAGAATTGAGTCAGTCATCCAGGTAATCCATGTAATCCAAACAGGGAGCAAGAGGGGACAGGCTGCAGTGAGTGAGGACAAAAGTCATCTGTCCAAACCAAGAAACCACCATCAGTTATACATACACACATACACAGACTTCTGGGCCCACTCACACAGACAGAAAACTTCACTCTTCAGCAGGGTTCTGGAAATAAGCATGTATATACTACACTGATAGGAAAATTTAAAATACAAAATAGGAAAAGCCACTTATAGGATGGGCAGAAAGGAATTCATCACTTAAGAGGAAAAAACAGCAAAGACAGGTATAGATAACAAACCAATGAAGGGTGGGAAGTTTCCCTAATAATTAAAAAGTGGACCATTCTTCAGCGTTAGAGCTCTTTTCCTTTTAATGCCAGGACCCCCATATTTGCCATCTCTGTGCCCCAAAATTTATTTTGCCTACAAATCCGTACTTGTAGACTGTGAATTTTATAAAATGAAATATTTTTAAATTCTACCTTGAAATTTTCTTATATGAATACTGCTTCCCTGAGCGTGCTGCTCTGTTACAGATTCCAGTGTTTCAGCGAGGTGGAAGTGTGATACCAATAAAGACAACTGTAGGAAAATCCACAGGCTGGATGACTGAATCCTCCTATGGACTCCGGGTTGCTCTAAGCACTAAGGTATTTGGTAAATCTGTTACTCATTTTGTTTCTACTCTTTCTTTACAGTGATAGCCTTTTGAGTGTGTGACACTACGTAAAAGTGGTGAGCTCCTGACATTTATCTAGAAATCAAGGTTTGAATCATTTCTGAATCATTGTTCAGCTTGTCTGCCTTCCTTGGAATTGTTCTTAAGGGAACCTTTGAGATCTAGGAATGACAGAAATGTTCCTCTTGGGCACTGTGAGTGTTGGTGCTCTTCAACTTGACGTTGATTACTACTGGAGTGAATGCTTTTTGGGCCATAGACAGCCTTCCCACGTGGATTAGCCCTGAAACCCAGTCTCCCATAAAACGGTACCCATGTCTATGCACCATTTCAGAGATCCCAGTCCCAACCAGTGATTTCTTATCAGGTAGCTCCAACAACTAAAACCCCCTTGGGCAAAGCCTGGGAGGATCCAGAAGTGATGTGTCCTTTTCAGATTTTTTAAGCCTAGTGAGGCCTGTAGCAGATTCCTCTCCTGTCCATTTGTTCAAACCTAGTACAGGGCCAAACACCAACCCTTACTCTTACTATATTAATACTCACTTGCATTGATATCAATATTATAAAATAATTCAGTTGTAGGGTTTTTTTTCCCCTATCTTTTTCACTTAGGCATGTCTTCTTGGGCCAAACTATGGGTCCCAGACCCATGTGAGGCCCCAGAATAAATACAAAAGACTAGCGATCCATATCCTCCTACTAAAAATAAAAATAAATTTAAAAAAAGGAAGCAGATACCATTCTCTGAGTGGAGGGTCTTCTAAAGATAGTTGATGTCATCTATTATGTATTAATTTTTTTTAACATCGTTGTCATTCAATGAACTTTCTTGGCCTTGTTGTCACATTCTGGTGGAGTATTTTCAGGGAATCCACTTATACCACTGAACATACTTCACAGTTTAAATTCTTTGAACAAAGCCTAACTCTTTGTGCTCCTCTTATGTGACTTTCCTATTGTTTTACTATCTACTCAGGAGTGATTGGCTATTGAATATGTTAGGTATTTGTACGACTACTTTATATAGCTTGAATTTTTCACAAACTTTTTACTCTGTTGTTACCCTTTAGGAGCTGACATTCTTTTCCTGTAAAGCTATCATATAAGCACATTCTGTCTCTGTGATTCATTCTCCAGGGTTCTTCAGTGGGTGAGTTATATCTTGATGATGGCCATTCATTCCAATACCTCCACCAGAAGCAATTTTTGCACAGGAAGTTTTCATTCTGTTCCAGTGTTCTGATCAATAGGTAATGGCAGCTAAAGAAACTGTTTGTTTTCTTAAGTAAATCACACTATCCGTTCAGCATCCTCAAATCAAATGCACAGGTATGTTTTAAGTTACTATTTAAAGAAATGAATGGTGAAGGCCGTTTCCGGAATATTTTTTTCTTTTCTTTTCTTTTCTTTTTTTTTGAGACAGAGTCTCACTCACTCTGTCGCTCAGACTAGAGTGCAGTGGCGTGATCTCAGCTCACTGCAACCTCCACCTCCTGGGTTCAAGTGATTTCTCCTGCCTCAGCCTCCCAAGTAGCTGGAACTACAGGCATGCACCAACATACCCGGCTAATTTTTGTATTTTTAGTAGAGACGGGGTTTCACCATGTTAGCTAGGCTGGTCTCAAACTCCTGACCTCAGGTGATCCACCCACCTCAGCCTCCCAAAGTGCTGGGATTACAGGTGTGAGCCACCGTGCCCGGCGCATTTCTGGAGTATTTTTCAACCTTTCTACCATAAACAATCCTCCCTTATTGTCTTCACCTTTCTTTCCCCCACTTTTTTTTTTTTTTTTTTTTTTTTTGAGATGGAGTTTCACTCTTATTGCCCAGGCTGGAGTGCAGTGGCACAATCTCGGCTCACCGCAACCTCTGCCTCCCAGGTTCAAGCGAGTCTCCTGCCTCAGCCTCCCAAGTAGCTGGGATTACAGGCATGCGCCACCACGCCTGGCTAATTTTGTATTTTTAGTACAGACAGGGTTTCTCCATGTTGGTCAGCCTGGTCTCGAACTCCCGACCTCAGGTGATCTGCCCACTTCGGCCTCCCAAAGTGCTGGGATTACAGGCGTGAGCCACTCCGCCCATCTCCCCGACTTTCTAAAAAATGAAAAAGGACTTAATTTAAGTTCCCACTAATTCCATTCATTCATCCATTCACCAGCTCACTAAATATCTGATTTATTACAATTTGATTATAATATCCAAGTCACATTTGTAACTTTTGTGTTCTTCAGTTATTTTTCAAATAACTTGTTAAAAAGAGCCTGATTTGGCCACCAGTTAGCTGTTCCTTGGTACACAGAGTTGTCTTTTTTTTTTTTTTTTTTGAGACGGAGTTTTGCTCTTGTCGCCCAGGCTGGAGTGCAGTGGCATGATCTCAGCTCACTGCAACCTCAGCCTCCCGGGTTCAAGCAATTCTCCTGCCTCAGCCTCCTGAGTAGCTGGGATTACAGATGCCCACCACCATGCCTGGCTAATTTTTTGTATTTTTTTAGTAGAGACGGGGTTTCGTCATGTTGGGCAGGCTGGTCTCGAACTCCTGACCTCAAGTGATCCGCCCACGTTGGCCTCCCAAAGTGCTGGGATTACAGGCATGAGCCACCATGCCCAGCGAGTCGTCTTTTATTATTATTATTATTATTATTTTGAGATGGAGTCTCACTGTATCACCCAGTCTGGAGTACAGTGGTGCGATCTCAGCTCACTGCAACCTCTATCTCCCAGGTTCGGGGGATTCTCGTGTCTCAGCCTCCCAAGTAGCTGGGACTACAGGCACCCACCACCACTCCTGGCTAATTTTTGTATTTTTAGTATAGACAGGATTTTGCCATGTTGCCCAGGCTGGTGTTGAACTCCTGGCCTCAAGTGATCTGCCCACCTCGGCCTCCCAAAGTGCTGGGATTACAGGCGTGAGCCACCGTGCCTGGGTCTTTTATTATCTCTTCATCCTAGTAAATATGACTCCCATATGGATCATGCCTCCAAGGGACAGATGGGAGAGGAACTCACAAGGCTGGAGATGTTGAGCTGGTGGCCACTTCAAACCCCCATCCCTCTCCTTTTAATACTGTTTGTATCTATTCCAGTTTTGCTGACCAGAGGGGTCATTATCCCAGCAAGTGTGTGGTGGAGAAGATCTTGGTCTTAGGCTTCAGGAAGGAGCCATCTTCTGTGACTACCCACTCATCTGGTGAGAAAGCAGTCCATTCTTACCTCACCATTTGTTTTTATAAACAGAAGTATCTGCAGTGAGATGATTAGTCCCCAAACGGAGATAATATGCTGAGCCTGAGTGTGTGCTTTCAGGTAGAGGTGAAATATACTAGTCTGTAGAATAAATGAGGCCATCTTGCTTCTCTTCATGAATTGATCTTTCTGCTCACTTTTAATGTTTTTCTAAGGAAACTTATTTGGGGCTTGAAATAATATCATAGCTTCTCTGAATATTTGTTTAAACTATAGCTGCCTGAAGACCTGGAAAATCCTACCCATGTGTTTGGAGTTTATGAAAGGGCAGGATGGGACTTATATCCTTCCTTGCTTCCTGAAGTTCTTGGACAAATTTATTCATTCCTTACGGTTTCTTTTCAACCAATCTTGCGGTCAAAACAATGAAGTTTTCCACGTTTCTAAAACTTCATGGAAGTTCATGGGTAAAAGTGCTATTAATTTGGAGTGGGGTATAAGGTTTTATGATACAGTGAGAAAACATTTCAGATTTGGAGAAAAGACTTTTCCCTTCTAGAGATTCATCAAAATTTCCCTCTTTTATTGTCTTGCTATTTAGATGGTAAAGATCAGCCTGTGGCTTTTACGTATTGTGCCAAAACATCCATCCTGAGCCTGGAGAAGCTCTCACTCAACATTGCCACTGACTGGGAGGTCCGCATCATATGACAAAGAACTGCCCCTGGTGATGTGAGCAGGGACCTGCCTGCCCCTTTCAACCTTTCCCCTCACCTTTTTTGAGATTTTTGCTGCAATCTGTTTGCCTTCCCTGAATCAAAATAATCTTTCATTCGTCACCATTATACTAATGAACAATAGATTTCATGTTTCAAAATTTCAGATTTTACATGTTAAGATGTACTAACAATATTCCTTGTATCAAACATCTCCTTTTCTCCCTGATACATAGCCCTGAGACATTTATAGCGTTCAGGAGTCTTCTATTGCTTCCATTCCTTCAGCAGGGCTGCGTGGGTCTGTTTTAACGTGGGCCAAGCCTACCTGGGCAGCCCATTTGCCAGGGCTTGCCTCAGGCCATGCAGCATTGGCGCTCTGGCTGCAGCAGCTGAGTTGCTCAAGGCCAGTGTCCAAGTGGACAGCAGCCTCTGGTACTCCCCCCAGTTATCTTCCACCCACATGGACTGGGCAGAGCAGCCCTCTTCTGTGTGCACTGCATACGCTGCAGCCGTGGGAGTTATTCTCCCCTAGAGATCGACTTGGCAGCACGAAGGATTCTTTTCTCTTTCATGCTTCTCAGGCTCAATAGTTTCTAATTAATCTTAAAATCCATGTCTTTTACATTGTTTTTTTAATTAAGTGCTGTTTACTAACCAAATAATATTTATAACATGAGTAAGCTATAATTAATAACAATGAAATAAATACCCATGTACCCACCACTGGACTTCAGAAGTAGAACTCATGACTGGGACTAGGATGAGGCAAGGGAGACCCTGGCCTTGGGCACAAAATGTAAGGGATGCCAAAAAAATACAGTAATCAAAGTAAGTAATATTTCAATCCAATATTTTTAAAAATCAGAATTAATGCAAAAAAAACCATGATGAACAAAATATTAAAATTTAAAATAAAGACAGGATTAGTATTACTGAGTTTTCCTTTTGTCCCAGGCTCTAATATGGCTTGGCATGGGGCAGAACATTACAACATACCAGTCGTGTCATGGTGCCCAAGGCTCCACAGACCTCAGTGGCTCCCTGCTGCCTGCCACAGCATCTGTTTTAGCAGCCTCGACTCCTCAGCACTCCTCAGCACACACCTCTTCTTATCAGGCTTCCTCCACTTAGCAACTTGCTAACGGCCACCTCTGTGCCTTCTGATCCCTGGGCGCCAATATCCTCCTGCCCTTACCATCCTTCCAGGCCCAACTTAAATCCCACTTTCCCATGAAGCCTAACTGCGTGAACACCCCTACCCCCATACCCATTAGCAGTGATTTTGCCCTTCCCCGTAATGCTGTCCCACTTATAACTGTGCTCTACTTAGCATTCTCAGGGATCATACCTTAATGTTTTCAGTATGTCTGCGTTCTCCTACTAGATTGTATGTCCCTCAAGAGCATGTTCTGTTTCTCTTCTGTCTGACAGAGCACTATTATACCTGACTTTCAGTAACTGTTAGCTGTGATTAGTTAGCTGGTGGATTTAATTGATTAAAAAATTACGATTGAATGTATTTCCATCTGATTTGCTTTTCTGGTACAAGATTCTTCCCAAAGGCAATCAACATTGTGCATTTCCTTGTGGACACATTTCATAGTATGAGTTGAGATTTGAGCTCTGCACCATATGTAAGCTCACAGAGACCTGCACAGATTCTTTGCTCCTATTTCTGTAAGTTTTGCAGTTGAGAAGAAAGGAGCAAGCTTATATTAGCTGAAGCCATGGTGCCTATCTTCAAATTTCCCTTGCCAACCTAAAATAAAACTTAGCCAGAAGACTGGGTGCTCCTCCCTAATATAAATGATAGTTTTTAATAGCATTTACAGTTGAATAAGAACTATCTTTAGGTCAACATTTATTGCACGTCTAGTCTTCCATTTAAAATATTATTGGAGGAATGGAGCAGTAACTAGTAGAGTAAGTTAATGAGGAACTGCTCTGTTTTGACCCAAATCTATATTGAAACATTTGGCTAGAGACAAGTGGAGACAGCCTGGGTGTTTTTAATGGTTTTCTGCTCTTATTGCTTCTCACACTTTACCTACCTCCCATTTCTGAATTTGTGTACCAGAGAGCAACATGGGGCTGAGTTGGCCTACAGGTATTGTTACTTTTTTGTGGCTAATTCTTAATATGGTTTCATAGGAAACTGGATTTTATATAAGAAATTTTATTCATTTCAACAGGGTTCCTAAAAAAGCTCTAAAATGAATGCATAGTGTGTCTTTCCTTCAAGATGTAAATGTCAAGGAATGAGTTGGCAAATCAGTTTAAAAACACAAACTACCCAACAGAAAAATGTAAGTATAATCTTTCAGAGTGGCAATCTGGCAACAATATAAAAAATATTTTAATTTTAATAAAAATATGTGGGGGTCTCACTATGTTGCCCAGGCTAGTCTTGAACTCCCGGACTCAAACAATCCTCCTGCCTTGACCTCCCAAAGGGCTGGGGCTATAGGCATGAGCCACTGTGCCTGGCCTTACCTCCTCTGTTGGAACAGTTGGCAACATTGGAATGGGATCTTTTGATTACATGGTAATTTTTTTACTTTTGAGCATTGTATTAGGATCATATAGAAGAATTTTCTTGGTTTTAAGAAAAATACAATTCTGGAGTTTGGTCTGTGTGCAGAATTCCTTCACTTTGTCACATCCTTTTCACTATCAAGGCATCAAAATGATAAGCAGCAGAAACACAGTCAAAGCACATAAACACTGGGAGTTGAATAGTTTTTAGCTAATTAACCACTCTGCCTGAAAGCCTTAGTAATGAGATTCCTAGGATTTCCACCTACCAAACCCTCGAAGGGCTACTCTAGACTAAAATAACTTCTCAGGCCAGTGGGTAGAAAGCCATCAGCAGCTCCACTGGAAACAGGCTATCATATTAGCCACTGACAATGGAGGCCATATAGCTAGCATTCTAGGAGAAATAGCAGAGACATTGGCATCTTATATCAGATCTGCTTGTCTCATGACAAGCCTTGCTAAAGGCTATAGTGCCACACGAAGACTTGCCAGAATTAGACAGCTGCTGCTGCTTTTTTTTTTTTTTTTTTTTTTTTTATTGAGACAGAATCTTGCTCTGTCACCCAGGATGGAGTGCAATGGCACGATCTCGGCTAACTGCAACCTCTGCTTTCCGGGTTCAAGCGATTCTTCTGCCTCAGCATCCTGAGTAACCGAGATTACAGGCATGCTCCACCAGGCCCAGCTAATTTTTGTATTTTTAGTAGAGAAAGGTTTTCACCATGTTGGCCAGGCTGACCTCGAACTCCTGACCTCATGTAATCCACCTGCCTCTGCCTCCCAAAGTGCAACAGCTGCTTCTTGACAGTTGTTTCCACCCAGGCCGACGGTATTAGATTGCTGTCCAATCAGAGCCAGGGAAAGGGGAGCCTGACTATTTACATGCAAGGATACAGAGATCTTATACCTAATTCACATCAATTAAATCTTAGTCAAGCATTTACTTCCAAGGAAATCAAGAGACCTGGAGTCTAGTTTGCTTCTACAGTGAACTGGCTGAGTGATCTTGGCCATGGCATTTGACCTCTCTGGGCTTTGTTAAAGAAAAGAGATAATCTCTAGCCTGGGTGCAGTGGCTTACGCCTGTAATCCCAGCACTTTGGGAGGCCGAGGCAGGGGGTTCACTTGAGTTCAGGAGTTCGAGACCAACCTGGCCAACATGGTGAAGCCCCATCTCTACTAAAAATAACAAAAATTAGCAGGGCATGGTGGCACATGCCTGTAATCTCAGCTGTTCAGGAGACTGAGGCAGGAGAATCGCTTGAACCCGGGAGGCGGAAGTTGCAGTGAGCTAAGATTGCACCAGTGCACTCCAGCCTGGTGACAGAGAGAGACTCCATCTAAAAAAAAAAAAAGAGAGATAATCTCTAAAATTTTGTGAGTTTTCTGATACTTAACTGTCAAAATACAGCAGATATCTCAAGTTTCCTCAGTTGTAAAATGGACTTAGTGAAACTTGCAGAGTTTTTCTACAAATTTAAAATATCTTATGTGTACAGAAAGGGAAAAATAGTAACATTACCAGGGAGAAACCCAGTAAACATCACTTTAGGCAAGTGATCAAAGTTGACATCACCTGTAATAAAACCTATCAATATCATGTGCCCCCAAATATGGTTTGAGGAGGTAGCCATGTCACATCTGTGACAGTCTTCCCCTAAATCCATAACCTCAGTCTAATCATGTGAAAAATATCAGAGAAACCCAAATTTAGGGTCATTCTACAAAAACCTGACAAGTACTCTTCAAAAGTGTCACGGTCATGAGAGACAAAGACTGTGGAATGATCAGAGACTGGAGGACACTATCTTTGCAACTCTTTTGTAAGTCTTTGCAAGTCTTTTGTAAGTCTAAAATTATTTTAAAATAAAAAGTTTTTTAAAGGTCTCTGTGAAGTGGCTAGCTCCCAGTAGGCACTTAATGAATGAGAGGTATTATAATGATAAGCAAAGACATTGCTTCCAATAGTGTTAGTAATCAAAGAAATGCTTCTTGGTGGAAAAGACAGAGCCATTAGTTGGCAATGCTGTGCAGCAGAAACCATTCCAGCCACAGATATTACATGACCGTGGGTGAAATATGTTATAAAAACTAGTTCTTTATCCTTGAAGGGGCTTCTGGGAATTGAAATGTGCAGTTGTTTATGTGTTCATTATCTGCCCTTTGTTCATGGGCTCGAGTTGGACTTCTCCCTGATAGCATTGGTTTCCACAGCTGTGCCATTGAATAAACCTTGAGTTTGGACCTGTTCATCTGAGAGAATGTTTTATCCACAACAACTGACAGAGCAAAATGAATGGCACCTTGCCCTTTCTGTGTTTGATATGCCCACCCTGCTCTGACAAGAGGCTCGCTGGTGTCACACACTTCTGTTAGTTACTCACAGATGGTGCTGGCTGAGACAGCTGAGGAAAGAAAGCTCAGTGGGTATGCGGCCCAAGACAGCTCCTTCGCCTGGAGCAGATCAGCAGAGAAACTTTGATTGCACTGGCAAAGCCAGAAGTGTAAGAAATTTCTCTTTGCATAGGAAAATTTCATTCACCAGATATATAACACGCATTTATTAAGGGCCTTCTAAACCTGAGAGGGAAATGGGAACCCACTTCCCAGCTCCACGGTCTTATGGGCAAACGGGAAGTTAAATAAGCAAAAACAATACAGTGTGGGTCAGTGCTCTGAATTTCAGGGTGGGATAGAATGCTAGGCTGGGACCCAAACTTATGACAGTGGGGGAAAGAAACCCCACCTTTGCTGTCTATGCCACTGGTGACTTTGAGGGTGGAAGTCAGTCTTTTTGTTGCAGGCAGATAGGCCAGCTTCTGATTGGAGATGCTGCATACCACATGAGCCTGGGCAGATTATACCTATTCCTGTGCTGTCCACATAGCAGATATTCAGTTAATGCCCATTGAGTGGATGCTGATTTGCGTCAGCGAGTAAATGTAGCATTCGACCTGATCTAACTCCAAAGTAATATTAAATTCAGGTCTTCTCTAACAACACCATTTATTGAGTGCTTAAGAAAATCCTGGCACTGTGTAAAATGTATTACATAAATTATTTAATTGTTACCAAAACCTAATAACAGAATGACTGTAATTGTACCTATTTTATAGGTGAGAAATCTGAGACAGAAAGGAAGAAATAACTCACCTAAAGTTACACAGGCACAGCCAATAAGGGGCCAACCTAGACTTTGAACCGAGGTGGTCAGTCACCAGAGACCACTGTCCTCTATTCTGCCTCTCCAAGACTAGTAAAAAGCCCTGGGCATTTTCTTGGAGGGACAGATGGCTAGGCTGATGGTTCCTGCAAGCCCAGACATAGAGTCCTTCAAAGCCGCAATCCCAGGGATCAGGAGGCTGATAGTACTCCCTATTTTACCTGTCACTTCCCACCTTCTTCCATAGCCTCTAATCTTGGATTATTGAGACTGGTCGCATGGGAACAGGCATGACTGCAGCCTAGGACATGCCTCCACTCTGCCATACTTGAAATGTGCTCATCTCCTTACAGCCCAGGGAGCAGCTATTGTGGGTAGAAGACAAGGTGGAGGCCAGGCAGGCACTTCCCTTCCCCAGAGCCACTTATGCTCTCATCTAAGAGCCCTGAAACCAGGTGTGACATCCCAGGAGTTGACAGACAGTCTGGTTCAGTATCTAATTCCAACTTCTGTCTCAGATGCCTAATGTGGCATGGCTGAATGAGTCAACATATAACCTGTACAGTAAGTCCTCACTTAACATCATTGATAGGTGCTTGTAAACTGTGACTTTAACGAAAACATACCGTGTGCTGTAGGGACTTAACTCTTGTTTATATCAGTTAGCCTGGTTTCACTATACAGTACATCATTTTGCTTAAAGTCACAGCTTACGAGAACCTATCGATGATGTTAAGTGAGGATTTTCTCTGCTCAGGTGCACTTTTTTTTTTTTTTAAGACGGAGTCTCTTTCTGTCACCTGGGCTGGAGTGCAGTGGCGTGATCTGGGTTCACTACAACCTCTGCCTCCTGGGTTCAAGCAATTCTTCTGTCTCAGCCTCCCAAGTAGCTGGGATTACAGGCACCCGCCGCCACACCCGGCTTATTTTTGTATTTTTAGTAGAGACAGGGTTTCACTATTGTTGGCCATGCTGGTCTCGAACTCCTGACCTCATGTGATCCACCCGCCTCGGCCTCCCAAAGTGCAGAGATTAGAGACGTGAGCCACATGGCCCAGCAGGACCACTTTTTAGCAGATTCAGTCCCAGTGTTCATTTTGTGGATGGGGAGAGACAAGAGGTGGCAAGGTCAAGTGTGCAGGTAGAGACAGGGATTTTCTCAAATGAGGACTCTGCTGAGTAGCATTTTCCATGCAGACATTTCCAATGAGCGCTGACCCAAGAACATTCTAAAAAAGATACCAAATCTAACATTGAATAATGTTCTGATATCCTAAAATTTTAGGACTAAAAATCATGTTCTCTAAAATTCACAGAATATTTTTGTAGAATTCAGTACCTCCCGTTCACCCTAACTAGCTTTTTTGCAATATTGTTTTCCATTCATTTGATGGCCAGTAGTTGGGTGGTCTGTATAACTGCCTACTCAATAACATGTCAGCAGTTCTCAGCTTCTTTCCAGTGTTCACCTTACTCAGATACTCCCTTTTCATTTTCTGGCAACACCAGCACTTCATGGCAACAGAAATGTCCCTAGCCAGGTTCTCTCTCTACCATGCAGTCTCTCTTGCTCTCATACTCACAGTGTTTCTTCACATCTATTTTTAGTTTTCCTGGCTCAAGCATCTTCAGGCCACTGAAACACAACCCTCACTCTCTTTCTCTCTCCCTCTGGCATGCATGCTGCTGGTAGGAGACCCCCAAGTCAACATTGCTTCAGAAATCCTTTAGCACTCATTTCTCAGGAGAACTTATGGCTTCAGAATCACAGCTCGGTTTTTAAGATGGACATAACCTGTACGACCTTCTGATGGGCTTTCAACTTTGAACTGGATGTGGACACTTTTCTCTCAGATGACAGAATTACTCCAACTTCCCCTTTGCAGTTGCTTCCTTTCCTTGAAGGTAGCTGTATCTTATTTTCTTTAAAAAGCTTTTTCTTCCAAAGCCACTTGCCATGCCGACCGTCATTAGCGCATCTGTGGCTCCAAGGACAGCGGCTGAGCCCCGGTCCCCAGGGCCAGTTCCTCACCCGGCCCAGAGCAAGGCCACTGAGGCTGGGGGTGGAAACCCAAGTGGCATCTATTCAGCCATCATCAGCCGCAATTTTCCTATTATCGGAGTGAAAGAGAAGACATTCGAGCAACTTCACAAGAAATGTCTAGAAAAGAAAGTTCTTTATGTGGACCCTGAGTTCCCACCGGATGAGACCTCTCTCTTTTATAGCCAGAAGTTCCCCATCCAGTTCGTCTGGAAGAGACCTCCGGTGAGTAGCTTCCTGCTTGCTGGCTGGGTTTTCCCCCCACGGAGGAGTCCTCTCACTCAGCACCTCCGGCAGCTCAGCTGTGCACATGGGCACTGGGGGAAGGATCCTGGCAGCAGCTCTGCTGGGCTCTGTCTTTAAGTGTGAAGCAGGGAGGAGAGGAACAGGTCTCAGATATTTCACCAAATCTCAGCAAAATCCAGAGGGAGAGCGCAGGAGGTGGGGCTGATTCTTATGCTCTGGCTCTTTCTCTCTGAAAAAAAAAAAAAAATCTTGCTTTTTATAAAAGTGGGTGGAACTCAGTTTAATTCATCCTGTAAAAATAAATATTCCTTTCTCAGAACAAATTCCAGACAGCCCAGATGTACCTGTTCGTTTTAAATATTATTCATCTTTGTAAGATTATTTCAGTTTCTCTGGCTAAAATCATGATGTTATTCTTCTTTAATTTACCAATGGCCATATCTTTCTGAAACACAGAAACCCTAGAAAGAGAAGAGTCATAGGCAAGGAATATTTTTTCATGCATAAAATGTTGGGGTTAAAGAGAGAGAGACCTAGCAATCGCTTTTGTCCACCTACCTCACCTCATAAGTGAGGAGTCAAGGCACACTAGAGTGAAATATATCTAGTGGGCACATGACAGAGCCCGGATTAAAACTTTCTGTTTTAGGAAACTCTCCCAGCCTCTGGGTTTCATTTACAGTGATCGCCAGGAGGGAAATCACATTCCCCTGGCTCACCTCTCTGATCATCCCTCCAGTGTGACTCTTGTTCTTAATTCGAGAAATATTTATTGAGCATCTACTAGTGCCAGCACTGGGCAAGCAACTGGGGGGACAGCAGTGAGTAAGAAAGACCAAAATTCCAGCTGTCTTGGAACCTAGGGTCCTGAAGGGAAGATGGGCATTGAACAAGAGTGACATTGTCAGGAGACGATGTTCTGGGTGCCACAGGATCATGTGGCAAGGAGAGCTAACCTGGTCCAGGGAGACAAACCCTCTCTGAGGAAATGATGACAAGCTGAGACCCAATACTATTGATTAGCCATGGTTTTCTTTAACCTAAGGTGGGCCAGGCATGGTGGCTCATGCCTATAAACCCAGCATTTTGGAAGGCCCAGGCTGGAGGATTGCTTGAGCCCAAGAGTTAGAGACCAGCCTGGGCAACAGGGTGAAAACCTATCTCTTTTGTACTAAAAATTCAAAAAATTATCCAGGCATGGTGGCACATGCCTGTGGTCCTAGCTACTCAGAGGCTGAGGTGGGAAGATCACTTGAACTCGGGGAGTTGAGGCAGCAGTGAGCCGAGATCATGCCACTGCACTCCAGGCTGGGTGACAGGAGTGAGACCCAGTCTCAAACAACAACAATAACAACAACAAACCTGAGGTGGAGTACTAGACAACCCTGTATATTCCATAGGGGCTCTTCTTGGTTCTATGGTAAGGCCCATAACTGTCCTGAAGGCCTTCAGTTTAGAAGATAACACTACTCTGCTATCAGAGTAGTTGGACATGTCACAACCCCCTGCTGAAATATCTTCAGTGACATCCCTCTCTCGGCCCCCACTGCCTTCAGGACAAGTCCAAACTCCTTAGCCAAGCCATAGGCCCTTCTCAGCTGGTCCCTGCCTACCTGTCCAGGCCCATGTCCATCCTCTTTCCCCAGATCCTGACACACCAGCAGTGCTTGGACATTTAGCTGCTCTGTAGTTCCAAGTCTTCTCACACCGGAGGCCTTTGCTCATGCTGTCTGTCTGCCTGACATGCCTTTTTTGTTCCTATCTGAACCTCTGCTCAGGTGTCACTTCCTTCAATCTTTCTCATGACTGATTTCCTCTCACTGAGAGCAGAAATCCTTCCTGTTCATCTTTGAGGCCCCCTCACCAAGCTCAGGCCAGTCCCATAGTGGGTACTCAGCTGATGCTGGTGAGTGAAAACCCACGCCCAAGGGCCTTGACCAGTGAGACAGGATAGGCCTGCGTTCCCAGGCAGGGAGTTCCTAAAAGCCCTTTCTTGGGCCAGACATGGAGGCTCATGCCTGTAATCCTAGCACTTTGGGAGGCAGAGGTGGGAGCATCAATTGAGCTCAGGAGTTGGAGACCAGCCTGGGCAACATAGTGAGACCCTATCTCTATAAAAAAAGTTTAAAAAAATAAAAGCTCTTTCTCAGAATGGGGAAAATTAAAACCTACAAATACTGTTTTCAGTGAAATCATTGGTGGACTTGAGTCTTCAAGCGAGACTTACAAATTAATAAAAATTCTTTAAGGGCCTGTTATGCTCTAGGTACTAGATTGGGCAGTGTCCATGTTTGAAATGAGGGGTGCAGAAGACTTGTCTGTTCTAAATTGTGCCCCCACCACCACCATCACCAACAACAAAGATCCTGGATTTTCCACTGTTTGAGTCACTAAAGGACCAGATAACAAAGGCCACTCTTGGATAAAATGCCCACATGTTCCCCTGGGGTTAAGATCACAGGAACACTGCCCATTGGGTTCACTAGCATAAATGAGAAATATAAAATTAGAGATGGTCAGAGTTGGAATGATTCTTGGAGAGGTGCTCCAGTGTCCTTGCTTTATAGGTGATTAAGGCCCAGAAAGGGCAAATGACTTATCTACAGCCACACAAGTTGACTTGGAACTGAAAAACTGAAATGACTCCAGAACTTTCTGACTGTAAAGCACTTCTTGGAGACATCAGTTCTCCATAAACTTCTTCAGATGTAGTGACCTTTGCCAGCCCTATGCAGTCTGAAAAGACTGTGTCCTATCAGGAGAAGCACCACACAGGTGAGTAAAGGCCTTCCTGCTTTTACTGTCTAAGGCACAGAACCTTTGGAAACCAATCTGAATTTTTTTTCGACCATCAAGTATTATTTATTATAATTACAGTGATAATGATAATAATGATAAAGGGAGAATTATTCCTGGCCAACTATAATTCTAGTTAAAATAGCATGCTGCACTTTCAGCCTTTCCCTCTTAAAAGAAAACAGGCTCTGGCCGACTGTTCCCAGCTCACCTGTAATCTCTTCTCTTACTCACCAGTGCTACCTCACAGACTTTCTTCCTCTACTCGGGAACATCATGCATTGAGTTTCCAGGGCAAACAATCTGGTTCCTCTAGACTTTCCTTATATGATCTATTTCTAGGATCAGAAAGCAAACAAATTATTCAACACTTCTCAACTGTTAAGGCAAGTTTTCTTGATGACAGATCCCAGGGCAGAATAGAATGGGTTCTAGAACAGGGCTTCTGGGATGCTGGTGCCCAATATACTAGGGATAGGTTGGGGATGGGAGGGCAGGTCGTGTTTCATTCCATGGGGTGGAAGGTTCAATTGCACCACACTCCTGGCCTGTCTCCTTCCCATGGTGGGTTTGTAAAGAGAACTTGACCTGTAAAGCCCAGTTCTTGGCTTCTGTCTTTCTCTGGGAAGCAAGCTGCCTGCAAGAAGCATGGCTTCTGCTCTCTGCCCTCCTTGCAGTAAGTTTTCTGGAGGCAAGTCCCCATGGGGAGTCATGCAGGAGTCCCTGGGCCACCTGGTAATGTGTGGTTAACAGTAAAGATAATCGCTAATCTTGAGTGAGAACTCACCACATGCCAGTAACTAAATGCTTTCCATATGTTAATTCATTTAATCTTCACAACAATCCTGTGAGGAAGTACCATTATTGTCCCACTTTACAAAGGAGGGAACTGAGTCTCAGAGGGATTAAATAACTCGCGCCAGATCTCCCAGTTAGTGAGGGTTGGAGCTGGGATTTAAACCCACACAATCTGGCTCTAGAGCCCCAAATCTATCTAATTCTGAGATTTAGATGTCAATATCCATTTTTATTAAACAATAAATGTGGGATTTTGGACTCCCACCTGCCCTGCACTTTTGTAGTATTCCTTTATTGGCTCAAAACTCATGCATGGAAGTAAGGTGTCATTTATTGGGCCTCCTCAAGACACAACAGGCATTGAGTGACACCCCAGGGGTTGCCCCTGAAAGCATCAGCCTCTATAAGTTGGAGATGGAATGGCACAGTGGCTAAGAGCCCAGGCTCTGAGGTCAGATAACCTAAGTTCAAGTCTGGGCCTGCTACCTAACACTTAGGTAATCTTGGTCACATACTTACCCTCATTTTGCCACAGGTTCTCCATGTGAAAAATGGAGAAAAACCATAATTGAAGAACCCATCTCTTAATTAATTGAGGATTAAATGAGTTAATGCAGGCTAAAGGCTTAAGACCAGCACATGGTTGAGTGCTCAGTAAACATAGACTACTCTTATTACTGCCTACAAGCAGCTATGCAGTCTCTTAAAAGTGGCAACATCATAAACATTTTTCCAGCTTAATTTGTGCCTATGACCAGTCAAGATATTAGCTACAGCAATGTGTTTGAGTACTTCATGCCTGGTCTAAATGCATCCATCCATCTCAGCATGAGGATGTGTGTGTGAATGCTCCCCTCATGGGCAGGGGACTGCTTGTCCTTTAGGGCAATTCTAGTTATCTACATCAAATATAAAATGTACATTTGGTTGTGAAAATCTGAGTGTATCATAGAGCCAGGAAGGAGACTACAAAAGAGGGATCACACTTGGCTGGGAAACTTGGCACCTTGCCCAGTGATTGGCTTTAAAGGCTCACTGAGACCAACTTGCTGAGCAAGGGCTTCGTTTTTCCCATCTGCATGTGCCTCAGTCATGCCAGGTGGAGAGTTCTTAAGCTTCTTCTCTCTCATCTCCTGCAATTCCCAAAGCAGGGGCAACCTAGATCCCTGCTTCTTTTGGAGGGATGAGAAGTGAAGGGCCAGTTGCAGGACCTTGTGATGAAAAGGTATCTGGTCCTCTCCTCACCCTTGGTAACATGGGATCCCAGAATTGCTCCACAGGGCCCTGCCCTGCACCATCAGCTCAGCTGGCCAGGGCTTCCAGCAGTGGACCCTGACAACAATGAGGTTCCTGGGCTCCTCCTGTCTCTGGTGCTAGGTGGAGTCACCTTTCTGTAAATTCCATGTTATTCCAGACCCACCCTAACCTAGAGCTTGGAGAAGGAAGGGCCCACCGTATTTAGCAGCTGGATTAACCCAGACTTCAGGTTAAACTTCCCTCCATCAGCATGGTCTCAGTGTTTCTTGGCTCTGCTAGGAGAGGTTATTTCTGGTTGGGCCTCCAGTTCACAGCCCTGAATCGGAGTCAAAACTGCATCATTGATATACAGCCACCTCCAGCTTAACCTCCAGCTCCTTCCCTAGGAAATCCGTTCTCCCTTCCTCCACTGTCCTCCAAGCTCCTTGGGCTGATAGCTGGGCCTTGCAGTTTCTCATCGCAACCTTCTGCTTAGCTCTCTCCTCTATTTGCTGTTGGGAGTTGGGGGAGCTTGCCACCTTCCCACTTAACTCCAGATCCAGTGCCTTCTCACTTGCTGATGGTGGCTGGAGCTCCAGCTATGGGTCTTTTCCCCTCACCTTTTCCCCTCACCTCTTTCCCTCAACTCCTGTCCCCACCTCTCTGTCATTACAGGGCCCCACCCGTTCCCAGCTCAGAGCTGGGTCTCTACTTCAGCCACATTTCTCTGGTGTTTGCCTTTCTTCCTGCCAGGTATTACTATCATACCCATATCCATCTGTGCTTTGCCCAGTAGTCCAACCTCACCCTTAGCCCTGCTCTTCTTCACTCCTGGGGCCAGCTAGTGCCCTCCACCAACACCTGGACCTGTGGACACCTCTTTCCCAGACAGACGGCAGCAGCCTCTTAGTCCTCTGAATAGATGACTTTATTCCTTGTATTCTGGTACACAGAAATCTCTTGAATTAGGCTTATTTTAAGAATAGAGTTTAGATAAGTTTCCCAAGCTATAATTCATCATGAACCTTATTTTCCCAAGTCTAGAAGATTCTCAATACTAGTACTTTCTTGATCTTATCAGAGGGTGTCCATGGAAGGTCATGACCATCACCCAGCTGAGTGCAGTAGAAGGAAGCTTTCTAATGTAAGTTGCATCACAGTTTCAGAGATGTGAGAGAAATTCAGAAATGTGAGGGAAATTGTGAAATGTAAAACGTGAGGGAGAAAAGCATTCAGAATGGAAAAATAAGACAAAGAGTCCCTTCCCATCTAACTCACAACCCTGCCATCCCCAACCTATTCCTTTTCCCAGGCTCTTTCTTTCTTCCGTGCTGTCTATCGACATGGACCCAGCCACACCGGCTGGTTTTTGCTGCTTTCTGTATGACCTGGTCTCTTGCCCCTTCCCAAGGTCCTCATCATCCAGGCAGAACCAACTTCTTCCTTGTGCCAGGGCTGTTACACCAGGAGAAAAAAAAGTATGACATTCTTCAGGGTAGATCTTCTTACTACTGTGGAATTATTGTCAAGTCTTTAAATTTATTTCGCCAAATGTGCTCACTTTCTGAACCCTTAACATGGCAGAAACATCTTCTCTCTTCTCGAGGAAAACCTGTAAGAAAAAATCAGAAAGATTATTATAATTACAGAATTACAATAATCTCTGGGGTGGGGGAAGGAGAATTAAGTATGATTGTTTTCGAGGAAGAAAAGAAAGAAAAACACCTGCCCGTTTACTTACAAGAGGGAGGAGAGCTAGAACTGAAAGGAAAATGGAGTGGAGGAAGCAACAGGGCTTGTGACGACCCCTAACCTGGTGTTCTTCCTCTCCACGACCCGACCCTCACAGAATTCTTTTTTTTCTTTTTTTTTTTCTTTTTTTTTTTGAGACAGGGTCTCGCTCTGTTGCCCAGGCTGGAGTGCAGTGTCTCCAGCTCAGCTCACTGCAACCTCCACCTCCCAGGTTCAACCAATCCTCCCACCTTGGCCTCTCTAGTTGCTGGGACTACAGGCATGCGCCACCATGCCTGGCTAATTTTTGTATTTTTAGTAGAGATGGGGTTTCACCATATTGACTAGGCTGGTCTCAAACTCCTGACCCCAGTGATCCACCGCCTCAGCCTCCCAAAGTGCTGGGATTATAGGCATGAGGCTCTGCACCCGGCCTCCCTCACAGAATTCTTTCCGAGTGCTTGTGAAACTTCTGAGGCAAGTGACTTGGTAGAGGGTGGAGGTTCCTATTTTGGTTTACACAAGCAGGGGTGAGCCAACACTCAGAGTGTGGAAAGCACAGGAGTGTGGGGAGAGAGAAGCACACAGAAAGGAGCTGCTAGGAACCGGCTGAACTGTGGTGGGAGTGAGGAGGCTCTGCCCTCTCAGAGGCTATGGAGTGGTGTTCAAGACAATTCACAAGGAAGCCTGGTGCCTCAGCTAACACTGGGTGGCATTCTGCTGAAGAGGAGCTGACACGTACTTTTCCATTTTCATTCAATCTTCAAGTTTAAACAATCACCATCAGAACTTTCAGAAGTGTATTATATACTCCAGAACACCAGAAATATAGTATAAAAGCTGCTATTTTTAAAATACCCCAGAGATATAGGACCAAAAATGGGAACTACTTTCAGCCTTTCCAGATGGATGGCTTTCTTTCCTGATATAAAGGTTTTAAAGAGAAAAGGATGGCTCCATCTCCTTGAGTAACCTACAGCTTGTAACTTTCACAGTCTGAACACTCATCCTTATTTCTAACTAGAATGTTTCCAGGTGCAAATGTAATATATTTTCTCTGGCTGTGACCCAAAAGACAGTGAAATAG